>NC_000012.12:131318490-131620114 GCF_000001405.40 Homo sapiens
TGAGTGTGGGAGTGAGTGAGGGAATAAATGAGTTTTTGAATGAATGAATGAGTAAGTGAATGAGCAATAAGTAAATGAATGAATAAGTGAGGGAGTGAGTGAATGAGTGAGTGAGAGAATGTGAGAGTAAATGAGTGAATGAGTTAGTGAGATGAATGAGTAAGGGAGGGAGTGAGGGAGGGAGTGAATGAGGGAGTTGTCAACCCCGAATATCTGAGACAAGTCTCAGTTAATTTAGAAAGTTTATTTTGCCAAGGTTGAGGACAGGTGCCCATGACACAGCTTCAGGAGGTCCTGATGACATGTGCCCAAGGTGGTCAGAGCACAGTTTGATTTTATTCATTTTAGGTAGACAAGAGACATCAATCAACATATGTAAGATGAACATTGCTTGGGTCTGGAAAGGTAGGACAACTCGAAGTGGGGAGGAGGCTTCCAGGTCATAGGTAGAGAAGAGACAAATGGTTGCATTCTTTTGAGTTTCTAATTAGCCTCTCCAAAGGAGGCAATCAGATATGCACTTAACTCAATGAGCAGAGTGGTGACTTTGAATAGAATGGGAGGCAGGTTTTTCCTAAGCAGTTCCCAGCTTGACCTTTAGCTTAGTGATTTTTGAGGTCCCAAGATTTATTTTCCTTTCACATTTCTCCCCTTTTCTTTTTTAAAAATCTTTTGAAGAAGGTATTTTAGAAGAAAATGAGTCTCTGGTCTCAGGTTTCATCTGATATCTCCTGGCTAGGATGGTTTATTCCTAGACTGGTACATCCTGAGTTATGAGAAAAGTTCATTTTTAGTAGCTTGTTAGGTCTCATGTCCTATGAAGAGAAAATAGGGGGATAAAGGGAGAAAACAACAACAAACAAAAGAACAATCCTGGAAAATTTATATAGGCTGCATTACTCTGAAGTCTATACATCAGTAGGCAGGTATGAAAGTGGCTTATGTATGTAAATATGTATGTTATTTTTTTCTGAAGTTTAAGTTGTCTGGCTTCAGTTCACAGGGCTTTAAGAAAGCACAGCTTAGTTTTTAGTGACTCTAAATTAGGAAAAATGGGGGGTATTTTTTTCCTTCTAAAGGAAAGAAAAAATGGAAAACACTATTTTGAAGACTGTAGCCAAGAAAATTAGAATTCAGCCCAAACTGTAGAAAATAATAAAAATTGAAAAATATTAGGCAAGTCTAGAATCTAACAACAGGTGTACTATAGTTTTTGAAACATATTTTTTCCTCTCTCTAGTTTTTATCTTTATTAAAGACAAGTCATGGTAGGACTGATTTGCTTTATTATACTTGGCCCGATTATTTGGCTTTTACATTAATTTTGATGGAACTTTGCTCCACAGAAGGAATCTCAGATAAGACCTTTTTAAAGCTGAGCCCAGCCATGGATTTTTACCATCAAATACCTATGAGTTGGGTGAATTTCTCTCCTTCTGAGGTCTTAAGATAAACTCAGGGCTTCTGGGCCTATTAGAAAGTGACATTTTTTACTTACCACAGGCGAGGAACCCTGTACAGGGACTGTGCAGACAAGTCATGAGGTTAGTTTTCCCTAAGGGGCTTTTATTGGCTCCATAAGTCAATTTTGATATCTTTAAGGAAAACACATCATTCCAGTCAAAATCCTGGTAAAATAACTAGTTTCTCCAATTGTTTTCTGTTACAAGTGAAAACAGATTCTTATTGCACTTATGCAAATAACTGTATTGCCATAAGTTAAGAATACTCAAAAATAGTTTCTAAATTCTGGAGAAATCAGGTAGAAAGAAACAAATATGCTCCAAATTTTGTTCATAGGAGTATACTAAATTGTTAAAAGCTGTCAATAGCTCAAAAGAAAAGTTTTCTTGACTCTGAAAAAACAAAACAAAGGATTAGCAATGGTTTAAGCTTCAAAAAATCACTTCAAAAAGTTTACTTCAGTCTTCCCTTAGTTCAGTCCATGCAGTAAATTCTTGTTCTGCTTGATATTCATAAACATTTCAGCTACCCATGAGTCCTGAAAGTTTTTTCTCTGTTCTGATTTCACAGTCTCCAAAGTTATCAGAAATCTGTATTCAAGAGCACCTGTTGGAGTTTTATACCTGATTATAAAAACACCTTCTAAAGAGGACCAAAACAAGACAACAGTTTTCCATGGATGACAACAGTTTTAGGGAAGCCATAGTCAAAGACACATTGACAAGGAAATTTGTTACCTCTGTGGCACAAAATAATTTAATATAACAATTATAATTATTACTGATAATGTACACTAAGTCATATCGGAATTGTAGGCGTTTCCCATAATTTTGGAACACATATTTATACAAATACAGCCCAAAGAAAACCAACACCATTTCATATTTGACAATGCTTCTTGTATAATTTTTATGACAAATAAAACAAATTATGTCATTTTTGGACTTTAGGGAACCTAACATCTTAAAGGATTAATTAAGTCAGAAAAAGGCATAATTTATAATTTGAGAGTTTGTCATATATCAAAGGCTTGATAGACACTTGATATCACAGGTCATTTTAAAATAAGTCGTTCATTACACCAAAGTGATAACTCAAGGATTTTTTTTTTAAAGGGCAAAAACCTTTATTCTTTCAAAGAGGAGACTTAATTTTCCAAGCAATAAGCCCTAATAAAAACAGTATGAAGCCAATTAAATTTGTTTTTCAAAATTTTATAAACAATCTATAAAATTTAAATATTGACCATAAGATATAACTTCTATAAGCTTTCTATAACCTTTATAACATTTATTAAGGAGTCGGTGAATGCTTCAAGAAAACCTTGTTAATCTGACACAGGGGCCTATATGCTGGTCTTGCATCAGTGTGCCTTTGACATTAATGATTAATTCATACAAAAACTGAACTTATTTTATCTCTCAAAATTGGCCCTGACAATCTCATATGCCCACCTCTTCCATGATAGTCCCTGGGCCTTTAGGAGTTGAATAGCTTTAATTTCTGGCCCTGTGTCTCAGGAATGCAGTTTATTTTGATTGGCATCTTCTACTGGCCCCGAAGATGAGGCTTTAATTGTTGTCAGTGTTTAAGATTTATCAGGACTTGGTGTCCTTTTTAGATGAGTCAAAGCCCTGTAACACAATGTCACAAGGACTTTAAAAGCTTATACAGAAAGATACAGGGATGTAATAACCTTAATTTAAAAAAAATTCTTTTAATCTGAGTTTTTTTCCTAAGCAGACCAAAACAATAATAATGGCATAGCAATTGTTTCAATAAACTGTAAAATCTGTTAGGCCAGTTACCAATGGCAAAAGAAAAGACCTTCTGCACTACACAGAATGGTATGTTGGAAGAAAACATTGCCTTTGGAACTTTAAGAAAACATTGTTACCATCAGGCCACAACAAACAGATCTCAAAGAAAAAAACATATGAGCTTAAAAATGAGTTGAAGGAGAGTATTACTATTTCTCACCCTTTAAAAGGGAAGAGAAAACCTAAAATGGCAAGATGCAATAAAAGTTGAACTTTGGGTTAAAAAAATTAAAATCTCTTATAATTAATTAAGAGTAAATCAATCCCTTAAGAAAATTTTATTGTTCTTATATGTGGTTTTTACATTAAGCCCAGTCTCTATAAAGACCATTATAATTTCCCTTTAATTAATAGACAACTTGATCTGAAAGTTTTTGGTCTTTTTTGACAAATCCTCTTACTGTGACTTACAAAGACCATTCATGACAGCTTGGACTTTCTGGTGTGTCCTGAATGTTCCTCTTTCTTAAACACCAGTCATTTTATTTGAGGACTAAATTTACCATACAAGATTCTTCTCATACAAAATTATTTCTCTTTAAGCTTTATTACCAAAAAAATCACCTTTCTTTTTATAACTTTTTTTTGCATTTTTCTCATTTCCTGGTTCCTTTTACCTTGTTTTATACATAACCTTTAAAGAAGCTTCGAATTATACAAAAATCATTCACCTTTTTAAAAAGAACGCACTTTTTTAGAAAAAACATTTTCCTACAAATATATTTTTATTGGAAAATACCCAAATAATGAAATGTATATTTAATTTGATATAACTTTAGATTCTAAATTATGATGAGTTTGTCTACAAGTATTTATCCCATTACATTTATCTAATTATTTTATTTTAATCATTTACCTAGATTATTTATGAAAACTGCAATAGTCATCATTTAAAGTTAAGGAACGGCCATTGTAAAATTATAACTGAGAGAGTGAAAAAATCTGAACTAACTGGCTTTATCTTGCTTCTAACCTCCAATCTGTCCTTGTTCATTCCTAGGCATAGGCCGAACTAACTTTGGGATGAACTTAGTTTATAGTTTAGCTTTGAAACAAAGACAATAGCAGTCCTTTCCCAAAATAAACCTTACTGTCTGTGGACTAGACTGCCTAAAGCCACAGATTACAAGTTATGGCAATCTTACTAAATTCTGGATGTAGCTATTTTCATTAAACCAATAGCAATGTCTTATTTATTAAAAAATTACATAAGCAGACATCACTCTGTTTTGGGCTGGGTTTATGGTTTTGAAATCCTTATGCCAAATTTTGACACCTTATAGTATTTGGCAGGGATAAGTATGAAATTGCTGAATTAGTAAATGCAAACAAAAATGTGTGCTGGCAATTCGTAACATATTTATAATATTATTATACTTTACCAATAATTTTAAAGCTAGCTTATTTAAGATTTTACTTAAGTTACATAAACTTGAAAAAGCATTTGACTCGTCTTTTCTTTTTTCCTGATAAAGTATTTGATTCAAGAGCTTTTATTTTCTTAAGCCAATTAACTAGAGCCCTTTTATATATTTTCAGCAGTGAAACATTTTGCACACAACACATAAATAGATATATGTATTAGGCATGCCCATAGAAGCACATCTTATAGGTTTATAAAAACATTTTTTCCTATCTTAGACTTTCAAATTATTGATAACCTGTTTCACTACTCTAGACAGTTGTCAGCTAAATAAGCCTTAAATGTGTATATTAAAGGAAACAACTCAGGTAAAAATCAAATAGCAAAATTTACCTCATAATGTGCAGGGAGAAAAAATAAAAGTGTGCTAGAGGGAAATCAAAATAGATTTAATTGCCAATTAAACATAAAATTATAGAAATTATAAAGACCTTTTAAATATATACACACACAAGGATCCTATAGCTTTTACTTCAAAACTTTAGCCATGAGATAAATAAAAATTCACCAGCTTGTAAAAAAATGCCTGTTGGATCCAAACAGTGGTTTTTATCTTAATAGAAAAATAGCATCAGATTTAAAGTAGGCAGAAAAGAAAATAGAGAAAAAGAAAACTTAGGAACTCTATTGTTTGCAGGTTGACCTTAGGGCTCTTTTTCCTTAATGTAAATGTGCACAAAGACCATATTACTTCCATTTTACATAAACTCTGGCAGTAGAGGTGCCATAAAATCTACAGAGTGTTCACAAAGGGGCTATTCTCCTTGTTTCTCCTCATTCTTATTTGTTTCCCTTTTTTTTTTTAAGGAGGAACTGAGCTGTAGCCTAGCTTTTTTGTGTGGTGGATCGATGTGTGCTACTTGTGGACAGGACACCACAGTGTGTCACCACTGAGTCATTTCTGCCCTCTTACATGTCTCAGTTTCTCTCTCTCCAGAGGTCTATGACCTCTGAGAGGGCTCAAAATGCTGGGTGATCAGCCCTTTTATGCATTTCCTGAATAAATCTTTTTATTAAATTAATTTTCACTGGAGATTTCCCTGTAGGGCCCCTGCATGTCGTGGGGAGTCAACACCCCAGACACCTCTATGAGGCCTCCAGTCACCCATTGGTGCCTTTCAGCTGGGAAGAGCAAAATGCCTCTTCTCCTTGGAGCTGAGAAAACTCAGTTTATTTACCTATGAAAACAACAGTTTAGTTCCTCATGCAAATGCACACAGACAAGCTGAATCTAGATTAATTTGGGGAGAAAAAGCAATAGAGAAGACCCTTAAGAATGCATCTCCAAACTAGAATTAGGATCCTTAAACAACTTCCTGGGAGAAGCAAACAAACAAACAAACAAAAAACAGCCAAGACCATTTCCTGTATTTGCTCAGCCACTCCTAACTTTGTAGCTCTCATCTGCCATTACACACGCCAAGGTCAAATCCTTTCACAGTACAAGGTCATCTCTGCTACCCCCAAAGCCAAAGAGGTCAGGTCATGCAATACAGGAAAACAGAGCTTTAGGCCTAAGAAAAATCTGCCCATGACTCTTGAAACTCCATAAAGAAAACAGAACACCCCAGAATGGGTGAGTGGCACCTTTGTTCTGAATTCTTTAAAGGGGTTCAAGTCCTTAGAAGCCTTCTCTAGATTTTTGGTATGCAAATGTCAAAGTGGGAGGAAGGAGCTATAGAGTAGAAGAAAAATAAAGAAAGAACATTTGTTTTTTTAAAGCAGGAAGCAAACACAGAAACCAAGCACACAGTTTTTTGGGTTTTTGAATTTTGTTTTTTCCTCTTTTTCAGCTGTGAGAAATTTTAGCCAAATTAGAGAGGCTTTGTTACCCGTAATTTGGAATTCTCACTTGCATTTGACCAAGTCAGGTAGAGTTGGTCAAATCTGATGACAGAAAGACCGGAACAAACAACAACAAAAACTAATAATACGATCACTGAGCACC
The DNA here is from genome assembly GCF_000001405.40 of Homo sapiens. Lineage (NCBI taxonomy): Eukaryota > Metazoa > Chordata > Mammalia > Primates > Hominidae > Homo > Homo sapiens. The sequence goes on from NC_000012.12 coordinate 131,325,146, forward strand.
TAATGGTAAAGATAAGTTAAGACTCTAATGATAAAGATAAGTTAAGACCAGCCGGTTGTTAAACTTAAGCCAAGACAAGACCCCAATTCAGCTACTTACTGAGGGATGGGTCTCAGGCTCAAGACTGCTCTCTACCATCCCAGAGGCAGGAAAAAACTCAAACTTGTCTTCCCTGCTGGGAGTGAGCTCAAACTCCATAAAGAAGTTACCTGCTTTCCATTGTCATGGAAACAGGAAATTTTGCCTCCCTTGTTGGAAGCAAGTAAAACTCCAATAAAAGTAGTTGTACAGCAAAACAAACTTTAGATCTTGACCAAATTTGGGGATATCAGGGATTCTTGTGTGTGTGTGTGTCGGGGTGGGGGTTACAATTATGGGAAAAGCCCCGCTGGACCTCCTGTTGCCAAGAGAAAGGTGCCTCTACCTTCAACTCGGTAGAACAGAGTGGGTGTCAGGAGGGCGGGATCTGAGGCCATGGCCAGGTGCCCCTCAGTGAGTGGATTCCCCAGACAGAGTCTTTACCTCCCACCCTGCCAGCTCCCCCTCACACATCTATTCCTATTATTTCAGTGAATGGCACCGTCCTCCTCCCATCGATCTGGGTGCAGAGCCCTAGAAACAAGGCCCAAGAGGGCCTGGAAGAAATGAGAAGAGGACTCCATGGTCATGGTCAGCCCCTTCCTGCACTTACTCCTCACCCACATCTCCAGCCCTGGGCTCTCCTGGGGTCCCCTCCTGGGTTTCCTGTGGTTCCCTCCTGGGTCTCCCGTGGTCGCTTCCTGGGTCTCCCATGGTTCCCTCCTGGATCTCCCATGGTTCCCTCCTGGGTCTCCCATGGTTCCCTCCTGGATCTCCCATGGTTCCCTCCTGGGTCTCCCATGGTCCCTTCCTGGGTCTCCCATGGTCCCCTCCTGCATCTCCCATGGTCCCCTCCTGCGGTGGGAGTGGCAGCTCCTGGATATTCTAACTCACCTCTCAGGTCTGCACACCCTCCCAGCCCCCTTGGTGTTTCTTTCTCATCTGAGCAAATCCCTTTGGCATCAGAGAGAGGCCTGTGGACAGCCCACAGGAAGGCATCTAGGACAGTGAAGCTCAAAGCACTTCCCTGGTGTTGGGGTGAAGGCTGATGTTTCCAGAGAAGACATGTTTCCACCACATTCTACATGGCTGCCTAGTTCTTCTCTATCCACACCAGCCTGGCTGTCAGGAAAGGCACATTTGCATGGAAGGGTCTCAGGGTGTGGAAGAAAGGCAGACTCAGGGTGGACTCAGACAGGAACAGAACCACACGCATTGCATGAAAAGCACCATCAGTGGACAGAAACCCTTAGTCAGACTTCACAGCATTAACAGCCCCAGCATAAAAGAAATTGCTCGGCATGTCTCCTCCCATCTCTGCACATCATGTGTCAGGTGGCCACTCAGATGGCTAATTGACTCCTTTGAGGAGCAGAGGCTGGGTCCAGGCAGGAACAGTGGTTCTGGTGTGATAATGTGACAATTAAACAAAGTGGCATCTGATTAAGTGACCACATCGATTCTCTTAACATGAAAGGAGAATAGCTTCTGGACTGGGTGGCATAAACCTCACTCTCTTTGGAGAGTGATGAATGATAGGGTCATTAAGGAACAGAGAAGAAAATGGACAGACAAATAAATGGAGAATTGGTAAAAACGGGGATGGGTGTGCAGTGGAAGACTGGATAATTGCAGGATAAATGGTGTAATTGGGTAAAATCCAGATGACTGGTTAAAACGGGTAATGGGTGTATAAATGGATGAGAGATTAGATGGCAGATATATGGGCAGATGGATGGATGGATAGATGGAAGAGAGAAGAATGGATAGTAACCTGGGAATATGTTCAGATAAGAGGATGGGCAGATGGATGGATGGATGGATGGATGGATGGATGGAAGAGAGAAGAATGGATAGTAACCTGGGTGTATGTTCAGATAAGTGGTTGGACAGATGGATGGATGGATGGATGGATGGATGGATGAAAGAAGAATGGTTAGTAACCTGGGTATATGATCAGATAACTGGATGAACGGATGGATGGATGGATGGAAGAGAGAAGAATGGATAGTAACCTGGATATATGTTCAGATAAGTGGATGGGCAGATGAATGGACAGATGGATGGATGGATGGATGCATGGAAGAGAGAAGACTGGATAGTAAACTGAGTATAAGTTCAGATAAGTGGATGGACAGACAGATGAACAGATGGATGGATGGTGGATGGATTAGTGAGAAGGTAGGTGGCCATACACACAAATGACAACTTTGAGAGCACATATTTGACTTAAATCTTAGGGTCATCACGTTCCCAGGAGATGCGTTACTCCTCACCTGCTATTCCCAGCAGCCCAAACTTCCTGTTTCCACCACTTCCCCTGATCAATTCGGATACTCAGGGAATGAGGGGGTCACAATCTGAGTCAGCAGGAGGTCAGCCAACCTGGCCAGCGGTATGGATGCCCCAGGCAGCCCACATGTGGGTGGTGACTTGAACCTACACAGGCAATGGGGGAGGAATTCGGGCAGTTACCTGGATAATTGGGATAAAAACAACTCCACTCAAGAACCTGGAGGACTCGGGCCTCATGGGCTCTGGCGGGACACGATCCTCGGGTCACTCCCCTCCCCGTCCCTGCGCAAGTCCTGACCCAGGGAGCCCCTCCCCTGCGGAGGGCAATGCTGAGCCAGCCCTGGGCACAGACAGGTCTGAGTGTCCCCGTCTTCTCCACCAGGGGAACCACAGCCCGTCTTTCCTCCAACAGAAACCAACCACATCCCCGGATGGCACTCAGACAAGCCACTTTCTATTGACTTCAATTTGCATTTTAAATAGACTAAGTGGCTCCGGAAAGAAAGCAGAAGTTCATTAGTGTTGTGAAATGCCATTTCCATCAACTCCTTGCATGGGAATCCTAATTACAGCTCCCTGGGGAGCAGTGGCAGGACCCAGGCCCACCGAGCCAGCAGCTGGAGCAGAAGTGAGCAGAGAGCAGCTTTGGCTTCCTGGGCCCTGGCTGGGAGAGCGGGGCTGCCTGGGTAAAGGAGCCCCCTCCTCCAACTCAGAGGCCCCTGGATCCTGACCCTGGCCGGCCAGCGGCCTGACCAGCAGCCGTGTCAGCAGCATTGCCCCGGGAGCAGGGGCTGTCAGTCCTGGTGTGCTCTGGAACCCAAGGAGCCTGAGACAATCTCGTGCCTGGAGACCGCCCCCCCCCCCCCAGAGATGCAGGTGGACGTGGGAGTCAGCACAGACCCCAGGGGTAACTATGCCTGGAGACCACCCCCAGAGATGCAGGTGGGCGTGGGAGTCAGCACAGACGCTAGGGGTAACTATGTGCGGCTGATTCGTGACCACTTTCCTGGGCACCTTCTGCCTCCCCCACAGAGGCCCACACCTCCCCCCACAGACAGAACCCATCCCCACCCGTGCACTGAGCGCCAGGGAGACAAAGCCCCATCCACCCGCAGTGCATTCATTCATGGAGGAATAAATGTGTGTTGGCTGGAGAGGGCTTTTATATTACTCACTAAAATTTTCAACGCATCTATCCACAAAGACAACACATCAGGAAGGGATCATGTTTTCAACAGATGAGGCTGTAGCCATTGCAGGTCCGCAAGCAAAACAGTGAGCTCCACCTACACCTCCCACCTCACGCAAAAACTACCTCAGCATGTATGGGGGACCTACGTGTAAAACGTAAAATTACAAACATTTTAGAAGCAACATTGGAGGAAGCTTTGTGACTTTGAGTTAGGCAATGACAAAAGCACAATTCTTAAAAAAAAAAAATCTATAAACTTGACTTCATCAAAATTAAACCCTTTTGCTCTGCAGAAGACAGAGTTTAGATAATGATCAGACCAGCCACCGGCTGGCAAGGAATATTTGCAATTCATATATCTGACCAAAGTCCTGTATCTGGAATATGTAAATAACTCTGAAAGCTCAACCGTAACAAAGCAAAGGATACAATATTTTTTAAATGAGGAAAAATGTACACAGACGTTTTCCCAAATAAAATATACAAGTGGCAAATAAGCCCATAAAACAATGGACAATGTCACGAATTATTAAGAAAATGCAAATTAGAGTCATCATGAGGTCACAGCACACACCTATTAGGATGCTAAAATTAACAAAAAAAGGAAAGCAAAGAAAGAAGGAAATGATAGCAGGTGCTGCTGAGGCTGCCGAGCAAGCTGCGCTCACAGTGGACGGTGCAGCCACTTCATTATGGAAACAGGGTGGCTGCTGCTCCAGCCAAACACTCCACACACTCAGCATGTGAGTCCGCAGCCCCACCCCAGGGACCCACTCACGTGGAGTGAAAGCCTACCTCCACACAAAAAAATGTAGGTTAAAGTTCCTAGTGGCTTTATTTGTAATTGCAGAAACCAGAAACAACGCAAACGCCCCCATCAGTGAGCGCAGAACGAGTCGCCATGCATAGGTGCAGTGGACGCCGCTCAGCAGGGAGACGGGCAGGGCAGGCCGTGGGTGCGCACAGCCGCCCGGGCGACTCTCCATGACCCGCGCTGAGGGCCGGGAGCCCACCCAGAAGGCTCCCACTGCATGAGCCCATTTATAGGACGCTCTGGATGTCAGAGAAGAGGCCTGCGGTTTCCAGGTGTTAGGGTGGAGGGGAGGGGTGAGTACAAGAGGAAGTGTGGAGGGATGTGTGGGTGATGGGGCTGTTCATCTGTCTGTCCATCCACTTATCTGAACATATACCCAGCTTACTATCCATTCTTCTTTCTTCCAGGCATCCATCGATCCATCCATCCATCCATCCATCCATCTGTCCATCTGTTCATCCACTTATCTGAACATATGCCAAGGGTACTATCCATTCTTCTCTCTTTCATCCATCCATCCATCTCCCCATTCATTTATCTGAACATATACCCAGGTTGCTATACAGCCTTCTTTAATCCATCCATCCATCCATCCATCCATCCATCCATCCATCTGTCCCTCCACTTATCTGAACATATACCCAGGTTACTATGCATCTTTCTCTCTCTTCCATCCATCCATCCATCCATCCATCCATCCATCCATCCATCCATCTGCCCATCTGCCCATCCATTTATCTGAACATATACGCAGCTTACTATCCATTCGTCTCCCTTCCATGAGTCTGTGCAGTGGTCCAAACCCGCAGAACTGCACACCAACAAGGGTGTGAAAATTAGAAGACAAACTTTAAAATGCACTTCCTCTTCCACCAAGCAGCCCTCCAGGAATGATTCCCATGAATGCACCCACATGAGCATCTTAGCAAAGGATGGGGAGCCTGTGAGGGACCCGCTGCAGGCGTGGGTTAAATGAGCCTGGAGCTTCCAGGCCTGGAATCCTCCATCCAGTGGGTAAAGAATGTGGCAGATCACTGTTGACTGATGGGGACTTTTCCCATGAGCGCCGTGTGAAAGGGATGTGGAGCCGCACACAAACCACCCTGTCATTTGCATGAGAAGAAGAGACATAGCCATGTGTTTCCTTGTTGGTGACACAGTATTTGCTGGAGGGATGAACAGAAATGATAACACCAGCTGCATCTGGGGAGGGAACTGGAGGCCGAGGGACACTGTGGAGACCTGCTTGTCAATGAGTGTCCTTTGAACTGTTGGAGGACACTTTGTCTATTCAAAAGGAAATGTATTTTATAGTTGTTGCTCCAGCCTGTAGATCTGCAGCTAAGGAGAATTGCCATCCTCCTGCCAACCTTATAGGAAGAAGCCTCAGCCCAGGCAACCATGGAGCCATCCCAGTTCCACACATGCAGGTTAAGATTATTCCGCTCTAAAGGTCAGCACAGGGCCGACCTGGAGGAACAGGAAATACGTAGGTTCCCAGCATGGGTCAGTGATCCCCTGACCAGGCCAGCAGCATCCATCCATCCATCCACCCACCTACCTATCCACCATTCACCCATCCTTCCATTCACCCATTAATCCATGCATCCATCCATCCACCCACCCATCCATCCATCCATCCATCCAACCTTCCACATATCCACTCATTCATTCATCCATCCATACACCCACCCACCACCCACCCCCCATCCACCATTCATCCATCCTTCCACTCATCCATTCATCCATCCTTCCATCCATCCACCCATTTGTCCATGCTTTCATCCACCCACACATTCATCCATCCAGCCAGCCAGCCACCCATCCACCCACCTACCCACCATTCATCCCCCCATTCATCTATCCATCCATCCCATCCCCCCAGCCACCCATACTTCCACCCATCCACCCACATATCCACCATTCACCCATCCACCCATCCATACATCCTTCTACCCCTCCACCCATCTATCCATCCTTCAGTCCATCCACCCATGGATCCATTTGTTCATCCAGTTCACTGAGCACATGCTGTGGGCTAGACTGTCTGCTAAAGCTTGGGATAGAGCCATTCGGAAGAAAAACAAGATCCCTGTCCTCCTAGACTTAGTGCTGTGTCAGGGAAACAGACAGTAGCCACACACTCGTCCTTCTACTTAAAAAAAAAATCCTCACTGAGAAAACCATATTGCAATAATAACACACATTAAAATTTTTAAAATTTCCCATAGGCTGATCACATTTGTAATTTCACTTTTCCATATTATTTTGTATGATTAATATTTGTCCATACACTTACTTTTTAATTAATTTGTACCATTACCATAAATACAAACAGATGTTCCCATGGTTCAACTTAGGATTTTTTGACTTAACAATGGTGTGAAAATGATCTGCTTTCAGTAGGAACCGTACTTTGATTATCTGCATAGCCATTCTTTCACTTTCAGTGCAGTGTTGAATAAATCACAGGAAATACTCAACACTGTATTATCAAATACGCTTTCTGTGAGATGATTTTGCCCAACAGTGGGCTAACGTCATGTTCTGAGCATGTTTAAAGTAGGCCAGACAAAGCTATGCTGTTCCATAGGTTTGGTGCATTGATGCATTTTGACTTAGGACATTTTCAATTTAGGAGGCGTCCTCGTGACACAGCCCCACTGTAAGTCGAGGAGCATCTGGATTGTAGTTGACATTTTCACTTCTCATTGCAGCCCTGCCCCGATGTAAGTCAAGGAGCATCTGGATTGCAGTTTACGTTTTCACTTCTCATTGCAGCCCTGCCCCAATGTAAGTCGAGGAGCATCTGGACTGTAGTTGACATTTTCACTTCTCATTGCACCCCTTGTGTGTCCGGCACAGGCTCCCAGGGCCGGGAATTCTACTCACCCTGCGCGGCAGCTGCAGAAATCCCACAGTGCCCATGGACCACCGCGTCTCGGCTGCCCTCCCATGGGTGACATCTGGGTCACTATTCCCAGTTCTCAGCCACCATACACAGTGCAGCCACAAACACACATGTCAGGACATCCTCGTGTGTTTGTGGCTCTTTCCATATGATATAAGAATTAACTTCAAGGCCCCCATTCCGATAAGTTCCTTGGTCGGTACAGGACACCCATCCTGGGCTGACCTCAGGAGGCTCCTCTGAGGAAGTGATGTGTGGAGAAACCTGGGGAGAGGGGAGGAGCCGGCTCAGGAAGCTTCTGAATCCAGGGAGCTGCAGATGCCCAGTCCCTGGGCCTGGCAGGAGCGTGGCGTGGGGAGAACAGAGAGGAGGTGAGCAGGGAGGCCCCATGAGTCGGGGTGTGGCAGGGCCCTGGGGTTTATGATAGAGCTCATGGGGTCTCTAAATGCGGGGAGAAGCCGTGTGAGGGCCGCACACAGAGGTGGCCGCACAGAATGGGTCGGCACAGGCCCCTGACTGAGCGCTAGAGAAGGGGGCAGAGGGAGGGTGGGTCTGGAAGCCTTGCAGGAAGGAGGTGGAGCTGTGAAGACGGGGGAATAAGGAAGGAGGTGGAGCTGTGAAGATGGGGGAACGAGGATGGTGTCAGGTGCCTTCAGGACACAGGATCTGCGGCTCGGTGACTGTTGGATGGGGAGAGGAGACGGGCGTCCAGCACGTCCCAGGTTTCTAGTGTCAGCGTCGGGAGGCTGCAGGCAGGATACTGGAAAAGTAAAGCATTCTGGGAGGGCTACCAGTGCAGCTGGGACTCGAAGAGGCTGAGGTCCTCTGAGATGACCCAGGAGCTGTCGACAAGGCAGGGCCACGGCCAAGGCCAGGGTGGAGATCAAGGGGTGTCAGCAGAGGGGCAGGGGCCACATTGGGGGCTTCCCGGGGAGCAAGGTCCCAGGATCAGCAGGTCATCCTAGGAGGTGTTGTTGAGTCTGGCCTTCAGGGGAGCTGTTTCAGTGATGCCCCAGGCACCATTCATCTTCCCGACACTCAGGCAGCATCACACGGGACACCGATGTCCTTGAGTTTTAAGTCCTGGGAACTGGTGTTCAAGTTCAGTGGACTCAGATGCCCCACAGAGCCCATGTGCCCAGTGAGGGATGATGTGGGGTCTCTGACCACATATGGGGCACAGCCACAAGGCACCCAGCTACCCCTCGGCCCCTCACAGCATGAGGTTGGGGGTGGAGTGGTCCTGCAGACCCCAGCTCCCCACCGCTGATGTGGAGTTGGGAGGGCACAGGAAGGGGAGGGTCCAGGGGCCGAGGACCCACAGGTGCAGAGTGAGGAGGGGTGGAGCCCATCCAGGGTAGAGGGAGGCCAAGTGGGAGGGCAGGGCTGGGCCCCTGGAGGGTGGCTGAGGGTGGAGAGAGGCCAGCTCCTCACACCTCCGCCCCACGGGTGTTTGAGATGCGTTCAGTACCTGTCTCTGCGGACCTTATTCTGTGGCCATGATTCTGGGAGGATGGAATCCTGAGGCCTGGTGTGCAGGGCCCCTGAACAAAAGCCCAATGGTGTTTAGGGCCAGGCTGGGTGTGGGTCGAGCGCAGGGCACAGTCGAGGAAGGAGCCCAAGGTGACCATGGATGCAGGAAAATCCCAGGCAGGGCCCAGGCAGGATCCCTGAGTCTGCAGGACCCCAATGCGGGTGCCCTCTCAGGGACCACCCAGGGCATCATCACAGCCGCCTAAAGTCCTAAAAATACCTGCTTGGAAGGAGCCTGCGGTCAGCTCCCTGGCCTCCCCTTCCCCATTATGACTTCCCAGCTCTTGCTTTTCCCAGGAAGGACAATCCGCCATCCCGCATCCTCCAGAGGCATGTCCTGGGAGGATGCACAGAGACCCCAGGGCACCCTCCAAATGAGACTTATGAAATTTTCAAATCCATTTCTACAAGGTGCACTTTCCTTTAGAAAAACCTCTAAAAATTTTTGAAATATTAATTACATAAATAATACACCATATTACATATCCCATATGTCAATATTTACACATACACTATGTAAATACACTTATGCCATATATTTATACAGATGTAAGCATATATATGCAACAGAAATATACACATGACATAATATAAATATTTGATCTCTTCATGTTGTTTGGAAGAATTATCTGTTACTAAAAATGGGACCATAACTGGATCCAGAAAAGTATTTTAACACTTGGAACTCTATAGACACAAGAATTACATTGTATTTAAATTTTGAACATATTTTTGTTGTGGGGAATATAATCTGTCAATCAGTAAATACTTCACGCATCAAGTGCTCCATGGAGAAACGGGATGCAGTGAATTGTGAATTGGAGTAGAAAGGATGCTGTGGTTTTCCCACTGTGCTTTTAAATGTGGATGGTGAGAAGGGGGTGTCTGGGTCTTGGCGTTACTGAGAGGTGAAGACATCTGCACTTCCTGGGTCGAGTGGGGACTTGGAGAACTTTTCTGTCTTACAAGAAGATTGTAAAACACACCAATCAGCACTCTGTAGCTGGGATTGTAAAATGCACAAATCAGCACTCTGTAGCTAGCAAGGGGATTGCGAAATGCCCCAATCAGTGCTCTGTGAAACACACCAATCAGCACTCTGCAAAATGCACCAATCAGCAGGAATCTAAATAATCAATTGCAAGGAGAATTGAAAAAAGGGCACTCTGATAGGACAGAAATGGAACATGGGAAGAGACAAATAAGGGAATAAAACCTGGAGACCCTAGCCAGCAGCCGCAACCCACTTGGGTCCCCTTCCATGCTGTGGAAGCTTTGTTCTTTCACTCTTCACAACAAATCTTGCTGCTGCTCACTCTTTGGGTTCATGCCAACTTTAAGAGCTGTATCACTGACTGCGAAGGTCCGCAGCTCCATTCTTGAAGTCAACGAGACCATGAACCCACCAGAAAGAACCAATTCTAGACACATCGTGGGGGCTCACCTGGGAGATTGCCATGTAGTGAGTACTATTGGACCCCTTTCACTTGCTATTCTGACCTATTTTTCCTTAGAATTCGGGGGCTAAACACCAGGCACCTGTTGGCCAGTTAAAAGCAACTAGCATGGCTACGGGACTAAAGACACAGGTGTCAGGCTTTCTGGGAAAGGCCTCTGTAACAACCCCCAACTCTTTGGAGTTGGGAGGGTTGGTTTGCCTGGAACCAGCTTCCACTTTTCCTGCATTTCCTGGCTGAGCCGCAGGTTGACAGAGAGGAAAGCCATTCAGCTCCAGGGTCCTGACAAAAAGGTGGTTGACCCTGCAGCCATGAGCAGAACTCTCAAAGTTACATCACCCAAACGAGACTTGCCCATCTATCCTATCTATCCTGACCCTTGCCTCCTGGGTCCTAATGCCTGTCAGACAAACTTCCTCTTACCTCTCTTCTCCAAGGCTAGTCCTGCTTTCAAAACCACCCCCTGGTGCTTTTCTAGTTTCTCCTATAAGGATGATTTCTAATATAAGTTTAGGGACTCTGTTCCTTTCTTTAGGGACCTGGGCTCACCAATGAGAAAGACATAATTTTGCCCCAAGCCCAGTGGGTTGGGTGGGGGGGGCTATCTGGAATTTTAGGATCCCTCCTCAGACTAGCAGGCCTAGCAAAGGCTGTTCCCGATGGGGAGCCTCAGAAATTATAGACTCCAAAATTAGGAGGATATCCTTCCTCTTCAGATGATTGTGAAGACAAAATGCATCACTCTTCCAACCTTGGAGATCCCTTCCCTCCCTCAGGGTATGGCCCTCCACTCCCTTTTGGGGCATATCATCTTCATAGGACAAGGGTAAGGTCCCAATACTAACAGAAGAAAACTCTTAGGACTCTAACAAGTTTTTGAGAATGTGTCGGTAAGGGCCACTAAATCCAGTTTTTTTCAGTCCTCTTTGTGGTCTAAGAGGAAAGGCAAAGGTGCAGGTTTTTGAGAACGTGTCAGTAAGGGCCACTAAATCCAACCTTCCTCGGTCCTCTCTGTGGTCTAGGAGGAAAACTAGTGTTTCCGCTGCTGCTTCAGTGAGTGCAACTATTCCGATCAGCAGGGTCCAGGGACCGTTGTGGGTTCTTGGGGGAGAGGGTGGGACAAACAAAGCAAAACCATGGGCAGTTTTTTCTTTCAGATGGGAAACACTCAGGCATCAACAGGCTCACCTTTGAAATGCATCCTAAGCCATTGGGACCAATTTGACCCACAAACCCTGAAAAAGAAGTGGCTTATTTTTTTCTGGACTATGGCTTGACCCCAGTGTTCTCTCTCTGATGGGGAAAAATGACCACCTGAGGAAAGTATAAATTACAATACTATCCTGTGGCTTAAACTTTTCTGTAAGAGGGAAGGCAAATGGAGTTAAATACCTTGTGACCAAGCTTTCTTTTTATTGAAGGATAATCCACAACTATGCAAAGCTTGCAATTTACATCCCACAGGAGGACCTCTCAGCTGACCTCCATATACTAGCCTTCCTATAACTCCCCTTCCTATTAATGATAAGCCTCCTCTAATCTCCCCCACCCAGAAGGAAACAAGCAAACAAATCTCCAAGGGACCATAAAGCCCCCCGGGCTATGGGTTATGTCCCCTTCAAGCTGTAAGGGGAGGGGAATTTGGCCCAATCTGGGTACATGTCCCCTTTTCCCTCTCTGATTTAAAGCAGATCAAGGTAGACCTGGGGAAGTTTTCAGATGATCCTGATAGGTATATAGATGTCCTACAGGGTCTAGGGCAAACCTTCAACCTCACTTGGAGAGATGTCATGCTATTGTTAGATCAAACCCTGGCCTTTAATGAAAAGAATGTGGCTTTAGCTGCAGCCCGAGAGTTTGGAGATACCTGGTATCTTAGTCAAGTAAATGATAGAATGACAGCCGAAGAAAGGGACAAGTTCCCTACCGGTCAGCAAGCTGTCCCCAGTATGGATCCCCACTGGGACCTAGACTCAGATCATGGGGACTGGAGTCACAAACATCTGTTGACCTGTGTTCTAGAAGGACTAAGGAGAATTAGGAAAAAGCTCATGAATTATTCAATGATGTCCACCATAACTCAGGAAAAGGAAGAAAATCCTTCTGCCTTCCTTGAGCAGTTACAGAAGGCCTTAAGAAAATATACCCCCCTGTCACCTGACTCCCTCTAGGGTCAATTGATCCTAAAAGATAAGTTTATTACCCAATCAGCCACAGATATCAGGAGAAAGCTCCAAAAGGCAGCCCTGGGCCCTGAACAAAATCTGGAGGCATTATTATACCTGGCAACCTCGGAGTTCTATAATAGGGACCAAGAACAGGCCAAAAAAGAAAAGCGAGATCAGAGAAAGGCTGCAGCCTTAGTCATGGCCCTCAGACAAACAAACTTTGGTGGTTCAGAGAGTACAGAAAATGGAGCATGCCAATCACCCAGTAGGGCTTGTTATCAGTGTGGTTTGCAAGGACACTTTAAAAAAGACTGCCCAACAAGAAACAAGCCACCCTCTCACCCATGTCCACAATGCCGAGGCAATCACTGGAAGGTGCACTGCCCCAGGGGACAAAGATTCTCTGGGCCCCCAACCAGATGATCCAACAACAGGACTGAGGGTATGTGGGGCAAGTGCCAGCTCATGTCATCACCCTCATTGAGCCCCGGGTAAGTTTAACCATTGAGGGCCAGGAAATTGACTTCCTCCTGGACACTGGTGCAGCTTTCTCAGTGTTAATCTCCTGCCCCTGATGGCCATCTCCAAGGTCTGTTACCATCCGAGGAATCCTGAGACAGCCTGTAACCAGGTATTTCTCCCACCTCCTCAGTTGTAGTTGGGAGACTTTGCTCTTTTCACATGTCTTTCTTGTTATGCTTGAAAATACCACACCCTTATTAGGGAGGGACATATTAGCCAAAGCTGGAGCTATTATCTACATGAATAGGGGAAAGTTACCCATTTGTTGTTCCCTACTTGAGGAAGGAATCATCTCCAAAGTCTGGACATTTGAAGGACAATTTGGAGAGCAAAAAATGCATGCCTGCCCAGTCCAAATCAGGCTAAAAGACCCCACCACTTTTCCTTATCAAAGGCAATATCCCGTAAGTCCCGAAGCTCATAAAGGATTACAGGATATTGTTAGACATTTAAAAGCTCAAGGCTTAGTAAGAAAATGCAGCAGTCCCTGCAACACCCCAATTCTAGGAGTACAAAACCAAATGGTCCGTGGAGACTAGTGCAAGATCTTAGACTCATCAATGAAGCAGTAATTCCTCTATATCCAGTTGTACCTAACCCCTATACCCTGCTTTCTCAAATACCAGAGTAAGTAGAATGGTTCACTGTTCTGAACCTCAAGGATGTCTTCTGCATTCCCCTGCACTCCGACTCCCAGTTTTTCTTTGTCTTTGAGGATCCCACAGACCACACATCCCAACTTACATGGACTGTCTTGCCTCCAGGTTTTAGGGATAGCCCTCATCTGTTTGGTCAGGCACTGGCCCAAGATCTAGGCCACTTCTCAAGTCCAGGCACTCTGGTCCTTCAGTATGTGGATGATTTACTTTTGGCTACAAGTTTAGAATCCTTATGCCAGCAGGCTACTCTAGATCTCTTGAAATTTCTAGCTAATCAAGGTTACAAGGCGTCTAAATCAAAGGCCCAGCTCTGCCTACAACAAGTCAAATATTTAGGCCTAATCTTAGCCAGAGGACCCAGGGCCCTCAGCAAGGAATGAATACAGCCTATACTGGCTTATCCTCACCCTAAGACATTAAAACAGTTGTGGGGCTTCCTTGGAATCACCAGCTTTTGCCAACTGTGGATCCCAGGATACAGTGAGATGGCCAGACCACTCTATAATCAAGGAGACCCATAGGGCAAATACTCATCTAGTAGAATGGGAACTAGAGGCAGAAACAGCCTTCAAAACCTTAAAGCAGGCCCTAGTATAAGCTCCAGCCTAAAGTCTTCCCATAGGACAAAACTTCTCTTTATACTTCACAGAGAGAGAGTGGGAATAGCTCTTGGAGTCCTTCCTCAGACTTATGGGACAACCCCACAACCAGTGGCATATCTAAGTAAGGAAACTGATGTAGTAGCAAAAGGCTGGCCTCACTGTTTATGGGTGGTTGCAAAGGTGGCTATCTTAGTATCAGAGGCTATCAAAATAATACAAGGAAGGGATCTCACTATCTGGACTACTCATGATGTAAATGGCATACTAGGTGCCAAAGGAAGTTTATGGCTATCAGATAACCACCTGCTTAGATACCAGGTGCTACTCCTTGAGGGACCAGTGCTTCAAATACACATGTGTGTGGCCCTCAACCCTGCCACTCTTCTCCCATAGGATGGGGAACCAATCAAGCATGACTGCCAACAAATTATAGTCCAGATTTATGCCACCCAAGAGGATCTCCTAGAAGTCCCTTTAGCTAATCCTGACCTTAACCTGTATAGGATGGAAGCTCATTTGTGGAGAATGGCATACAACGGGCAGGTTATGCCATAGTTAGTGATGTAACAGTACTTGAAAGTAAGCCTCTTCCCCCAGGGACCAGCACCCAGTTAGCAGAACTAGTGGCACTTACCTGAGCCTTAGAACTGGAAAAGGGAAAAAGAATAAATGTGTATACAGATAGCAAGTATACTTATCTAATCCTACATGCCCATGCTGCAGTATGGAAAGAGACACTGGGAAGGATGAGGCAGTTTCTAAAATATCAATGTTCATAATACATGGGGAATTACATTTCTGCAACCATGTCTTTACATTTTAAATGAAAATACTTGATGTGAACAAGTGAGGAGATAAGAGTGAAGGGGTGGAGAGTTCGTGGAAATGGTTTAAAGCCCACCAGCGTGGAGGTGGTGGGGGCACCTCCAAGCACAGGTGGCAGATCCCGCAAGACAGGAGCAGCAGTTAAGGGGGCTGTGGGTGAAGTTGGGGGGCGGCTGATTGTGGGGGAGCTTGTGGTGGGCGGGAGCCCACCCTAGCTCAGACCCAGGGTCTCAGGAGGATGAAGGACAGCAGATGTGAGGGGTGGGGCCGGTCCTGCGGGACTGGACAGACCCAAGCTGCCAGGGCTGAGTCAGCCAAGGCTGTGGGGCCCCCTGTGTTACTGAAACCAAAGACGATTCTACCTCCCCAAGGAAGGTATGGGAGCCCAATGGAGTTCGAATCTCCTCTGAGCACCACACTCTTTAGAAAGCCCAAACACAAATTCTCTCCCTATTTTAAAAACTTCTTCCACTTTCAGTCCCCGAAACATGTCCTTAGACTGCCTTCTGGGGACTTTTCCACGGCATGTTAAAGGTTTGGGACTTTCAGGACAGTGGGAAGACATCGCAAGCTGTGTAACAGAGGAGTGGTGATTCACCCACGGAGTCATTTCTTGGACATTTGTGAGGCTCAGGATGTGCCAGGCCTGGGGCCAAATGCCTGCTGCACTCTCTCCTACAGCCGACAGAGACCCTAGACAGCAGGTGCTGTCCTCAGCCCCTTTCTCCAGATGAGAAAACCAAGGCTTGGACCTGCCCGAGGCCCCAGCCAGCACCTCAGCGGGGCTCCTGGGTCCTGGGGTCCTGGGGTCTGGGCCGGGCGAGCCCAGGGCCCTGCTCTGAGCAGACACAGCCTGCTGCTTTTCCACGGTTCTGGAGTTAGAAAACAATGGACACACGCTGTGAAAGCTGCTCAGCCCTTTGTCTTTGAAATGGCACCAATGTGGCCGGTTCTGGGAGTTCCCGGGAGAGACAAAGTAACTTAATCTTCCAGAGACTCAGTGAAACCAGCAATAGCTCTGGTGTCTCCACAAAGTTGGACAACTTCTATCCAATTAATTACCAGAACAAAACCAGAATCAGAAAACATCTTGGATTGCAAGAGTCTTTGGCAATACAATTTAACTCTTTCCACCCCTGGAATTAGAAATCCCATTAACAGCCTTTTAAGTTTGAAACAGCTGATTCCAGCTGAGCCTCATTAATTAGCAGCACCCGCTGGCTGTCTCTTCTCGGGGCTCCTAGGGAGAAGCACAGTCACTCAGAAAATGAGGCCAGGGTGATGAGTGACACAAATGGGCCCACAGCCTGGGACACAGGGGACACATCCACATCCTGTGGGAGCAAGGCACACCCAGCTGTCTTCCCATGGGCATCTGTAAGCCCCTCTGTGCACTGGGTTTCCTGGCACTACCCTCCCTGTGGAACCTGGCCGGCTGCCAGGAGAAGCTCAGTGGGCATCATGGGTGCTGGGCGGGGCCTCCCGTCTGCCAGAGGCTTTTATGAGCCCTGGGTGACAGCAGCCTGGGAGTCCTGGAGGGGACAGCTGAGGGGATGTCTCTGCTGCAGGCCACACCCCTGGCTTATCTGGGAGTCCCCTGCTCCCTCACTCTGTCCACATGGTCTGGTCTGGGTGGGGCTGACTCCACCCCCAGGTCAGGTGTGCTCCTGTGACCCAGACCTGTGAGAGGAGAACATTCCATTCCCATGGACTGGGTGATGGGTTCCGGGGTGGGCACTTGGCTGTGTGTCCGGAATTGGTTCCTTCCAGTAGGTTCTTGGTCTCGCTGACTTCAAGAATGAAGCCACGGATCCTCACGGTGAGTGTTACAGTTCTTAAAGATGGTGTGTCCAGAGTTTGTTCCTTTAGATGTTCAGATGTGTCCGGAGTTTCTTCCTTCCAGTGGGTTTGTGGTCTTGCTTGACTTCAGGAGTGAAGCCACAGACCTTCTCAGTGAGTATTACAGCTCATAAAGGTAGTACAGACCCAAAGAGTGAACAGCAGCAAGATTTATTGTGAAGAGTGAAAGAACAAAGCTTCCACAGCGTGGAAGGGGACCCAAGCGGGTTGCCACTGCAGGCTCGGGTGGCCAGCTTTTATTCCCTTATTTGGTCCCACCCACGTCCTGCTGATTGGTCCATTTTACAGAGTGCTGATTGATCCATTTTACAGAGTGCTGACTGGTCCGTTTTTACAGAGTGCGGATTGGTGCATTTACAAACCTTTAGCTAAACACAGAGTTCTGATTGGTGTGTTTACAATACTTTAGCTAGACAGAAAAGTTCTCCAAGTCCCCACCCGACCCAGAAGCCCAGCTGGCTTCACCTCTCAATCCCCCCTCTAAACAGGACACCCCAACTGCTGCTGGGAATTGGGCGATGACAGCTCTAGCTACTTCCTGCTGGATAGGGGCAAAGAAGGGGCCCTGCAGTTGTAGTGTCCTCCAGAGGGGAACTCTTTAGGCCAGCCGGTCGGTCCAGGTGTCCTCAATAGAAGTTCTTAGTTGAGCTCATTTGGGGTTTCATTTGTAAGACCATCTGTAGCTTGATGGCCTCAATTCTAGAGGGAACAAATTTGACAAGGAGGTTAAAAATACAGGGCCTGAAGGCAAGTAATAGCAAGATGGCTGTCACAGGACCTAGAAAGGGGAGAAGCCATGTCACCCAACTCCAGAGGGTGGTATAAGAGTTTGAAAGGCATTGTCTGATTTCAGAAGCCTTTTCCGGTAAACACCGGGTGGCATCTCGTACTATCCCTGACTGGTTAATGTAAAAACAACACTCTTCCCCTAAGAAGGTGCAGAGTCCTCCTTTCTCAGCAGTGAGGAGGTCTAGGTCTCAGCAGTTTTGGAGAGTCACTGCTGCCAAAGAGTCTATTTGGGATTGTAGAGTAAGGATAGATGTCGTTATTTCTTGCAAACTGTCTGAGAAATCCTTTGAGAGTGTGTGGTAGTCGGATAATGAAGTAGATAAACTGGCTATTCTGGTTCCTTTAGCAGTAGCCATTCCTAACCCTGTAAGTAGGGGTATTAGTTGTATGGCTCTGCGCTGACAGACTTGAACTTTGAGGGGTACTGATAGGGTCTGATTTCCTGGGGCAGTGTTAATGTTGGGACTTAGAAAGACTAAGGTGCAGGTGCCTGTCCAGGTGGTGGGGAGGCAGATATAGGTCGACGTTCCACGTAAGAAGAATATACCTTGGCTGGGTAGACAGAACTGGTTGTGTATGTTAAAAAGGTGTGAGTTTGTTGTTTTCATTTTCCCATACTCCTAGAGTACTTGCCAAGGTAGCTCCGGTGAGCAGCTGGAAAGGGGTGTTGGGAGCAAACTGAGTGGCTGCCTGCATTCTATTTTCCCATTGGAGAAAAACCGTTTTGTATCCACTAGGAACCATTCGAGAGAGTGACTGAAAGAGGGGATGAGAAGGCATTCACTAGTGGTAGGGGCACTGCTGCAGGGGTTCCAGGGGTGAACAGTCATGCAGGGAGTATGTTTGCCATCACAAAACCTGAACTGTTTGTTAAGCAGGGAAGAGGTGATTTTGGGGGGACCTGAGAAGTGGACAAGCTGTCTGAATGGAGCTGTTTGGGTGACTCAGAAGTTACTATGATCAGTTGGGGCTTGAAGATGTAGGGTGTAATTACACTGATGGGGTGGCAGGTGCCCCAGGGGCAGGCCTGATAACAGGTTGCACTGGATGCATAAAGGGGCTTAGAAAGTTAAGATGGTATTCGTAGTTACAGGGCAGTGTATGGGCTTTTCATTGCTTGTGTAATAGGTGAGGTTGGAAATGTAAGAACATAAAAGTTGGATTGTGGGTCCTGTTAGGGTACTCTTGGTCCTATCAGAGATGGGGAAGCCGGCTAATGGTTGCATATTTAGAAGTCGGAAAGGGTCTTTTCCTTCATAATGAGGGTGGTAGGTTAAGCTGGTAAAGACCCAATTTTTTGTGGGAATGGGAGTGGCAATGTAAGCAGAGGTTGATAGAGAGATACAAAGCCAACAGTCATTTGCCCAGGAAGGACTGGACTGGTTTAACATTGAGTGGGTTAAGTTGAGAGTCTTGTAGAGGTAATTAGGAGCTAGAGGAAGGGGAGGGGTGATTGTATGAGGTATCCAAGGAAGTAGGAGGGATAGACAGGCAGAGTAAATAGGAAGGTAAAAGGGTGCTCTGGAAGACAAGATCATTTTATCCAGGCTGAGTTAAAGGTAGGCATAAATTGCTGTCAGAAGGAAGGAAGATAGAAAGAAGGTTAATGTGATTAGGATTTTCGTCCCGGTAGGAGCTACAGTATGTAGTCCTATCCTGAAGAGTATGGTTAATACGCTGCTTAGTAATATGATGAAATAGTAAAAGGATTCCATTAAAGGGGGAAGGAGAGGTGTTACAGATAAAGATTACGTAGGCCTTCACTTATCTTTTTAAGGAGAAAAGGGTTTTCCTTCAGGATCAGTGGTAGGAGCCTTTTTAGTCTGGGATGTTTCCTTCCGAAATAGGAGATGCAAGTCCTCCAACGGTTCACAGGTGTATCAAGACTCATCTGGCTGATCTTGGGACCCCCGAGCTGACAGTTCTGCAGGTTCCTCAGGGGTTGTGGACACTCTCACACCCAGTGCAGCCGCCTGTGACCACCCAAGGACAGTGACGTGGTGCTGAATTTGCCTCCTGTGTGACGTCAGGACCCTGCTCCCCAGTGGGGGCCTCATCCCCAAAAATGTCTCTGGAGTCTTTGGGGTGCTGCTGTTGACACATGAGATCAGTCCTGCCATCTGATCTGGCACTGCTGCTGGCCCTGCTGCTGGTCACTCAGCTCCTGGCCACCATGCTGGGGTCTGAGCCCCACGGTCGTCCCCACCTCTCAGCCCAGGCACAGGAGGGACACAGGGAGTAGAGTGGGGTGATGCCCCCGTCACCTCCCGAGGCCCCGGGAGTGAGTGCCGGGACCCTCTGTCCTAACCCTCTGCCTCCCTGGGTGTTAACCCACCTGGGCAAAAGTGCGTGGTTCAATGCCAAGGCCAGGGCCATGGGCTCGGCGTTTCCCTGCAGAGTCCCTGGGCTTCTCGGCCCATCACAGGCTTGAGGATCAGCACCTGCAGCCCGTGGTGGTTGTTTTCTCATCTGTAAATGCGGATTTGGGCTTTAGAGCTGACTCTTTGTCACCGGGAGCACAGCCTGTCTTCTCTGTTCCTTTCCTTTGTGACTCAGAGGCCCTCTGCGCCTTGGTGGGAGGAAGAGGAATCATCCTTGTTGCTGACCCCCTGTGACGGTGCTGGCTGGACGGGGTGTGCATCGTGCCAGGAGCTGGTCCCTCATTCATCCTCACAGCAGCCCTCCCGGGCTCGCCCGCCGTGACTTTCACTCCCATTTCACAGACGAGGACCCTGAGGTCCAGGGAGGCTGAGTGGGCTGCCCTCCCCAGCTGGAGCCTGGAGGGGATTTGAACTCGCGCCTCGGGGCAGAGCCTGTTGCTGGCTGGGCTGGGCTGAGCTGACTCCCCAGGGCCATCAGCTCCACTGCATCCTGACCACCTGGGAACTGTGGCCAGCACTTTTCAGGCTCGAAGGCATGGCTGCTTACAGCGTGCCCGAGGATGGGTGTCATCGTCCTCACCCTCTGCACTCACTGTACCCGTCTTTGCAGGGTGAGGGCCCTGCCGGGTCCTACTCTGGGCACTGAGGTACAGAGGGAAGCCCTCCTGCCCTGCCCCAGGAGGGTGCTGGTCTCCACCAGGACACAGATGGAGGTGGATGAGGCCACAGCCCAGAGAAGAAGGGCAAGGTGGCAGGGGGTGCTGGTAGAGGAGTAGGACTAAGGGTGGTAGTGACACTGGTGAACCCCAGCTGAGGAGGGGCATGGACTCTTCTGCACATCAATGGGGAGCCACAGTATGTTGTAGAGGAAGCTCATTCTGCCCTGGGTCCCCAGGGAGCTAAGGTCTCAGCCACATTCACCCTCACAGCTGGGCCCTCCAGCCCCTCCCGCCCTGGGAAGTGTGGCCTCTGTTTTTGGTGAGGTCACAGCTGCAGGGAGGGCCAGGGCGCTGGATGCCTCAGGCTGCAAATGGCTTCACCCAATGCCTCCGGCTGTGGGGCAGAGGCCGGAGCTAGAAATAGACCCGCAGTGACCCCCACCCCAGCCACACAGTGCAGGCCTCCTGACCACAGGTCCTGGGCCACCCCTTCCTGCTCACATGGGAGGGAACCCTGAGCTTGAGGGAGGCTGTTCCCCAAACAAGGCCACCTTGTGTAGCTCTCTGAGGGCCTTTTATAATCTCCTTCCCTCCACCAGGACAGCCCAGCTGCAGCCCGTCCTCACCAGCGACCCCTGGGCCCTTCGCCTCAGGGCCAGGCAAGCGGGGAGCAGACAGCAGTGTGTGAGGAGGGAAAAGAGCCGGACTACGGGGACCCCCAGCCGCCCGCCAGCCCCTCCCCTGCAGCCTCTCTTCCCAGATGTCAAGGTCCCTGAGCTGCCCCGTGCAGGGAGCAGGGTCAGGTGAGGTCCAGCGGAGCCCAGAAGCTGTTGCAGGAGCAGGACGGAGGAAGCCCTGGGGGAAAGGCCCGGCTCCTGTCCTCCCTGTGTCCCCTCCCCTTCCTCTAAATGCCTGCCCTGCCTCCTGCAATGGTGGGATGGCCTGGAGGTGCAGAACGAGGCTGGCCCTGCCTTCTCTGGGGAGCTCAGCCACTGGAGGTGCCTGAGTCTGGGTTCATCATTGCAAAGACAGAACCTGTTCTGCCGTCTTTAGGGAAGGGAAAAGGGCCTGGGGGAGATGGGACAGTCCCCCTCATATCATTGGTGGCAGTGCGTGTAGGAGCAGTCTGTTTGGAGGACATTTTGTGTAATATCTATTCAAATCAGGTGTGCCCAGCCTAACCTGGGGGCCAGCCCTTTACCATCCTCACACGCTCACATCGGCAGCCAATACCTGGACCGTCTAACCAATCAACTGGTTCCATTGACTCACTGACTGGCCTAACCCAACGGCATGAGCAGGGCTGGGGCCACAGGGGAGGAGCAAATCTAGACAGCAGTACAATTCGCCATGTCTCCAGAAATTCTTTAGGACATTCTATTGTGCCTGTCCAGGCTCTGATGCTGGCCTCAGCAGCCCCCATCTCCTCCTCACATGAGGTCCTGGGCTGTTCCACTGAGCCCTCCACTTTCTGAAATGAATGGGGACACGTTCTATTGTTATTCGAATTGTGGGAAATTCGACAGTTATTCGAGTTGTGGAAAAGCAGGCTCCAGAACGTCTTGGAGATATGACTTAGCAATCTGCAGGTGTCCACGGTGAGTCCTCCCCAGTAGGAGGAGACAGGAGTCTCTCTGGAAGGCGAACGCCACAGCTGCCCAGATGTTCTCCTGCAGGGGAACCAGACACCATCATGACCCAAAAGGGCTGCACTTCTCGGGGTTTGCAGAATGTGGCAGAGGTGGAAAAACTCGAAAGTCCCTAAACACAGGTAAGCAGACAGCGCAGTGGTGGTGGTGTCTCCCACACTTTGAGTCTGTGTTTGCATGTGTGTGCACACGTGTCTATATGTGCATTTGTATCTGCTTCTTCCATGTGTGCATGCCTCTGTGCATGTGTGTGTGTGTGCATGTACTTCTGTCTCTGTGCATGTGTGTGTGCATGTGTGTGTCTGTGTGAATGTTTGTGTATCTGTGCATGTGCATGGTTGTGGTATACATGCATGCGTATATATGCATGTGTGCACATGTGTGCTTGTGTGTGTCTCTGTGTGTGCATGCATATGTGTGCATGTGTGTGTGTGAATGTGTTTGTGTATCTGTGCATGTGCGTGTTTGTGGTATACATGCATACGTATATACGCATGTGTGCATACGTGTGCTTGTGTGTGTCTCTCTGTGCACGCATGTGTGTGCATGCGTGTGTCTCTCTGTGTGCATGCATGTGTGTGCATGTGCAGATTCATGTTTCTGTGTCTGTGCCATGCACGTCTGTACATATGCACATGTGCATGGGTGCATTCATATGCACACGTGTCTTGTGTACATGCATGTGTGCCTGTGTGTGAGTGTGCGCCTGTTGAGTCAGGTCTGTGAGTCCCCCTGAGGGCCAGGAGGCCGTGGGCAGGGCTGGTCCTGGAGAGCACTTCTTTTCCACGCACTTTGGCTTCCCCCGCTGAGCGCACCCCCCGCACTTGGCTGGCTGCTTTCACCCCAGCCCCGTTCCTCCTGTGCCCAAGAACCTCCTCCTCGTCTCCTCCTCAGCCACGCAGCTGGTGCAGCACAGCAGACCTGCACTGAAATGCATCGGGGAGAAAAAGGGAGGTGAAGTCAAACATCCCATCTGCTCCTGTCCACGTCCTCAGGTTCACTGCCAAGTTCTGACACTGCCGACTCCCCACACTGAAGGCAAATGGCCTCCCCGAATGCAAAACTCATTCCTTGCTTGCCAGCACCCAGAGATTCTTTCTGAAGATGTTTATCTTTTCTCATTCACTCTTCAAAATCCTCCATGTAGAGAAAATGCCTTAGAATTTCCTGAATAAGGAAACAACAGGCAGCATCCTCATCTACATCCCCTCGGGATTGCTGAATGGAATGCAGAGAGGAGAGGAGAGTGGAAAATAGCCCCTGGGTTTTAGGAAATATTAAGCAGTTTTTCAAGAGCCAAGAGCCCTGCAGGAGGCAGAAAAGGATATGATTTTGCAGTTTTGAATACGCTTTTCTCTGGGAGTAGCACTTTTCTACCAGAGGCTGACATTGGAGGGACCACCTGACATCAGATTAGACATTCACAAAAAGGCGCTGCAGGCAAGTGCTTCATAAAAAGACCTTCACCAAAGATGCACCTGACCCCCGGGCTCAGGGAGGCTCTTGTTAAATGGAGGATATTATGCCTGCTCTATTTACTGTGGGGCCTGCTTGGGGCTAATCAGAGGTTGCTTCAAATCTGTGCAGGTAGATGTATTCATGCAATAATACCTCATCTCCACTATATTGTTGTTTTAGCAAAAGATACTTTCATTCATGTTTTCATCTTTTTATTGTGGACAATTTTAAACATGCAGAAATGGAGGGAGAAGGGTATGGAGAACACCCATTTACCATCAGCCAGATGTCACAATTACCGATAACTTCCTGCATTTGCTTCTTCTCTAGATTTTTTGGAATTAATTCGAAGTACATTGCAATCACGATGGCCTTTTACTTCTAAATTCTACACTCTGCACCTCTAAAATATACAAGCATGTCCCAGGACCACCCTCAACTACTTCAGGTCCCTCGGAAAAGGGTAAGGTCAGCCAGGCTGGACACCACGCTGTGGGTGGCCTTAGGTCCTGCAAGCAACTGTGGCCACCAGCGTCGCAGCAGCAAGGTGAGCCTGAGCAGGAGCACACTGTCCCTACCTGTCTCTGTTTCTTCCTGCCCCTTGGGGTGTGGGCACCTTGCCAGCTGGGAAGCTGTAGTCTGTAACAGTGATCATCGTGCTCTTCGCTGCCGTCATTTCCAACATCGTCCGAGAATTTATGAAGTGCCGAGAATCCCTCTTACGGCTTCTCCTATATTCAACTACTGAATCCACATAAACCTGTTTTACAGATGGGCTTATAGAAGTGCAGCGATGCAAATCCAGACCGTTTAGCTTCCAAGTTCATACCCACCATCATCTTCTGCTCAACTGCAGAAGCATCAGGGTGAAGCCGGCCGTGCTGGGCTGGTGGGGCAGGTGGCAGTGGCTACCATGCAGGTCCGTGTGGGACTCCCCAGGGGACTTCATGCTGCATGATTCCCACCTCATGTGTGGACCTTGGTACCAAACTTGTGCTTAGGATTCAATTCCACATGTGAGTTATTCCACGATTCCAGTTCTGTACGTGTTTTCCATGTACGTTCACTAAAAACAGACCGAGAAACTTTATATCCAACTGATGACTCTGCCTAAGACTGTAGCAGGATTGATAAGGAATCAGAGACCGATGGGGTTGAGGAGGATATTTATTATTTAGGTACACCGGCCCAGTAGGACTAACATTCCAATGACTGAGCCCTGAACAAAGAGTTAAGTTACCTTTTAAGCATTTCATGGGGTGGGGTGTTGTGGGGGGGAGATCTGTGCAGGGGGAAGCATATTACAGAAGCGAGAAACAAAGACAGTTATTCAACTGAGACATGTATTACATCATTTCTTACTTTTCAAGGAAAAACATGTTTTGCGACTTGAGTTTATCTGTCTGGTGACCTTGCAGCTGCACAGCTAGGGAAACAGGGTCTTCACAATGCCTGGGAAGGGAGGAGAGATAAGGCTCACTAGCCACAGAAAAACAGGCAGTTAATTTTTAAAGGACTCCAGCTCTTTCTCTTTCTCAAGGGGAATTGGGTTTTCTTTTTTTTTTTTTTTTTTTTTTTTTTTTTTTTTTTTTTGAGACGGAGTCTCGCTCTGTCACCCAGGCTGGAGTGCAGTGGCGCAGTCTCGGCTCACTGCAAGCTCCGCCTCCCGGGTTCACTCCATTCTCCTGCCTCAGCCTCTCCGAGTAGCTGGGACTACAGGCGCCCGCCACCACGCCCGGCTAATTTTTTTTTTTTTTTATTTTTTTTAGTAGAGACGGGGTTTCACCGTGGTCTCGATTTCCTGACCTCGTGATCCACCCGCCTCGGCCTCCCAAAGTGCTGGGATTACAAGCGTGAGCCACCGCGCCCGGCCTGGGTTTTCTTACATACAACTGAGTTTCTGCTTACACATTCTTTAATTTCTTTTAATTCCTGTTTTAAGACCAGAAAGAAGATGTGGAATGTGGAGGGAGCTGGGTCGATAGAACATGGAGTTTTGATTGACTTTTATTACCAGGAACTTCACAGTGAGAATTCCTCAGAGAGCATGGTATGGTAATGCTGTTCATACTCAGGTGCATACGTTCACATGCCCACATTCAGATGCCCATGCTGGACAGGTGCCCATCCCAGGCAGGTGTTCACACTCAGGGGCTCACTCTCAGGGGCTCACCCCAGGAAGGTGTCATACACAGGAGCTCACTCTCAGGGGCTCACCCCGGGCAGGTGTTCACACACAGAGGTTCACTCTCAGGGGCTCACCCAGGAAAGTGTTCACAGGGGCTCACTCTCAGAGGCTCACCCCAGGAAGGTGTTCACATTCAGGGGCTCACTCTCAGGGGATCACCCCGGGAATGTGTTCACACACAGGGGCTCACTCTCAGGGACTCAGCCCAGGCATGTGTTCACAGGGGCTCACTCTCAGGGGCTCACCCCAAGCAGGTGTTCACACACAGGGCCTCACTCTCAGGGGCTCAGCCCAGGCATGTGTTCACACTCAGGGGCTCACCAAGGCCCACCTGGGGAGCACAGGGGCTCAATCCCACACTTTACACCAGCAGTTCCTTGCAGACCTCAACAGCTCTGCTCAGCAGTGTGGGAGAAAGAGGAACATTTAGAGAACAGAACCGTGGGCGATATTATTTGACATGTCCCTCCTCTTCCTCTTCCTCCTGTCACAACATCAGGATTTCCCTGAAGAAAGTGACCTGCACTTTGACCCAGCCCGTCACATCACCAGTGAGCATGTGACCTATTACTGGCCAATCAGAGTCATACACAGCCCAGCCTCATCATGGTGATTGGATAAGAGGTGGGCACATGACCAAATCAAGCCAATCATAGTCCCAAACATCCTCATCACAGTGATTGGATAACATGTAACCACATGACCAGATCAAGCCAATCAGAGTTACACACACTCTCATCACAGTGATTGGATAAGGGATGGGCACACAACCAAATCAAGCCAATCAGAGATGCACTTCCTCCTCCTCGCTGGGACTGGATATTAAGGGCAGTAGATACTGATTTTCATTTTGGAAAATGATGCAAATTTTCCTTTTTAAAATTGAATTATGTAAAATAAGGTAGTTGATGGAAAGGAAAAAATTAAGTAACAGGTGATAAGCTAATACCTCAAACATGGAGCTCTGTGAAAAGCCAGCCTTGAAGCCCTGAGTTAATCCAGCCACTAGAGCCTCCCTGAATCCTGGCTGAGCCACTGGCCCTGGAGGGTGCAGGGGACGTCGTCCACCAGGTCTCCCTGCAGCTCCGCAGCAGGCTGCGGGTACCAGCCATTCTAAATGCAAAGCACATGCCCGCCCGATGAATTATGAATGGTGTTTACAATTCCTCCAACACAACCGGGCCATCAGTCATTTATAGCTGCACCAATGGCTCTGCCACTCTGAGGTCGCTGGAAGAGAAGGACTGACCAAGCCTGATGGGTTGGAGGAGAAGCCAGCGGAGGTGCCGGGATGGCCTGGCCGGGCCTGCTGGAACCAGAGGCAGGCCGATTCCAGGACCAGTGTTCTTTCCTTGGAAAACACGGAGTGAGCTTCCTGACGTCGCTGACCACTTCCATGAGAATGGAAGAAGGAGGATGCACCCCGGAGGGGCAGAATTTCTTGTCCTGGAATGCCGGCAGTCAGCCCCTCACTCCCGTCTTCCCGCAGAGGAGGCTCTTTGCCTTCTCAGGCTCTTCAGGAAACAGATTCCACTCGTCACCGATAAACCAGCTCCAGGTTTCGTTGTCCTTGCTGCCAGGCTGCCCGGCTGTGTCTGGCCTTACCTGATGGTCTGGCACCACAAGTGGGTGCTGCGCTGTATGCTCACCAGTTGCTGCTCCTCCTTCCTTGGTACGTGGTGAAGCCACATTGCCCAGCCTGCCTGGCAAGGAGATGTGGTCACATGGCTGCGTTCTCATCAATAGATGGGATGGGGACCGTTTCTGGCCGAAGGAAGCATGATTACCGCCTTTATGATGTCTTGTCCATTCTCCTGGAAGGACACAGACATCAATGAGATGGTGATTCACATCATGGAAGGGGTTTGAGTCTCAGAAATACACCATGGAAGAGAGTTACCTGTCTCATAACCACTTGGACTGCCATAAAGGCAAGACATAAGCTTCTATTGGATTTGAGTCATCATGTATTGTATGAATGTGTGCAGTTATTTAGAGAGAAACTTGCTTACTGACACAGACACCATGTGTTGAGTATCTAATATGTGCAGAACATTGTGCTAAATGCTTTGCATATACAGCGTTGCCTAAGCCTCACAACAACCTGCAGGCCTGGAGACCATTATTTTCCCACTTTAGAGATGAAGAGATTTAGATTTAGAGAAGTTAAGCTTGCCCTGGGTCACACACCTACTAATGAATAGAATTGGGACTCCACAGCTCAGGTTCTCAGTGCCAGCTAGAGTGTCCTCAAAGCAACATGATGAAGGAGTATTAGCCATGAAGATATTCTTTCTCCCTGCTCCATCCAGCAGGGAAGGGGCCTCCCTGGAGCTCCACAGCAATAGGCCCCAAGAAGGTGGGCAGACAGGAAGGGAGGCCACGTGTGCCATTGCACTTCAAGCTCAGCCTGGGTTGGGGCCTGCATGCCAGTCAGGAACCTCTTTCTGCAAATGGCAGAAACCCAGTTCCCAGTGGCCCACACAGAAAAGGCCACATACCTGTTGTTCATCTACCCCAACGTTCCAAGCAAGGCTGGATCAAGGTGTTTCTTGATGAACTCAGGAGTCTCCTTCTCCATCTCTGTCTCTGTTTTCCCTGAAGAGGAAACAAGGCAAAAGAAACTTGAGGCTCATGTTCTGAAAGCTAGATAGTGAAGTGCCCTCTCCTCTGTAGCAATCACTGAAGACCATCATCTACACCTGCAGCAGCATCGTCACCTTGCAGCAGCAACTCAGGGTCACTGACTTGCCCCTGCCACCTGCAGCAACCACTCGGGCTGACTCACCTGCCCCTGCCACCTGCTGCAACCACTCGGGGTGACTCACTTGTAAATGCTGCTGCATAAGCAATAAGGGTGCACCCAGGGAGGGAGCAGCTGGAAGGGAAATGCAGAGAGAAGTTCTGGGGGTTCCAGGTGGGACGAGTGATCAGCTGACAGCCCTCCAACCACGATGTGCAGTCCCCCATACCACGACCCCTGTCCCCATCCTGCCTCTGCTGAGGAGTCTGAGAGCTTAGTCCTTGGGGTCACCCTGTTCATCCCTGCATATGTGCAGATCTGCTCTCACGCTCCTGAAGTGCTGGAATTCGTGCAAGTTCAGAATCTCAATTATTTCTGACCTCAACCCTGTAAGCCTCATGTAAGTCTTCTTCCTTTGTCTGAACTCACACTAGCCACTGAAGGGAGAGATCTGGTGACTTCATTCAACATTTGGTTATTAAGCACCCCCCTGTACCAGGCTCTGTCCCAGGCGCTGGGGACACAGCCCCAGGAGAGCCATGGCTCTGCTCTCCTGGAACTTATGTTCCGGTCCAGTGAAGAGACATACAAGTATGTGAGAAAATGAATACGATAATCCTCAGTTGTCAAAAGGGCCGTCGATGAAACAGAATGGACCATGTAACAATGTGGCTGGGGAGAGGCCATTATGAGCTGGGGCAGCCAGGAAAGATCTCTTAGAGGGTATGATATTGGCACCAACAAGGAGCCAACAGCATGCAAACCTGGGCAGGTGCATACCAGGCAGCGGCATCACCAGGGAAAGGTCATGCAGCAGAAACCAGTGTGGCCCTGTGAAGAGCAGAAAGGAGGCTGAGGGCAAGGAGAGGAGGCCAGAGCTGCAGCAGGTCAGCAGGGGTCAGGCCCCGTGTGCCTTACAGGCAGGGGAAAGGGTCTAGCTTTTGCTAAGTGCCCTGGCCACTGGTAATATGGGGAGGCAAGACAGTGTGCAACATGCTCTGCCCCCCGAGGGGCCTCCCAGGCTGCACTGCAGAGAGAGGTGGGAATGGAAAGAAATGAGTTTTCAGGCTACTGCACTGGTCCAAGCAGGAAATAAGTGTTGCTCAGACTACAGCGGTGGCAGTGGAGATGGAGGGAGGACATTTTTTCCAGATCTATCTTGGAGCTGGAGATGACAAGATTTGCAAATGGATTGGCTCTGGGGAGAGACCGAGAGAGAGAGAGAGAGAGAGAGAGAGAGAGAGAGAGAGAGAGAGAGAGAAATAAAAATAAAAAAGAATTGGTCTTCTGATCTTGTCTGAAGAGGAGGAAACAGGTTTCAGGGAGATGCAGGTAGGCTGATGAAGAAGCACTGGTATTGGCTTTCATGCACGTTTGGAAGCCTTGGGAAGGCCTACATATTCTCTGGAAATAAATTGCTCATGATTCCAGTTAATCATCCACAAAATAATGCAAGGTTTACAATAAATTGTATTTCCCAGCTACTGAGAAACAAAGCTGGTAGGAATGAACGGAGCCCACACTGACGCGCGGCCGAAACACACGTTCCATCGTTCTGAGCTGAAGGGGGGCAGCCTGGACAGAGCACATCATGGGGAGAGGCCGCTGTTCCCTGCTGTGCCAGGCCGGGGTGACTGGCGGTTGATAAACAGCCCCACTCCTTACAAAGAGCCCTGGAGCGGGAGCTGGCACTGCCGACGTGCCATTTATCTTAAGGCTTTCATGGAGGGAAAATATGTTTTAAAAGCTGCCTGGAAAAGGACAATTATTAATGAAACTCTTCTATCAGTGTCTTCACTCGTTTGCTGGGAAGGGAGATGCTGACATACAAGAGTGAGGCCAGGCAGGCTTTGGAAGGGGTCGAGAAGGTGGCCAGGAGCGCAGTGTCCTCCCTTGGTTGTCACTGGTCTGCAGGCCACGGACGCCCTCTCTGAGGACAGCTTTTGGAGTAAAGGCCGCTATGAGCTTCATTCGCCTGATGTCTGGGGAAGCCCGGGGCTGGCTTTGCAGGAGCCCCCTCTCATGACACCGAGGGGCCTTCTCTGCAGCTCTCTGCTGCACGTCCATCACAGAGCAGCGGCATTCCCATCTCTGGTGCAGATGGCTCCACTTGCAGGCCCAGGCAACAGCATGGACCTCAGGACTGCATGGGGCAGCTTCTTCTGGGAGGCCCAAACGTCAGCAGTGGACACACAGCTCTCCAGACCAAGTCACTCCTGGGTGAGAGGCCCGACGCTGTGAGGGTGATGTCCTCACTCAGGCTGGTGGCAGCATGGACAGCTGCTCCGCATGGAGGGACGCAGGCCCAGCTTGTCCCTGAAATCCAAACCCAGCAGGCCCAGGGCTGCCATCAGAGACGCTGATTCTAAGGTGGAGGGAGATTTCCAGGAAGCAGGAGGTCCATCTGGGGAAAGAAGCGAATGCCACCCAGGATGGTGGAGGAGCACAGAGCAGAGTGAGCTGCAGGCATGGGGGGAGCTGGCCCAGACAGGCACAGGGCAGAAAACTCAGGAAGGGGAAACAGTCAGCACTGCTGATCCCAGCGAAAGTCTTGAAAACTGATGTGGTCAATTTATGGAGAATTGGGGTTGAATTAATGATAACGAAGCAATTCTTTCAAGCTACAGATTTGAGGGAAAAATGAAATATCCAGATGAGGAAAGTGCCCGTGGTCTCTGTCTCGGCTCCATGGTGAACGGGGCTCAGGTGAGCTTGGTGATATCAGCAGCCAGTCTCGATCTGAGGGAATCCCAGTGGCAGGGGTGGACGGGGGTGCCTGTGGGTGGAGCAGGCCAAGGAGAAGCAGGTCCCGACCTTCCCTATCGAAGGTGGTGCCTCGCATGGAAGCATCAGGAAGTGGAAACACAGGCGTCTCATTTGGAGATGGGAAGACACACAACACGAGAAACGACTAAAAGAATCAAAGGTGATCTCTGGGGAGGGACAGTGGAGGAAAGAGGGAGAATATCATTTTCATATCTATGGAACTCATTAAATTGGGTGCAAATACCATTTCTTTTTGAAAAGTAGAAACAAAATTATTAAAAGAACCAGTCAGTGAGAACTGTGGCGACCAGCCCACGTGACTGGAGGAAGAGCAGATTATAATTCATTCGCTCCCTTTCACCCCTCCTCTCCACCACAGTCTCTCTGGGCCGGGGCCGAAATTCCCAGGTTACAGCTGTGGAATGTGTCTGCTTCCTCCTGCACTGCTCCTGTACATATAATTTAAATTGCCCCGATGAGGTCTACTGCTTCAGAGTGACATCCAATCATTCCAGACTCTTTGAGCATCTGGAAGCCTATAACAGCTGGAAAATCTAATCTTGAAGCACTAAATGAGATAAAGCTTGGGTGAGACAAACACCATAGGCCACCTCTTCACCTCCATTATTCATGAAACTATCTCATTATAACTGTGGGTTGCCATGGTGACAGGCAGTGGAGAGACAATTCTAAAAAGTTTGGAGAAGATATTTTATAACTAAGAGCTTTTGGTTGCAAGCGACTGAAACCTGGTTCTTGATGGCTTAAACCGAAAGTTGTTTTGTTGTCTTTGTTTGCCAGCATTGCGGGGAAGGCCTCGGGAGTGCTGACAGCCAGCACCAGGGCCCAGCCGTGTCATCAAGACCTCAGTCTCTGCCCTGGGGGCTCTGCCTTCTGCTCTGCTGCAGTCATTGCTGGGCTCCACGGGCATCCCCTGAAAGCCCCAGGACCAAATTACCCTTAATATTAGCAGGCCGAGACTCTAAACAAATAACGGCCAACCACTGAAAGCAATACCACCAAGGCAAAATACCGTCAAGAGGGGCTGGATAAGTCTGTGGGGCACAAGGGAGGCAACCAAGAAGGACATCTAAATGAAGACCTCAAGAATAAATATGAACTGCACCAAAAATGGGCACAGGAGAGCACTCCAGGTCAAGGGAATTATAGACACATAAGATACAGGTCTGGGATGATCCTGAACCATTTGAATAACTGATTCCAGGTCCTTAGTAGGAAATGTTCAAGATGTACCTGGGTGATATGGTTTGACCCTGTTTCCCCTCCCAAATCTCATGTTGAATTGTTAATCCCCAGTGTTGGAGGTGGGGCCTGGTGGGAGGTTATTGGATCATGGGGGTGGTTTCTAAAGGTTTAGCACCTTCTCCCTAGTGCTGTCTTGTGATAACGTTCTCATGAGATCTGGTTGTTTGAAAAGGGTGTAGCACTTCCCCCTTTGCTCTCTGTCTCTCCTGCTGGCCATGTGAAAACCGTGCCTGCTTCCCATTCGCCTTCTGCCATGAGTGTAAGTTTCCTATGGCCTCCCTAGAAGCAGAAGCCTGTATAGCCTGCAGAACCATGAGCCAATTAAACCTCTTTTCTTTATAAATTACTGAGCCTCAGGTATGTCTTTATAGCAGTGTAATAATGGACTAGTACACTGGGTCATCTCAGTGTCTCACAGATCAAAGATGATGCCATGGGCTCATGAAGTGGTGTCACCCAGACACAGGAGCTAGCCTGACGCTCTCGCTGAACAGGGATGTGTTAATACAACATCAACAAGAATAATGACTGCAATGGATTAGAAGATTCAGGGTACATCAAAAGCCATGAAACAG
This sequence comes from Homo sapiens, assembly GCF_000001405.40. Classification (NCBI taxonomy): domain Eukaryota; kingdom Metazoa; phylum Chordata; class Mammalia; order Primates; family Hominidae; genus Homo; species Homo sapiens. The sequence goes on from NC_000012.12 coordinate 131,358,536, forward strand.
TCAGAAATGAACATGTGGCCATTATTACCTACCTTGCAGAAATAAAAGGATTATAAGACAATACTATGAGCAATTGTATGCCAATAAATTCAGAAGCTTAGATGAAACAAATTCCTAGTAAAACACAAACTACAATAACTGACGCAAGAAGAAATGGAACATTTGAATAGACTTATAACAAGGAAAAAGACTGAATTCTAATCAGAACCTCCCACCAAAGAAGACTAGAGGACAAGGTGGCTTCACTGGTAAACAGCACAAACATTTAAACAAACAGCCAAAATTATCAAACTCTTCAAAAAAAAAATAGAGTGGAAGAAATACTTCCTAACTCATTTTATGATTCCAGCATTATCCTGATTCCAAAGGCAGACATCACAAGAAAAAATTACAGATTAGTATCCCTTATGAATATTAAATCCTCAACTAGAAAATGTAATACAGCAGCATGGTAAAATAATTATACAACATAACCAACCAAGTGGGATTTATCCCAGGAACACAAGGATGGTTAAACATACAACAATTATTTAATGTAATACACAAAATTAGTAGAATTAAAGAAAAGATTATAATAGTCTCAATTAATGTAGAAAAAGCATTTGACAAAACTCAACAGCCTCTTATGATTTAAAAAGCAAAACAAAAGCCAACCAAACAAAAAACCAACTCAACAAACTAGAAATGGAAGGCAACTTCTTCAACATGGTAAAAAGCATTTAGGAAAAGCATATTGCTAATGTTGTACTTAGTGTTGAAGGATTGAAACCTTCCCAGCTAAATTCAAGAACAAAACATGCCCACTTTTGCCACCTCCATTCAACATTGTGCTGAAATTTCTAATCATAACAATTAATCAAGAAAACAAAATAAGAGACGTACAAATTGGAAATGAAGATGTAAAACTATATACACATATGACTTGATCTTGTACATAGAAAATCCTAAAGAATTCACACACAAAAAACTACTAAACATGATAGAATTTAATAAAGTTGCAAGGTACAAAATCAACACACAAAAATCCATTGTATTCTTACACACTAGTAACGAACAATCCTAAAACAAAATTAAGAAAACAATTCCATTTACAATGGCACCAAAAATAATAAAATATCTAGGAATAAGTTTGAGGAGGTGTAAGATTTGCACACCTAAAACAAAATATTAATGAGAGAAATTAAAGAAGACCTAAATAAATGGAAACACACCCTGTGTTAATTTCTTGGAAGATTTAATATTGTTTAGACTTCAAAACTTCCCAAAGGGATCTACAGATTCAGAGCTATTTCTGAATCACAATCTCAGTGGATTTTTTTCTTTTTTTCTCCTTTTTCCTTTTTTTTTTTTTTTTTTGGAGAAATGGCAAATCAGATATTAGAATTCATGTGAATTGCAAGTTATGGCAAGTAGCTAAAATAATCTTAAAACTAACCAGGTTGGAGGACTCACTTTTTTTTTCATTTCAAAACATATTACAGTGCTGCAGTCATCAAAACAGTGTGGTTCTGGCATAAGGATAGACAGATAGACCAATGGAATAGAGAGTCCAGAAATAGTCCTGTGCATCCACAGTCAAATGTCTGACAAGGGTGCAAAGAGGATTCAACAGGGTGAGAATAATCTCTTCAACAAATGTTGCTGGGAAAACAGGATATTCACATGCAAAGAATGAGATTAGACCTATCCCACTCCATATACAAAAATTAACACAAAGTGGATCAAAGACCTAAATGTAAGAACTAAAGTATAAAACTCTTAGAAGAAAGGTGTAAGTATTCATGACTTTGGATTTGGCAATGGACTTTTAGCTTTGACACCAATAGCATAAGCAACAAAAGAAAAAAATAGATAAAGTTGACTTTAGCAAAATTAAACTTTTGTGTATCAAAGAACACTGTCAAGAAAATGAAAAGACAACATATAGAACAAGAGAAAATATTTCCAATTTATATAACTGCTAAGGACCTAGAATTCAAAATGTACAAAGAACTGATACAACTTAATGATAAAAAGACAACCCAATTAAAATAAAATTTAAGAACAGGCAAACGACTTGGATATTTCTCCAAAGAAGATATATAGATGGCTGCCAAGCACATGAAAAGATGATTATAACATTTGGGGTCATTAGGGAAATGCAAATCAAAACTTCAATGAGGAAGCACATCACACCCCATAGGATGGTAACATAGCAGTAATAATAATAGCGACAAAGGTAAGAAGTGGGTCAGGATGTGGGGGAAGCGGAACTCTCACACATCGCCGTATGTAAAAGGTGAATGTAAAATGGCCCTGTGAAAAATGATTCAGCACTTCCTTAAAAAGTTAAACGTAGAATTACCATCTGAGCCAGGAATTCTACCCCTAAGTCTATAACCAAAAGAACTGAAATTAAGAATTCAAACAGATACTTGTAGATGAATGTTCCTAACAGCACTATTCACAAGAGCCAGAAGTTGGAAACAGCACAAATGGCCAATTAATGAATAAATAAAATATGGTCTGTCCATGCAACGGAACATTTTTCAGCTTTAACAAGGAATGAAGCACTCACACATATGACAGCATGGATGAGCCTTCAGAATATCCCTAAGTGAAAGAAGCCGGGAACAAAAGATCATATATTGCACGATTTCATTTATGTTAAAAAGATCCAGAATAGTTAAATCCAGAGACGGCAGATAAGTGGCTGTCATGGGCTGTGGAGGACGGAGGACAAAAGGGATGAAAATGTTCTGGAGGTGACTGTCACACAACAGTGTGAATGTACTGAATGGCACTGGATTGTACACGTTAAAAGGATTTTTATGTTATGTGAGACTCACTTCAATTAAAAACAAGCTATGAGTAAAAGAATGTGTATAGGGGGTGGTACAGAAAAGATATATACCACAAAACTTATTGCACACTTCTGGAGGTTGCTAGGATGCCAATCCATTATGCTGAAAATTGATAAATAAAGAGGAAAACTAAGCATTTATCCTGCCTTCCTGGTATTAATTGTATTTCATGATAAATCATAGCCTTAGTGGATGAGGGATGGCTTTTCTCAACAGAAGCACTCAAGCAAATAATTTCAGAAGGAGGAAGAGAGTTAGAAGTTCCAACACCTTATCAAAAATTGACTAGGTTAATGTCATCAATCGATGGTAACACTCTTCAGTGGAAGATCGATAGAGAAACTTACATTGAATGGATCATTGTTGCCATCTGAATTCGCTGATCAGTCTCAGCATCATTAAAAGTGAAGTTTAATCATTATGTGTCTCCTGATAGGCTGCAGTACAAAGAATACAGCTTCAGCTACCAAGTATCCATGCACAGAGAAAACCTGGATCTCATCAGCCCTGGCATTTAATTCCAAGCCTGCAGCAATGTGTGAGCAGGGGAACAAGTTAAACAGCCCCGGAAGCCACTGGGCAGATCCTAACGTGACCATCTAATGGGACACTTGACTTGCTTTCCTCAAAAAGCCAGCATGAGGTAGGAGATCTGTGAAATGGAGCGGGAGGTGGAGGCAGAAGAGACAACTCTAGATTTAAAGAGACTTAACAGATAGAGTTTTCTGACATGACATATAGACTTTGCTTGGATCTGGATTAAAATAAATCAGCTACTAAAATTCAGTTTTCTCGCTAATCAAGATGTTATCGGAAAGGGGTCCTGATCCAGACCCCAAGAGAGGGTTCTTGGACCTCACACAAGAAAGAATTCCAGGCAAGTTCATAGAGTAAAATGAAAGCAAGTTTATGAGAGAAGTAAAGAAACAAAAGAATGGCTACTCCATAGACCGAGCAGCACCAAGGGCTGCTAGTTGGCTACTTTTGTGGTTATTTCTTGATTATATGCTAAACAAGGGATGGATTATTCATGAGTTTTTTGGGAAAGGGATGGGGATTTCCCAGAACTGAGGGTTTCTCCCCCTTTTAGACCATATAGGGTAGCGTTGCATTTGTAAACTGCCATGATGCTGGTAGGAATGACTTTTAGCACCTGCTGTATTATAATTAGCATTTAACGAGCAGTGAGGACCACCAGAGGTCACTTTCATTGCCGTCTTGGATTTGGTGAATTTGGGCTGGCTTCTTTACCACATCCTGTTTTATCAGCAGGGCCTTTTTGACCTGTATCTTGTGATACCAGCTCTGTCCACCTCCTGTCTCATCCTGTGACTAAGAGTGCCTAGCTTCCTGGAAATGCGGCCCAGAGGGTCTTGGCCTCATTTTACTCAGTCCTTGTTCAAGATGGAGTCACTCTGGTTCAAACGTCTCTGGCAAAGGGAATTTGAGTATAGACTAAGTGTTTGTCTTAGTCAGTTCAGGCTGCTGTAACAAAATGCCTTAGACAGCGTGGCTTATAAACAACAGACATTTATTTCTCACAGTCTGGTGAGTCCAAAATCAAGCCTCCTGCAGATTCAGCATCTGGCAAGGCCCACTTCTTGGTTCATAGATGGCGGTCTTCTTGTTGCATCCTCACATGGTGCAAGGGGCGAGGCAGCTCTCTGGAGCCCGTTTATAAGGGCACTAATCCATTCATGAGGGCTCCATCCTCAGGACCTAATCACCTCCCGAAGGCCTCCCCTCCTAATCCATTATGTTGGTGATTAGGTTTCGTCATATGCATTTTGTGGGGACACAAACCCTGAGCCCACTGCAATGTTTGATTAAATGAAGGAGTTGTTTGTTTTGCAAAGCGTGAGTGTAGAACGGTAGTCATGCAAGAAGAGATTCCTTATTCGGATGCGTATTGAAGGATTTAGGAATGTGAGGACATGGGGTGTGCAATTTGCTTTAAAGCACTCAACCGTGCTGCAAGCCTCTCTTTCACTTCACGTACATCTCTCTCAGTGCTCTCTATCCAGTCCTGTGCCTGGAGGCTGACCCTAATATCCAGTAGTAAAGGGACTCTGTGTCCTCTGGAGACCTTTGGCTCAACCAGAGGCGAGAGGCTGTGCTCAGAGCACCTGCTCCTCTACCCCCGCTCGCTGGGCTGCAGTTCTTGTCTGGCAGCCCCTCATGCAGAGCCAGCTGCTGCCCCACTGGGTGAGTAACCACCCTCCCTGCCCATGCAGATGCAGTGGTCTTAGCTGCACCGCTGAGACCCTGCTAAGATCCCAGCCCTGAAGTGCGGCACTGGCCCTGCAGACTTCCTCCACCCGCCCACGCCTGTGGGAGCCATCCCTGCATCCACCTCTCCCCTGTCCCATTTAGAGTCACTTGTTACCTGTGGGACTGTGACTCTGGGGGAGGTAACATGTTTGTGGTTGTTGATGTCGGGCGACGGGTATGTGAGAGTTTTATGTATCCTCTACCTTTGTGTATGTTTTTGAAATTTTTCATAAGCAGAAAACAAACATAAATATACACAAACACTCTATTTTTCCATTATTAACATTATAAATTTATGTTTAAAGGTACACATGAGATGTTTTAGAAGGATACACACCATATTCCGACTGTAGCTACCTCCAGACGATGGGACTAGGAGGTAGCAGAGCAGGAGGGGGCAGAGCGGAGTGAGCTGGGAGGTGTCCTCAAGCTGGGAGGTGTCCGTGAGCTGGGAGGTGTCCTCAAGCTGGGAGGTGTCCTCAAGCTGGGAGGTGTCCGTGAGCTGGGAGGTGTCCTCGCGCTGGGAGGTGTCCTCGAGCTGGGAGGTGTCCTCAAGCTGGGAGGTGTCTGTGAGCTGGGAGGTGTCCGTGAGCTGGGGGGTGTCCTTGAGCTGGGAGGTGTCCTCGAGCTGGGAGGTGTCTGTGAGCTGGGAGGTGTCCTCAAGCTGGGAGGTGTCCGTGAGCTGGGGGTGTCCTTGAGCTGGCATGTGAACTCTCCTCCCCTCCTCCTCATAACCTCTCCCTCCTCATGATCTCAGTGCTTCCACTTATTTAAAATCACTCATTTAAATGAGTGAACCTCCACTCGTGTAAAATCACAGCTCAATATCACTCCCTCGGGGACGCTTAAACAGGGAGTGCCGTGGGCAGCCCTCCTGCACAGGCCACCGCTGCTCACACACTTCATCTTCACAACATTTATCTCAGTGGTCATTTACATTAATCTCTGTGAAAATTTGAGAATTCTCAGGGGGAGATTCTCCACTGTTCTCCGCAGGAATTTCTGTTCCCAGGGCTAGTTTTATACTGATCCATGTGATAATTTGTGGATGCCTCCTAGCTATGAGCTCTAAGGAAGCAGAATTTTTCATTATATTCCCAGCTTTGATCACAGTGTCCGGCAAATGGCAGGTCTTCAAACACGTGGGCTTTGTCAAATTCTTTGAAATTTCTACTAGAATGTATTCATTTTTCTGCCACTTAAAATAATTTTAAGTTATTGTTTTAATTTGTTGTAAATTTTGTTTGACTTTGAGGAAAATGTAGAAAAATAATCTAAAATCTTGAAGATAAGAAAGAACTTAAATGTCCATAGACAATAAGCAAAGGATAGGTTATGGAATTGCACAGATTTTAAAGTCTCTGAATGCAGAGTGTGTCATCATGACTTTGTAAGGCAAGTGAACTGGAGGAAAGCATTTGAAGACAACATGACAAACAACAAGTTTGTATCCTTAATATGTAAAGAGCATATTCAAATCAATATGAAAAAAGATATCTGTATACAAAGGATTGGCATGAATAAAAAGTTCAAGAAAGAAGACACACAAAAACAATGGAGCCGCAATGGAAGCAACATCACTAATTATCCAAGACATGCAAACGAAACGAAAATACTTCAAGTTCATCGGGTGAGAAAAGACTGAAACTCACTGCAATAGCTGATGCCAATGAGGGTCTGGGGGATGGATTCTCAGGACCCTCTGGGGGCTGGTAAGTGTCCCCTGTTCGAAGCTTCTGGGGGCAGTTTGGTGAAATGTGCCGAAAGGCTTTCACATTTGGAGATGTTTGCTCCACGAAGAAATGCCTACAAGGACAGGCTCACAGGACCTGTGACTAGAGCCAAGCTCCCGAAGCATGTAGGGCTTAGCTGCTCCCACTAAGATCACCAGCCCTGAGTCACTCCCTCTGTGCCCTTCCCCTACCCTCGCATCCCTGTGGGAGCTGTCCCTGCCTCCACCTCTCCCCCACTCCCCGATCAGGGACTTATTGTTTTTTGGTTTATGCTGGAGGAGCAGTGACAACAGACCAGGGCCAGGGGTGGAGACCCACACAGTAGGTCCACAGTCACTGCGAAAATGTGCACGCCACAATGTTGAGTAATTTTAAAAAAGGACCTTTTGTATATTAGGACCCATTTTGTTTCAAAATACATGTATGACATCACTATGCAGAAAATGTTAAAGCTGTAAAAACATGAACAGAATGCCTGAAGCGTGGGCCGTGGAGGGGCACGCTGACCTGCACACGCCTCCCACTTCATGGAAATGCCTTCGCGCTGCTTACTTTCTTGCTTTTCTTTCACAGGAGGCTTGTGTCACTTTTACAACCAGCGAAGTCACGTGTAGGTTCCGTGTCCAGGAAGAGAACCCCACCGCCTCCTTCTGGATGGCAGGTGTCCCTCTCGGCTGAGCAGGTGTCTGGGACCATGACATCCAACCTGGGCTCTCCTGGCCCCCAGAGAAGAGCTGCCCAGTGCATGTGCTGGCTGCACCGTGACGTCCCCTATGAACGAGGCCCACAGGCAGTGGCTGGCTGGGGGGATGCCCCTGCCCTGAGCTGGAGTCTCCCCAGGTGGCTGCTTCTTCCCCACCCCGAGGGTCACAGCCCAGCCCAAGCTCCAAGGGAATGGAGCAGCTGCCTGCACCAAGCTTCCCTCCTCTGGAGAAAGCACCTCCTCTTCTCCCTCACGTGCTCCCTGATGACCGCCAGGCTCCTTGACATGGTTCCCAGGACCAGCCTCTCCCAGGGTCCCTACTCCCAGTACCCCAGTCCTCACCATTTGTGACCCTTCAGCCCCTGCTGAACCCTGCCAGCCCCAGGACAGGCCACAGCTGTCATGCCACCTCCCAGCCATGATGAATGGGGAACGGGGAACTGTCTGACCTTGGGCTGGGTTCAAAAGCAGGGTCAGCCCAGGCACAGAGCCTGTTTGTTTGAGTGAATTGAGTGGGAGGCTGCTTTCTCATCGGGCTGAGGAGGGTTCAGAGGATTGTGGTCTCTTTGTTTTCATTCAAGGCTCCATCAGCCGGGGCCCTGGCAGGAACCAGAGTTCACTCAACCGTTCACAGAAGGGTGCCTTGCAGAGGCGCAGGCAGGGTGAGCAAGGATGGCGTGGAACTCGAGGGGGGGTGCCACAGTGGATGTTGTCGCCACCTGTGGCCTGAGGAGCAGGGCAGGAGCCATGCTGCTGGGTCCCAGGGAGGCCATGCGGGGCACTCCACAGAAGCTGGGTCTGGAGACTGGGGGTCCCCGTGAGGCCATATGGGGCACTCTACAGAAGCTGGGCCTGGAGACTGGGGGTCCCCGTGAGGCCATGCGGGGCACTCTACAGAAGCTGGGTCTGGAGACTGGGGGTCCCCGTGAGGCCATATGGGGCACTCTACAGAAGCTGGGTCTGGAGACTGGGGGTCCCCGTGAGGCCATGCGGGGCACTCTACAGAAGCTGGGCCTGGAGACTGGGGGTCCCCGTGAGGCCATGCGGGGCACTCCACAGAAGCTGGGCCTGGAGACTGGGGGTCCCCGTGAGGCCATGCGGGGCACTCCACAGAAGCTGGGCCTGGAGACTGGGGGTCCCCGTGAGGCCATGCGGGGCACTCCACAGAAGCTGGGTCTGGAGACTGGGGGTCCCCGTGAGGCCATGCGGGGCACTCCACAGAAGCTGGGCCTGGAGACTGGGGGTCCCCGTGAGGCCATGCGGGGCACTCTACAGAAGCTGGGTCTGGAGACTGGGGGTCCCCGTGAGGCCATGCGGGGCACTCCACAGAAGCTGGGTCTGGAGATGAGGGTCCCCGTGAGGCCATGCGGGGCACTCCACAGAAGCTGGGCCTGGAGACTGGGGGTCCCAGCTCTTGCCAGCAGCACAGCCCCATGCAGGGAGGGCACGAGGAATAAATGCCGCGACCTCAGCCTGTCTCTCCAGCCTGCTCTGTGCCCCAGGGGAGACTCCATTAGTGGAGCCCAACTCAAAATAGGGAGGGAAGGGAGCCTGGATGGACAGAGGGCCCCAGTCATCTTAGGGCGGGTGGAGTGGGGTCGGGGGAGCCGGATGGGGCCTGCAGGGCAGCGGGTCCCACCCAGGCCCACCTGCAGACATCAGGGGCCTCATCTGGGAATGCGGGGCCAGGATGCTCTTGAACAAATGGAAGTTTTGGCAACTCTGGACTTTGGGGTAATAGGCTGGGACCATAGAGATGTGACCCACAGCTCCTGTCCATGCTGGCTCTCATGGCCACTGGTCTCCCTCACTTGGTCTCCGGCCTGCCCTCTGCTTCCGAGTCCGCCACTCCCCACCCAGCCTCTGTCATTTGCACGCTGTTGATGAACTGTACAGCGCGGAGGTGGAAAATGATAATCTCTCCCTCCTCAAACAGCTCTGGTCCCACTAAGCCCAGTAATAAGGAGGAAATGCAAAATGAATCTGCCGCAGAAAACCAATAAGCGCCGAGGCTCAGAGCCTTTGGCAGGGAAGAGCACAAAAATGCCAAATACAATTTTTTTCTATTAACATTATATCCGCAGGCTCTTGTCAAGGAAATATCTGATCGGATCCCAAAACGAGCAATTATGAGAGCTCACTGTCTGAGCGAGACGCCTCTGGCAGAGGAATTTAATTTTGGAAAGTGTCCTATCTCAAACCATGGGTCTGGCCTGCTTTCTGGGGGAGGAGGCCAGACCACCAGGGAGAGACTGGTCTGGGGGATGCGTCCCTGTGGCAGAGGTGACTCCCGGTCAGGCAGAGGATCCAGAGAGCACTGGAGGCTGAGTCCTCAAGGTCCCCAAGCATGAGGCCTTTGAGGTTGGGGCTGGGGGTGAGGCTGGAGAGTCACAGAGCAGCAAAAGCCTGGGGTCCTGTGTGCAGCATGGACAGCAAGACACAGCCACTGACTGGACACAGAGGGGACAGGCCCTGGAGTGACAGCATGGCCTGTCGGGCACACAGGGCCTGGGCTGCCACCAGCAAGTGTGCAAAGAAGGAAAAGGTGCCCTCTCAGGACTGTTGAAATGGGAAGGTGCCCACCCCTTCTAGGGGAGGACCTGGAAGAGGCCCCTTCCTGAACTCAGCCAGGGTCAGAGCAGGCACTCTGGGAGCTGGTAGTGGCTAGACCAGACCCTCACCACAGCCAGGAGCCCTGGGGCGCAACTGATGGCAGCTGGACCCACCCTCACTCCTGGTGCGTGTCCTGAGGGCATGCCTGCCTGCAGGGTCCCTCACTAAGGCCCTGGCCCAGGTGGTGACAGATGGGAACAGAGGAAGGGGCATGGAGGAGGCTCTGGACTCGGAACACCCACCTGGCTGCTCAGGGGGCAGGGAGGCCAGCGGCCACCACACAGGGTGGACCTGGACATTTGCTCTGGGGAGTGGACTCACTGCTGAGGGTCTTCTGGCCAGGAAAGATGCCTGCAGGTCCCACGGCAGGGCAGGAAGGATCTGGGGGCTCAGTGGAGCCAGCGTGAGAAGCAGGGAGGTGTCCATGAGCTGACAGCCCCCTCCTCAATCCAGGATCTCCAGGTGAGCAGCAGGCCACTGTTCTTGTCCTCCCCATGGATGGCCCAGATCGTGGGAAGGGTCAGGCTCCCCCAGACCCCAGAGGCAGCCCTGCCAGGCTCCAGAGTCCCAGCACCGTGAGTGCCATCCGGTGACCCCAGGTCCTCCGCAGACACTTGCTCTCCATTCATGGTCTCCTCCTCTCCTCACCTGATCCCCTTCAGGACTCCTTCCTTCAGCCTGGAATCCACCTCACCGGATCCCCAGCTCCTGCCCTCCGAGCACTGTCCTGGGAGTGTCCTGGCCTCTCTCCAGCGGGGCCAGGCCTGGAGCTGAGCTCTTCTTTCCGGGGCACTAACCTTGGAGGGCCTGGACAGAATGAGTCGGGGCAGCACCTGCAGGATTTCTGTTCTAACAACATGCCCCAGGCAGTTCTCCTAGGCCTGATTTCAGCAGAATTGGACCCTCTGCCCGGGAACCTATGTGGAAGCTGAAAACTTGGCTGGGAGGGGAAGTGGATGTTCAGCCCCATGCTCCCATCTTGGCCAAATGTTGGAGCAGATCCATTCGCAGGCTCCAAATGTGCACATACATAAGGGTTTGGGGAACTTTTGCAACGCTGCCTACACAACTCACGGGGACGTCAGCACGTGCGTTGTTTGTTTGAATGGAACCGGCTGTCTTTGGGGCTCTGGAGTCACTTGCAGAATGCACAGTGCCCTCTCTCTACTCCCTGCCTCCCTTTGACCATTGATTTGTCCAGTGGATGCCAGCATCAAACCAGCAGGACAACAAAATGCCGGCATCCGTGACAAGGACCTGGGTTGTTGGCCATGGAAACCTAATCAATGTGGAGCTGCTCATGGAACAATCCTCCACCTCCGGCATGTCAGGCAGAGCAGGGCAGGGGCAATGGGCAGGGCTTCTTGGGATGAGGCAGGGAAGAGCCAGCGGGGAGCCTCCCTTGGCTCAGGGGTCTCCTTTGTGGTAAGCAGTGAGAACCAGGGCCCTTCAGAGGGGAAGCAGACCGTCGGTGTCCAATGTGACCCCAGGAGGGTGTGGCCCACCCCAAAAAAACAGTGTTGGGGGGTCTTCTTACCTCAAGCGATGCCCCGTCGTGTCCCTAGCCAACCTGGGTTTCCAGGAATAGATGTGGGAGGAGGGACCCCCACGAAGGAGGTGACTTTCCTGAACAAAGCAACCTCCCAAGACTCTTAGAATCTGATAACCCTTCACTCTTACTCCTCAGGGGAGAAGAGTCTCTTCCGGCCAGGCCATGGCAACCATGGGTTTGATGAGCTGTTGAATTTCCTACTGGAAATCAGCAGCCCAGAGCCCTGCTTCTATGGCAGGGTCAGGCAGGGTCAGTCAGTGCTCGCGGCATGGACTCGGGAGCGAGAGGGCCAGTGTCCTGGTTTACAGAGCGTGGGGTGCAGGGAGCTGATTATTCACTCTGTGTCTCCATTTCGTTTTTTGCAGAATGAGCTTTGGTGTGGATTTAACCTGAACAGGGCAGGCACAGAGTGTATGCTCTGTGTGAATTGACCTTCTGTATTTTCATCCTTCAGACGTGGAACCAATAGAATCTCCTTTATAAATGTATCGATCATTTCTGCCCAGAATCTCTTCCTGTTCTTAATCACTTGGCCTGAGGCTCCACTCCTGACCCCATAACTGTACAGGGTTCCCTCAGGCAGCAGGCTCCTTAAAGAAAAAACTTTACTCTTTTTTTTAATAGAGTAAGTGAGTCACATCCTTTTCAGAAGTAGCATCCTAACGTTAGTACATAAGATGAAGTCACAAATAGCAGAATGACCAAAGGCAACACCTTCGTAAGCCCTTGAAATACAGTGACGGACACAACACCCCTCCCTGGACCCATGGGTGTTGCTTCCTGCAGCCAGGGACCAGGTTCCTGTGTCTCCATCAGAGCCCCAGGCCAGGGAGTGAGTCTGCATTTACCGGCTGTGTTGCATGAAAAGCGTGGGCCTCTCTATGGCACGAACATGCACCTCGGCTCCCTGGAGGAATGAAGGGAGGCCCTAAGTGTCAGGCAGTGACCGCTAACCAGGGACCACAGCTTCACTGTCAGGGTCTACTGGAGCCGTGGCCTCACCAGGGTCCTAGGCTGCTCATCCCCGTGGCATGAAGGCCAACCAAGTTGGTGGAGAAAGAAAATAAATCACCGCCTGCACAGTGAAAATTCTGTTGGACGTTGAGACGGCTGTGGCGACCGTTCTCCTCTGCATCTTACCTGTGAGCAGCAGTCCTGTGGAGCGCAGCAGCGCCAGTGTGTTCTCAGGAACCTTCTGTCCGAACGGAACAGTTAGTGTTGCAGGCGTGGTCTAGTCGAGAGACAGAATTGACTCAAGACATTTCACAGGGAGGAAATGTAATGCAGAGAATGGGTGGAAGAACACAGAAGCCAAACCCAGGGGCGTGGAGCAGTCCAGAATTTAGCAACAGCAGGAATCCAGCACACTGCTCTTTGTCTTGGGTTAGAGGGAGAAAGACGGAGGCAAAGCTGGGACTTCAGTAACAGCAGACGCTCCCAGACAAGCCAGACACACCGGAGGGAGCGAGACAGAAAAGCACCAGGCTGTGGCCTCCCCACATCTCCCGCCTGCCATGTCCTGCTGAGGCCTCCCATTGGCCAGGGATGCTGTGGGTGGGCCTGTTCAGGTTCTTGACATCTGTGCACGAAATAATTTGGGAGCAAGTCCAAAGTAAGAGTGGGCAAAGAAGTTTATTGCAAAGCGAAAGTGTGCACCACTAGCTGGGTCAGAGCGGGCTGCTCTGGAATAAGACAGTGAGACTGGCACTGGGAAGTTCCTTTGATGGGAGTCTCACATGATTATTCCTGAAGGAGCAGGAACTAAGCATGTTGTGGGTGGGTTCCTGGGCCTACAGAGGCCGTCACTGTACATGCTGGCACATACATTGCCTGTCTCATTAGCATTTTAAATCTCTGCCCAGGCATGTGTTTTTCACTATTACAGTGAGCAAAGTTCAACATAAGGACATGGTTCTTGGCTCGGCCTTTGGGACTTTTCCTCCAACAGTCACTCCTCCTTCAGCAAGGAAGTTGCCCACTGCGGGTGACCACAGATGTCTGTCCCAGCCACTTTCTGGAGCGTCCGTTACTGACCGGGGCCCCTGTGCTAACCTGTTGGCCCCATTTGGCTTGCTCTTAGCCGCCTGCAGGTAATCTTGCCTGTTGCCTCGGTAACTGCCTGCTTAAGAACTGCCCAGAAATGGGGGACAAGGAGGCCAGGGAGTACAGCACCCTTGGGAAGCAAAGAGCAAAGCAAGGTCAGCGAGTGGGTCCAAGGGCAAAAGCAAGTGGCCCGCATGTCTGTGCATCTTTGAGGTTCCTGGAAGGTAAGTTTAAATGTTTGCTGTTTTTAATATATTGTGGGGCTTGGGGGCCAATTTTTTTTATCGTGGTAAAATACACATAACATAAAATTGACTATCTTAACCATTTTTAAGTGTACAGTTTGATGATACTAAGTACATTGCTTTTACTGTGCAACCATCACCACCATCCAGCCCTCCATCCATCCATCCCTCCATCCATCAATCCATTCCTCCCTCCATCCATCCCTCCATCAATCCATCCCTCCATCAATCCATCCCTCCATCGATCCATCCATCCATCAATCCCTCCATCAATCCATCCCTCCATCAATCCATCCCTCCATCAATCCATCCATCCATCTGTCCATCCCTCCATCCATCTGTCCATCCCTCCATCAATCCATCCATCCCTCCATCCATCCTTCCATCCATCCCTCCATCCACCCATCCCTCCCTCCATCCATCCATCCCTTTGTCCATCCTTCCATCCATCCCTCCATCCGTTCATCCATCCCTCCATCAATCCATCCATCCATCCCTTTATCCATCCTTCCATCCTTCCATCCCTCCATCCACCCATCAATCCCTCCCTCCATCCACCCATCAATCCCTCCCTCCATCCTGTGAGTGGGATCCCACTGCACCTGCATCACCTCCCCCAGGTGCATCACACTGTGGCATGTGTTAGAAATTCCTCCCTTCTTAAGTGACTGATAATGGGGGTGGGGTGGGCTCACCTCTGTCCTTCTGGAATGTGTTTTCTACGTCCTTTATCATTTTTCTGGTCCCTCCTTTACTGCATTGTCTTCTTTTGTGTTTAGTCGATTTTCTGTAGTGAAATGTTTAAATTCCTCTCTCATTTCCTTTTGTGTTTACTCTGCAGCTATTCTCTTTGTGGCTGATATAATAAAGTTGCTACACTCTGACATGAATTTATCCTGGTTAAATGTCAATAACACAAAAACTTCCACTCCTTCACATCTCCATTCCCACTTCCTTCAGTTGTTGATGTCACAGAATTATATCTTTATATGTCATGTGTCCAAAAACAGAAACAAATAATTTTTAAATGTATCTGTCTCTTTAACTATGTAGAAAATAAAATGTGGAAACCCAAAACAAAGTTATAATACTACTGACAACTTTTATACAGTACCTGTTTACTATTCAATTGGGTTGTCTATTTCTTACTGACTTACAGACTTTACAAATATATTCTGGATATGAGTCCTTTGCCAGTTACGTGTGCCTAAATAGTTTCTCCTCCTAGGTGGTTTATATCTCTACTTTCAAATTTTTTTTGAGACAGGGTTTCACTGTCACTCAGACTGGGGTGCAGCGGCAAGATCATAGCTCACTGCAGCCTTGATCTCCTGAGCTCAAGCCATCCTCCCACCTCAGCCTCCGGAGTAGTTGAGACTACAGGCACACATCACCACATCTGGCTAACTTTTAAATTTTCGTTTTCGTAGAGACAGGGTGTGTCTATGTTGCCCCGGGTGGTCTCCAACTCCTGGGCTCAAGCGATCCTCCCACCTCAGCCTCCCAAAGTGTAAAACATTTTTTTAACTTAATCCCAACTGTGATAATATAAAACATGTTTTTTATTTTAATTCCTAATTTTAATTAAGTGCAATCAAGACATTTTAACCCTTAAATTTGTTTCCTATTAAACGTCCATCTCTGCCACGAGGCCAAGAGTTATTCCCCTGTTATCTTCTAAAAGTTGTTTCACAGTTGGACTATGGTCTAGCTGGAAGTGATTTGGGGGAGGATAAGGAACATTGGAAGATCCATTTATTTGCGTATGGATATCCAATTGGCGTGGCATTATGGGAAAGACTCCTGCCACCCTGCAGGGTCACCTTTGTCATAGATGAAGTCTTGGTGCACACGTGTGATGATTCCTAGGCCCTCTGGGTGACCAGTACTTCGGTTGTCTTTCTGACATTGTTGCTTCATCACCAGTGTAACGTCTGAGGGCACAGTCCTGCACCTCGGTGGCTGCTGTTCTGCTCATCTTGGATGTCCTCTTTTCTTACGTGTTTACACACACGTTAGAATCAACACATTTATTTTTGCAAAAACAATCTTCCAGGATTTTGAATAGGCTTGCCTTGAACGCATAGAGACATTTGAGGAGAATGTCATCTGGACAAGATCCTTTCAAGCTAAGGATGGTTTGGGAGGGTATATGTATCTGTTGTGGTGGTGGTAGCCCATTAAATACTGCTTATAAACAACCTCTTTCAAAGGCAATTTGGCAATGTCTATTAAAATAGCGAGTGCACTACTCTGTTAGCCAACAATTCTACTTCTAGAAATTTATCCTAGCGTTACACTCACTCAGATTCACAAAGACAAACTATTTTAATTGGATCTTAATAGTATCTTTGTTTGACAAGATGAGGAATAATCTAAATGCTGTGTATAAGGAACTTGGTAAATAAACTATGGTGCATCCATATCACAGAATACTGTGGCAATGTTAAGAAGAATGAGGTTGGTCCATATTCCCTATGTACAATTGTGGACCCATATATTGTTAAGTGAAGAAAAAAGGAGAATGAGACAGAAAGAAAGAGGGAGAAAGAGAAATAGAAGGAAGGGAGGGAGGGAGGGAGAGAGGGAGAGAAGAGACAGGGAGGAAGGAAAGAACAGGAAAGAGAGGGATGGAGGGAAGATGGGGAAACACAGGCCCAGTGCCTTCCAGAAAGGAGCTGCCTCTGTGTGCGTGTGGATGCGTGTGCATGTGTGTATAGGTGCGTGTGCGCATGTGTGTGTGCGTATGTGTGGCGTGTGTAGGAAATATATGCGCCTAATCTTAAGATATCTCTTAAAGGACACTAAACAGCTGCTAAGGGTTGTGCCTCCAGGAACACAAGCTGCTGGCTAGAGATGGGGGTGGGAAGATGTGGCTGAGATTGCCAGCCGTTCAGCAGGCTTGGCCCATCTTCCTTCTGGGCACAGTGAGACCACATTTCTCAGCCCACAGTTGGCATGAGAATGTCTCTGGGCAGCGGTCAGGTCACAGGCCCGTCCTGTGCTGCTGTCGTCTTCCTCTCTGAGGTCTTCCAGCTGGAACAAGGCCTTGACAGCAGGCGACCCCTTGCCCCACACAGTGGAGTATTCTTTTGCTCTGGAGTGGCGTTTCCCAAAGCACATCTGCAGGCCTCTGCCTCATGCAGGGTCACCTTGACACTGTTGAAATGCAGATCCCTGGCACCATCTCTGCAGAGTCATACTCTAGATAGAGGCCCAGGATCTGGGGTCTGTGTTTCAAGGAGCCCTGGGGGGCACTGCCTTTGAGAGCAATCACTTGACAGCAGCACTCCCCAACCTGCCTGATGCACTGGGATGATCCTTACACACCCAGACCTAGAGCCCCGTCCACGGAGATGCGAGTTCGGGAGCTCTGGGGGCCCAGGAACCTGTATTTCAAGCACACGTCTGCATCCCCGGTTCTTACCATGCAGAGAACTTGGGAAGCTGCTTTAGGAGACCCCCACCTTAGATGGTGTGGAACCCCCTCATTCTAGGGCATGGGCACGCACAGGGACTCCCTCCCCAACAGCTTCGGGGGCTGTGATGGCATCACAGCTGGGGGAGGAGAGCCAGGCCGTGCACTCGCAGTGCCCAAGTCAGGGGGCCAGCCTTTGTTGTGTGCCACCGGCCTGCCCTTGAGGGACCTGCTAAGTGTTTTGCATCCTGCCAACCCCCTCAGGGAGTGGGCAGGCACCCGGTCACTAAGAATGACGAGTGGCAGCAGGAAGCGGAGACACACCTGACTGAAATTGGTGACCTTCCTGGGGAAGCTCAATCCACAGCCACTGCTGAGTGCCATTGTCAGCTGTTTTCTCCATCTTGAAATCAGCATCCCAATGAAAGTCCTATGGGCATGAGCTCGGCCAGACCGCATTGATCATCTGTCTCACTTTTCTTTCTATTCTATTTTTAGGGGTTTTTTTCTCCTCTTCAAAGAAACAAGTTGTGTAAAAGTTGCAGAAGATTGAGGAATACTGAAAGAGATGAAAGGCCTCGTTTCATCCAGGCCTCAGGGATGAGCCCCGTAACAGGTCAGCGCTAGTTTTTCAGAGCCATCAGACACAGTCATGTGAATGTGTGTGTGTGATAGGTGTACACACACATACATACATGTGCACATATAGTCTTCCAGGGCACACAGGATGGTCACTTCTTCAGTAACTGCTACTCAATATTTCATGGTATAATTATGCTGTGATTTGTTTACTACGTTCTCTATTGGTAGAATTTTCGCTCTTACAAATTTGTTTCACTTTGTGCTCCTATAATTTTGCCATGAATAATCCTAAAAATACACATTTGTGTAGTTATACAAGTGGCTCTGTCCTGCCATGGTTGAGAGAGGAGACTCGGGAGTTGGATGCATGGGTTAGAGGCACAAATCCAGGCTCAAGGACTTACTACCCATGTGAGCACTGTCTTAGTCCATTGTGTGTTGCTCTGAGAGAATACCTGAGGCTGCGTAGTTTATAAAGAAAAGAGGTTTATTTGGCTCACGATTCTGATGGCTGAAAAGTCCAAGTTTGGGCAGCTGCATTTGGTGAGGGTCCTAGAATACTTCAACTCATGGCAGAAAAGAGAAAGGGCATCAGGTGTGTGCAAACAGATCACACAGTGTTGGGGGGGAAGCCAGAGAGGGAGACCAAGGAAGAAAGAGAGGGAGACCGATGAAGCCAGAGTGGGAGATGAAGGAATCCAGGCTTTTAAAGCATCCTCTCTCTCAGAAACAAGTCCATTCCTGGGAGAGCGAGCACTCACTCACTACCAAGAGAACAGCACCAAGCTATTTGTGAGGGATCCATCCCCATGATCCACACACCTCCCACCTCTCAACACCACACTGGGGATCCCATGTCAACCTGAGTTTTGGTGGGGACCAGAGAGCTACATCCAAACCATAGCAACCATGGACCCATTACTCAACTCCTCTTCACTTTCACCTGCTAAGTGTGGAAAATTTGTACTGTCAGTCCTTACATGAGTGCTTACATAAGAGAGCTTGTGTGAAGAGTAAGGTAACATACTCAGGCATGTTGGAGCAGTGCTCACCTCACAATAAGTTCTTGGTAAGTGTTAAGTACAGTTTTATTACTGGTGAGGAGTTTTCTAGTAAATACATAGAGGTAGAATTGTTGAGCGAAAATATAGTTTGGCCACTTCTTTTGTCCTTGGTCAGGTCACAATCTCCTGTAAATCTTTCACAAAACACAGTCAGTGATTTACATGCTTCTCCTTTAATCTCAGACTTAGTTTTTAAAACTAAGTGATTGCCATCTTTGCATTTCATCTCAGTGCTGTAAAATTATCCCGGCCTATGTGCGGGAAGGGGTAAGGGCCCCTTAAACAAAGATGGAGTGAGTGATGTCCATTCTTTTGCTGTTTC
The DNA here is from genome assembly GCF_000001405.40 of Homo sapiens. Classification (NCBI taxonomy): domain Eukaryota; kingdom Metazoa; phylum Chordata; class Mammalia; order Primates; family Hominidae; genus Homo; species Homo sapiens. Next base: position 131,377,925 of record NC_000012.12, read on the forward strand.
ACTGCCACAGCAGGAGAGATGGGAACGGGGGGCAGATGTGGAAAATATTTGGAAGGAGATCTGATGACATGTGTCAGTGTGGGAGTGAGAGGGGGAGAACCAGCGCTAACTCTTGCATTACCGACACGAGAAACTCAGCGTCACTGAGCCTGCAGGAGCGTGGTAGAGGGGATATAGGTAGGGTTCGTTGTGGGTAAATTTGAGAGGCAGTTCAGGGTGGTGGACAAAGCTGCAGACTCTGTATCAGAGAATTAAACGAGACAACCCCAGCAGGGACTAAGTACACAGCAAGCGCTCAGTCATGCCATCATGATGAATGTCAGACGTCCCAGGGTCATTCAGGTGTCCACCAGAGACATGACCACAGGCTCCAGGGTGGAGACGTAGAAGCTTGTGATCTCCGTGGTGATCGCGGTGGAGGTGGGAAGGGATCGGCTCCGCAAGCTGTCCTGCCGGCTGGCTCTGCTGGCTGCCGTAATGAAGGCTCCCCGGAGCCATGCCACACCTGCCCGTGTGCGTGTCGCCCGTGGCTGTCCTCACTCTACCACGGTGAAGTTGAGTGACTGCAACAGAGATAGCGAGGCCACAAAGGCTCCAATCCCTACCGCCCATCCCTTCCCAGGAAGCCCTTGCCAACAGCTGGATTCTATTCCCGAGCAGGAGCACATATAGAGGAGGGGCGGGGTCTGGGGCCTCAGGAGCTTCAGCTTAGATGTTGCTTACAGGAGGAGAGGAGGGGCCGGCGCAGGGCCCCAGGGGTGTCCCGAGAGATGGAGGAGACAAGTCAGGGAAAGGGAGGGTTTCCATAAGAGAAGGGCCAGCCCGCCCCTGCCGCGATCCTTGTGGTTGCTTTGCTCTTCGCCTGAGGACCAGATTTCTCTGCAACCTAATCTTCGAGGCAGATGAACCCCACAGCCCTTAAGGTGACGTCTCCTCTACCTCAGAGGAGATGTTCGGTCTGAGCATCTTGGAGTGTCCTGGAATCTTCTGGCTCCAAGGCCAAATGCCCAGGAAAGGGCTGGGGTTGGGCCGGCTCCTGTCAGGTGCTGGTAAAGGCCTAGTCAACTGTCCGTGATGGGCAGGGTCTCACTGCAGGCACTCGGCAGCCGGCCCACCCCGGGTGTCTGTAGTCCCACGTCTTCAAGACACCCTTTCAGTGGCTACCCCCGAGACTGGGCAGTGGGAGCCCTTTATTCTGGGAGCCTGATGCAGTGAGAAGGTGCATTTGGCACTGCGATTCCACAAGGCACGCCAGGCATCTATGCAACTGTCCATTGGAGACTCCAGATCCCAGCTGCAGACAGGGTCGCAGAGCGTCCCCACCCACACACATAGCCTGACAGGCGGCCTCAGCCTAGCGTGGACATGGAGCCTTCACATAGCACTCCGGCTCAGGCCACCATGACGTGCTTAACTCTGCTACCTACCGAGCCCCAGAGTTCCCCCGGGGGCCCCACGTCTGAGACCGTCGTGACCACAGACACCAGGGTGGTGACCAGCTGCCTCCCCGGGGGGCCTCCCCTGCTGTGGGCGGCTCAGGGCTGCCCCACCAGGATGCCCCCATCAGCCGCCTGGTCTCTCAGGGTCTGCCGCGACTGCCCCATTCCTGATTCTAGTCTTTGCTTTTTGAGACAACAGAGCACAAATTCCATTTCAGAGGCAACCGTGAGGCGTGCGACATGGCCGCAGATGGGGTTTATTTCTTGGATTTTTCTCTCCAGTGTCCCGTCTGATCTGAGCTCTGTTCATTAGAACTCAGGGTGTTTCTTGCTGATTGAGTGAGAACGGACACAGAGCCCTGAATTCTCCTGGAGGCTGCTCATTGGAAAGTCTGCTCCAATTCACTGCAGATATATAAAGCCTCGCACCAGACTGCATCTCGGGAAACACTGTTCTGCTCTGTTCTATTTTGTCCTGTTCTATTTCCCCCAAAGGCTGAGTGCGGAGCTTCCTGAGGCAAAACTCCTGTGGACCCACCAGGAAGCTGGTCTTGAAAGATGCTGCACCAGACGACTCGTCCACTCACTAGAGACTCACTTTGCCGGAGAAGGGCTCGGGCGTCGTTGGAAGAACCCAAAGCCAGGCATGAAAGGACCTCAGCCAGGGAGGGCACCGCATTCACACAAATGCTGCGTGTTCCCATGGAAACAGCACAAAACCTGACCGAGGAAATGAATGCTGAATGTAAACTATTTGTTTAATTTTAATGGGAGTCAATTTTTAGCGGTGTATTCCCAGTGCTATTTGAAATTTTCATAGGGTAACAGTAAATGCCTCTAATCTTTTTGTTTTTAATTGGCTTTTCCAGTGGACTGATTCCCCGTGAATAAAGGGGAGAAACGCAAAGCAATGTAAACAAAGCCAAAAGCAGGAGCAACGCCAGGGCAAACGGAGGCAGAGTCCTCGCGTATCTGTGATCAGCACCGGCCCATCCTGGGTGCAAGAGAGCCCGCTGCCAACTCGCCCCCGTCACAGCAGCTGCCTCAGCCTCCCCAGCCAGCTGTCCCTAGCCCTGGACCTCACCACCCCTGCCAGCCCGTGCCATCCTCAGTTTCGGGGCTCACTGCGGCTGCCGCTGGGCTTGAGGGAAGGGCAGTGGTGGGCGGGAGAGGCGGGAGGCCCTTCTATGGTGCCCGTGGAGTTGTTTCCTGTGTGGGGTGCAGGCTGCCCAGCTGTGTTCACTGTGAAAATCTACCCGGACACACATTCACAACTGGTAAATTGAACTTCAATAAAAAGGTAAAATGTAGGTCACTCCCTGAGCTGAGAAGGAAGCTCTCATTTATGAGAGGGACCATGATGGACCACGCGCCATTTATGAGCTGCTCACCGCGGACAGACCGTGTGTCCAAATCGGGGCCTCCAGGGCCCAGCGAGCTGCTCTGACCTCCGAACGTGAGACAGAGCTACCGCCAGTTCTAAGAGCTCCTCTCCTCTCCCTCTCCCTCCCTCTATTTTCTCTCCCCCATCTCCATTTCTCCCTCTCCCTTCATTTCTGTGTCTCACTCTCCCTCCCCTCTTCACCCTCCCTCTCCCCCTGCACTTCTCCCTCTCCCTCCGTTTCTGAGGGACATGGCCTGAGCGCTGGCACATGCCATGGTGAGCCCCAGGGGAGGACACAGGCTCCCTGCCACTCCCCGCAGGGGTCACTGAGCACGTGGGGAATAAATGAGGGGACTTGGAGCCTGACGGTGCTCGTCTCAGGCCCTGCTCCCAAAGCCTGGTCCACACCCAGCAGCCTCCACCGCGGGACTGGGCAGGCTACGAAAGGGGAGCCTCGGGCCCCTGAATAGGTCTGTGCGCTCCAGGGCAAGGGAGAAGACCTGGCCTGGCTCAGGGGCAGAGAACTGTTCTTGGGGCTCTCCGGAGTCACCACTGCTGTTAGCAGTTAGGCCAATGGGCAGCGAGACCCATGGGGAGCGAGACTCCCCGTGGGGAGAGGGTCCCGTTCCCCGTCTGCCTGTTTCGGGGGGGCCAGTGTCCCAGCATGGTGGCTAAGGTGGAGTCACATAAGAGTGACAGAGAAGAGACCCAAATCTCCTGGCCTCAGCTGGGAAGCAGCCTCCCCACCGGCTGCCTAGACCCCTGAGGCTGGAGGAGCGGGACTCACAGGACAGAGTTGAACGGAGGCCTCAACCCCGCAGGCGCAACCGAGTTGTTTTCAGGGCTCAGGGGGAGGGAGCGGACAGAATCTCGTGTTCTTCCTGACTGAAGCTGGACCCCGCTATGACCCCTCCCTATACTCCACCATCCACCCTCCTGAAAGATAAATGGCCTGGAGGGCTTCACCCGCAGACATGAAAGACCCAGGGGAAGAGCTCGGGGTCTCCCTGCTCCCTTGATCAAGCAGCCCAGAGGTTCCCAGCCCAGGGAAGGCTGTAGAGCAAAGGTCATTGGGTGGTCGCCGGCGACCAGGGAAAATCAGTGTCCACCCTCAAGCAGGACCCTGCCAGCCTGTGTGGCTGACCCCTGAAGGAGGGCTCACTGGATGGCAGGTTTGAGGGCGATTTGCTTGGGTCCAGGCTGGGGGGTTCTGCCTGGCCCCCCCAGCCAGCCTGTCCTGAGAGTGGGCTGGTGCTGGCCCGGCGTCGGCCTCCGTGCCCACCTCCTGGCAGGAGGGCCCTTGGCGCAGGCCCACACCTTGCACCTCGGTTACTTGAGGCACAACCCAAACAGGCAGGGGTTCTCCCATCTCCAGGTTGTGAGCTTGGCGTCTCCAGGGAAACTGCCCCAGCCTCTGCCAGCACCGAGGAGGCAGAGCCTGGATCCATAAAGGAACTCAAGCCCTGCAAACCCCAGTACTGACGAGCCACCTCCCCGGGGCACTGTGCCCTCTCTGATTCCCACTCCCTCCTGGTGCTGCTGAGCCACCTCCCCGGGGCGCTGTGCCCTCTCTGATTCCCGCTCCCTCCTGGTGCTGCTGAGCCACCTCCCCGGGGCGCTGTGCCCTCTCTGATTCCTGCTCCCTCCTGGTGCTGAGCCACCTCCCCGGGGCGCTGTGCCCTCTCTGATTCCCCCTCCCTCCTGGTGCTGCTGAGCCACCTCCCCGGAGCACGATGCCCTCTCTGATTCCTGCTCCCTCCTGGGGCTGAGCCACCTCCCCGGGGCGCTGTGCCCTCTCTGATTCCTGCTCCCTCCTGGGGCTGAGCCACCTCCCCGGGGCGCTGTGCCCTCTCTGATTCCTGCTCCCTCCTGGGGGCTGAGCCACCTCCCCGGGGCGCTGTGCCCTCTCTGATTCCTGCTCCCTCCTGGGGCTGCTGAGCCACCTCCCCGGGGCGCTGTGCCCTCTCTGATTCCTGCTCCCTCCTGGGGGCTGAGCCACCTCCCCGGGGCGCTGTGCCCTCTGATTCCTGCTCCCTCCTGGGGCTGCTGAGCCACCTCCCCGGGGCGCTGTGCCCTCTCTGATTCCCGCTCCCTCCTGGTGCTGAGCCACCTCCCCGGGGCGCTGTGCCCTCTCTGATTCCCCCTCCCTCCTGGTGCTGCTGAGCCACCTCCCCAGAGCACGATGCCCTCTCTGATTCCTGCTCCCTCCTGGGGCTGAGCCACCTCCCCGGGGCGCTGTGCCCTCTCTGATTCCTGCTCCCTCCTGGGGCTGAGCCACCTCCCCGGGGCGCTGTGCCCTCTCTGATTCCTGCTCCCTCCTGAGGGCTGAGCCACCTCCCCGGGGCGCTGTGCCCTCTCTGATTCCTGCTCCCTCCTGCGGCTGCTGAGCCACCTCCCCGGGGCGCTGTGCCCTCTCTGATTCCTGCTCCCTCCTGGGGGCTGAGCCACCTCCCCGGGGCGCTGTGCCCTCTCTGATTCCTGCTCCCTCCTGGGGCTGCTGAGCCACCTCCCCGGGGCGCTGTGCCCTCTCTGATTCCTGCTCCCTCCTGGTGCTGAGCCACCTCCCCGGAGCACGATGCCCTCTCTGATTCCTGCTCCCTCCTGGTGCTAAGCCACCTCCCCGGGGCGCTGTGCCCTCTCTGATTCCTGCTCCCTCCTGGGGCTGCTGAGCCACCTCCCCGGGGCGCTGTGCCCTCTCTGATTCCTGTTCCCTCCTGGCACTCCTGAGCCACCTCCCCGGAGCACGGTGCCCTCTGATTCCTGCTCCCTCCTGGGGGTGAGCCTGCCCCATCTAGGGTCGGGAGGGCCTCACCCACAGGCAGCCTCTCCTCACTGCCAGTAAAGCTCTTTGTGGGGGCCACCACCCACCACCCTGGGTCCTGTCTTTTCCTTGATTGGCCTGGAAATCCCCTAACTTGTCTCACTACTAGAAGCTTCCAGCCTAGATATCCGATCAGGATGGGCCACACCTGGCTTCCAATATACAGGAAGTGAAAGCTTCAGTCCTAGTCATTGGCTTGGCGGCCGCTGACCAGACAGGACTCGGGAAGGTTCGGGGACCCAACTGCACCCAGGGGTGGGGCAGGCTCTGGTCCTGTCATTTTCCCATCCCAGGAGTGGGAGGGAGCTCTGAACCTCAGCCTTTCACCCCCAAGTGGAGGTCCAACCCCCCAAGTGTCTGGCCTCAGAACCCCTCAAATCCAAGAACCCCTCTCCAGAAAAGAGCAGTGCTGGGGTCCAGCCCGTGGCCCTGACCACAGCACGCAGTGGCCCTTCCTGTCCCCTGAGGCTGCCTGCCCAGCCAGAAGACCCCGCCTGCACTGGGACCACCCTGCTCACCTCCCTGGGCCGCCCCAAGCCACCCTAGTGCCTGGAGCCACCTGGAACCCTAGATCCCAGGGCTTGGTCCGTGTGTCCCAGGGTGGCCACTTCTCCAGAGAGAATTCGGCTTTTCTGCCAGCCCTGCCGCCCTCTCCTATACCACTGTGGATGCTGCAGGGAAAGACCCCCACCCTCCTTTTCTCTGTGGGAGGCTGACTGGGCTCACCGGCTCAGCAGGGACTCCTGGACATCCTCTGCGCCTGGAAGGGACTGGCATACAGGGAGGGGCCCTGCGGTGAACGCGGGGTCCTCCTCTCTGGGCTGCTAATAATTAAGGGATGACAGGACTCCGGGACTCACTTCCACTCTGCTGCTCAGACAGCCGGGCTGGGGCTCGGGAACAGGAATTGAACAGAGGTTGCCCAGGGTATTCTCGTGATTAGGGCCCGACAATAACCTTTGTGATGTATGAGAGTGAGATTACATTTCAGTTATCCAGGGCCAAGGGGCCACAGGGCCACTGCACACGTTGTTTCTGCCGATCCTGCGGCCCCCCTCCCTGCTCCCACCATGCTCCTGCCCCCGACCCATTGCCCCCAGAAACCCAGGCTCAACCCTGCCTGCGGCATTTCTGGATCTCTGCGTGGATGCCTGTTGCCCGTCACTGGGTACCCAGACAAACATCCCCTCCTGGGGAGGCCCCCATCCTCTGTCTAAAGCAGCCCCTTCCCTGCCAGTCCTCCCCCCACCCATGGAGCCACAGCCCTGAGCAGCGAGAAGCCTGGAAGCAAAGCCCCCACTCTCCCTCTTCCCTCCTCGTCCAAGCCCAACAGAAGCCAGAGGCTGTGGGAGCCCAGGGATGCTGGGTGTGGAGGTCGGCTGTAGAGATTAGGACAGAGCAGGGCAGAGATGAGAGATGTGGGGAGGAGATGGGGTGAACTCTGCACCCCTCCCTCATCCTGCATGCAGCCTGCCACCGACTCCCTCCCCATTCCCCTACCTGGCTCCATGGGCCTCTGAGCAAACTGCTCCATGAAATTGCATTTGACAAGTGGGTGCGCTCCCTTCCTGGGGGGCCTCTCCAGAGCCCTTTATTTATTATTTATTTATTTTTATTCTTTAGAGACAGGGTATCGCTCTGTCCACCCAGTCTGGAGTGCAGTGGCATGATCTTGGCCACCGGCCCAGGTGATCCTCCTATCTCTCAGCCTCCCGAATAGCTGGGACCACAGGCATGCGCCACCATTCCTGGTTAATTTTTGTATTTTTTGTAGAGATGGGTTTTGTCATGTTGTCCAGGCTGGTCTTAAACTGGGCTCAAGTGATCCACTTGCCTCAGCCTCCCACAGTGCTGGGATTATAGGCGTCAGCCCCCTCGCCAGCTCCACGTCCCTTTAACCCAGAGCGTGGTTATCCTTGACCTGCACACACCTGCTAGGGGCACTGACGGTGTCTGAGCTTTACTTACAAGCAGGTCCTGAGCTAAGTCCGTACAGGGCATCTCTTACACCACACTCCACAGCCCGCAGCCTCGGAGCCCCAACCTGCCATGGAGAGCAGCCGTCCCTGTGCCCTGGTGTCTGTTGTTGGCTGACCTCACCTGGCAGCAGCTGCTGAGTGGGTACTGCTCCCTCCACGCCCCTACTGAGCCCAGCGGCTGGGCCCACCTCAGGTGATGGTGTCCCCAGGAGCAGCCAGATGTCCTCCACAAGCACCGTATCCACATCGAGCCAGGCAGCAAAGTGGGAGCACAGACGCAGCCCCACAGGCGCAATGGGGGCAGGTGGGGATAGGGACTCCTGTCTTCCCGCAGGCCCGCGGGGGCCTCCGCCACTGCTTCACACGGTCCACACCTCCCAACCCCCGCCCCCTCCCCGAGGGAGCTTGAGGACCCTGGGTTGAGAGAGACCCCAGCCCTCCCAGGAGCCTCTGCATCTTGCTGGCAAAGTCACCTGCGTGGGCAAGAAGAGGCACAGACCTCAGCTGGGGCTGCCTGGAGAGCCCGGGGGTGGCGCAGGTAGAAGCTTCTGGAGAGCGGGAGTGGGCAGGCTGCAGCTCTTGCTCTGGGGGCAGCACCTGGCCCAGCCCAAGAGACCTGCAGAGGCCGGCAGCTGGGCCTGGGTGCCTGGAACTCAAGAGAACGCCAGAACTCACGGGTCCAGGTATGGTGTGGCCCCTGCGACACCCACAGGTGTGAGTGTGCATGGAGAGGGAGGGGAGGGCAGGCACTCTGCAAACTGTGAAGTGCGGCGCACCCTGGCAGGTGGTGGGAGCACCTTTAACACCCTCACCTGCTTCTGCTCCTTGTGGGGTGAGGGGTGGCTGCTCCTTTCTCCAGACCCTCCTGCAGACCCTGATAGGTCAGGACCTCCTGCACTGGGGGCTCTGGGAGCATCTGAGGTCGTCGGGGCCGGTAAAGCCTGCAAAAGGCTGAGCCTCCCTCCTCCCCTGCCTTTCATTGGAAAGTCCTAACAGCCACATATTTCATTTGAGAAATAAATATTCATTAAAATCATATAATATGGATTTATGACTGCATTTGAGGGGAAATTAAAGGAATAAATAACCCATAGGTCTCTGAATTTGTTGTCCTTAGGCGGAAATGTCTCCAGCTTGGTTTCCAAGCTTATTTAAATGAACTTGCCTCACTTGTTAGGAAATATGCTTAATTTCTACAGTTCCAGAATCCTTTTTTAGTTTAAATTTTTATGTAAAACACATGGGTTTAATATTCTGTTGAAAGTTCAGTAAACTCAAGGCAAATAACATTCTTAAGCAACTTTCAAATGATTCCGCAAAGCTCTGACATAAATGAGCACACCTGACCGCGCAGAACGCTGCCCCTCCCCCAGCCGAAGGAGTCCATGGAGACCCTATGAGGTCAGAGCTTGAGTGGGGGTGACTGCGGGTTTGCACCCTTGGAGCACGGGGGAGTTTCACTGAAGTACCAGGAAGACGTGTTCTGAGCTGAATCCTGGGTTCCCGTGGGGTCAGAGCAGCCGCCCTGGAGGGGGCTCTTGTCTGCAAATTGGAAGTGCAGCCCCCAAGCCCCCAACCTTAGGCAGAGGCTCCTAAAGGGCAGCACTGGGCGGGAGGTGGGGGTGGGTGGGAAATGGCTTTCACCCCCGGGAGAGCTCATTCCTGGGCATCAAGCTCACGTGCCCCTGGAGGGTTTCCAGGATCAGGCGCCTGAAGAGTCCTGAGCCTCATGTCAGACAGAGCCCGCTCCCCACCCTGATGAAACTGACCCCCAGCAGGGGAAAGCCTGGCCAGGCCCACAGAGCCCAGACACCACCTCCCGCCAACTCATGCGTTTCTGGAGGCCTTGGGGTGTCGCCCACACCCCACCGGCTGCAGCGCCCGCCCGTGTCTTCCTGTTACCCCCTGGGATGTGGCCTCTGAGGGACCCCCTCCTGTGAGGCTCCCCCGCAGCGGAAGTCCTGTGTGAAGCTGCTCCTGCTGGCTCCCCTCCCCCACTCCCACTGCTCTAAGAGGCCGGGAGGACCCGCGTGTTTGGGTGGATGTGAATGCTTATTGGCCCAGTGAAGGCGCACCTGCAGAGCGGTTGACATGGGGCTCCTGAGTGGGAAGCAGCAGTGTGGGCCTGACGTCCGCCCATTAGCACACACCTGAGGCCGCTCCTAAACTGAGTTAGGCTTTGAAACACGTTCTCCGCCAGCTGCTCAGGCAGGGGAGGGAATAGGCCAGCTTAGTCCTTAGCGGGAAGACCCCTCGTGACCCGTGACGCCGTGGGCTGGGGGACCACGGGAGTCTTAGCGCTGTGTCCTCCCCGGTGCCGCCACGGTGCAGTGCTCGTTTTCTCAGGCTGCGTGGCCCAGGCCCCAGGATGGGGCTCCTTGTCTCCTAGCCTGGGATTGGGAGAGGAGAAGGGGGGCAGTGTCCTCTCCCTCATATTCAGTGTTTCCACAAAGGCCAGGTGAGAGCTCGTCACATGCCTGGAGCAGTTCTGGGTTCTGGGGCCCTGGTGGAGAATTGAGGCTCCGAGACCCCTGCCCTCCCAGAGCCCCTTCCTGCACTGAGAGGATCCAGGGCCAGCCTCAGGCCTAGGGCTCACAGACGCCCAGAATCAGGGCCCTCAGGCCTGAGAGGGACAGCAGAGAAAAGGGGGTCCTCGGGCCCAGCAGACTCAGACTCACCAGGGGGACCTGGGAGGCGAAGCATTGCAGCGTCCTGGACCTGGATGCTGTTTTCTATCAGGCAGCTTTGGGGATTTCCAGTTGGGACCACCCTCTCCTGGAGGGCAGAGCTTCCTGGCCGTGGATCAGTCATCTCGCCTCTGGTTGAAACTTCCCAGTGACAGGGAGCTCACCACCCTCCAGGGGACAGGGAGAAACCCCTTCCTTCCCCTGCCACAGGTCAGCCCAGCCCTGCAGACCACACTACCCACTCCTCCGCTCCCCCTGCCCAGGGCAAACTTTCCCTGAATCTCTTCTCCAGCTGACACCTCACCACCAGGCTGTTCCTGCCTCTGAAGTCCCCTCTGGCCAGAGCAAGTGCCCAGGGAGTGCCAGCAGCTCCAGCTGCTGCCTCCCCTGCCTCCCTGCTGCAGCCTCAGGGCTGAGCAAACCCCGTGGGCCCACTCAAATCAGGTGCCAGGCAACGATTTGGGCAGCTCAGATGGGAACAATTAGAGGTGAAAGGAGGCTCTGCCAAATGTTGTTTGTCTTTTGCATGCTAATCAGCTGTAATTGTTAGATCCACATTTATAATGCAAGCAGAGAAGAGAGTTCTCACCCTGAAGCCTGGAGTCTGCTGCTCCCCAAGGCAGAGCGCCCACTGGGGCTGGGGTTCAGGAAGCCAGTGCTTTGCTATTCCAACTGCAGGGTGTGCTCTGAGGCAGGAGGCCTGCTTTGCGTTCTGGAAACCTCTGAGCTTTTCTACAAAGGAGCTCAATTCCTTTTTCCTGATGTCCCAACTCCTCCTCCTCCTGCAGCTGAAGCTGGAAGTTACAGCAGCAGAGCACAGGCAACAAGCCCTGCGTGACTCAGGACTGGTGTCCCGAGTCCTGGGCTGAGCCGGAGTTGACCCCACAGCACAGCAGAGGCTACACTGGTGTCCTGAGTCCCCAGGCTGAGCTGGAGGTGACCCCGCAGCAGAGCAGAGGCTACACTGGTGTCCTGGAGTCCCCGGGCTGGGCTGGAGGTGGCCCCACAGCAAAGCAGAGATAACACTGGTGTCCTGAGGCCCCGGGCTGAGCTGGAGGTGACCCTGATCCTGGAAACCCTCCAGGACCTAAGTGGGGCTAGAGAGACATCCAGGTCAGTGTAGACACACCTGGGGGGTTAGGGAGGCATACAGGCCAGTGTAGACACACATGGGGGTGAGGAAGGCATACAGGACAGTGTAGACACACCTGGGGACTAGGGAGGCAACCAGGTCAGTGTAGACACACCTGGGGGGTTAGGGAGGCATACAGGCCAGTGTAGACCCACCTGAGGGGCTAGGGAGACATGCAGGCCAGTGTAGACACACCTGAGGGGTTAGGGAGACACTCAGGTCAGTGTAGACACACCTGGGGGTTAGGAAGACATCCAGGTTGGTGTAGAAACACCTGGAGTTGGCACAGGTAGAGAGAGAGTGAGACGCTGATGGTCAGTGCGTGCTTGGCCTGAGGGACATTCTGGTGTCCAGGTCCTCACAATGTGTCCCCCTCTGGTTCCTTTGTCCCACCTCCCAGGGCTCCACTTGCCCCCACACTCCACCCCACATGCACCCTGACTCCCCAGCCACCCTGTGTCCTCCCCTGGCTCTGCTTCCCATGGAAGACCCGCCCTCCTCTGCTGGCTGCAATTCTGCACCTCTGTGCCTGGTTCTCCCGCTTGCCCCGAAGGCTCCTCTCTCCACAGAGACACCCACCTGTGCAGGTTCCATCTCTTCAGTGCCTTTGCCCTTGGACCTCTGGTTGGGTTTAGTCCATGGGAGCCCTGGTAAGATCAGAGGGAGGGGGAAGCATGAGGTCGGAGTATTTATGTCCCTGGCTACCAGTGGGGTCATGGTGGCTGCTGCAGACTTTGATCTTCTATTTCCCTGTCTGTCTCTTTCCTTCTCCTCCTGGTTCCAACCCACACACTCCACCGTCATTCCCTCTGGCCTGGGGGTTGCAGGGCAGGCCTGCTGTTTCCAGCTCCTCCTCCTGTACCCCTGCCTCCTGTCTGTGCCCTCCTTGACAAACGTCTTATTAATGCTCCTCGGCCTCCTGGCTTCGTGTGCCATCTATGTCCTGCTTGGATTGTGACTCATGCCTACCTTTCAGGGCCCGGTTCAAGTCCCTGCCTTGGATGAATCCTGCATCAGGTGTGTAAACACGTGTGCATCGTGAACCTCTATATGGGATTCAGAGATGATTACTCGGGACTTTCGTAATTCTGTTTCTACCTCCTTCACTCATGAGCTCCCTCTTGAGAGCAGAGGCAGCTCTGTCTCATTTATCTGCAGGTGTCTGCAGGTGGCCTTACACACCCTAGGAGCTTAGTAACACAGCTGGATTCCCTGAGCATGGGGAGCTGTCTGCAGCTCTAGCCCTGGATGTTTTCAGGACCCTGGAGAGGTCCACGCAGGTGTGGGAGGCTGGAGGTCACTTTCTTCAGGGCAGAAATGGGCAAACAGAGGATTTCTATGGGCAGCTCTGGAATGAACGTCTGTTTTTGCCTTCTGCTTTGGACAGCTGCTCCTTAATGTCTTCAAACCTCATAGGAAGAACAAAGGCTGACCCGGGAAAAAGCTCCACTGGGAAGTCTGGGCAGCTGGTATTCTTGGCTCTGCACCACCTCGTGCCCTTCCCGGCACCAGGGACAGACAGGCTCCCTCCCCCTATGCCTCCGGCTGCGGCATCTGACCACTGGGCCAGGTCTCTGTGTAGGTTTCTTTTCATCTATACACAAAGTTTCTGCTGTGACCTTTTTCCCCGGCACCGAGTTTACAGGAAGTCTGCTTAAATGGGGCCAGCATTTCTGTGTTTAATAATTCAATGCTTGCGCTCACCGTCAAGCCGATAATTTAGTAACAGTGGGGAGCTCAGCCTGCCTTCCACCATAGATCATGTTCTGCTTTGCCTTCCAGAGCACACGGGCGGGTGAGGACACTGTCCTTCCCAGCGACGGCTGTGACTTTTACATGGCCATTTAATGGCCCCAGTTAATATTAAGCGCTCCCAGTTAATATGATGGCAAGAGGAAAATTACCTGTGCTGATAGCTGTCCTTGCCACCTATAAATTCCTGGGGCATTCACCATATATTACCAAGGAATGCCGCCACCTCCTCGTAATGACCCAGGTGACAAACGGCTCCTGGGCCCACGCTCTTCCCTACCAGCCCTGGAGATCTTCCCAGCTCTGTCCCAGGAAGGAGGTATTGAGGTGTGGCCCTGGTGTGGCCGGGGACATGTTCCCCAGGGGTGGCTTGCAGACCACCTGCCTTAGAAACAGCTTGGCGGGGGAGGGGAGGGCTTTGGATGCACATGTTTGTTCATCCCTGTCCAGAGCCGGACGCTGAGATGGAGGCTGCCTTTCCCACATTCCCGGGGGTGTCCGTGTCTTGCCGCTTTGGGAACCTCCAATGCAGGGCAGGCGGCCAGGGCTGGGACCCAACGGGACTCGGGTCTGCCCTGTCCCTGCAGAGTCTTCCCCACAATGGTGCATTGCTCCCTGAGCTGTGCCCTTGCTACTGTGAGTGCCTGTCTGGTGCTCTGGGAGCTCTGTTTGCAGTTTCAGGCAGTTCTGAGTCCATTTCTAGGGGAGAAGAGGGAATGGCATTGGGCAGAGGAGGCATTGGGAACCAGGGGCAAGGGTGACCCCAGACCACACGCCCAGGTGTGCAGAGGGAGGCTCCCTGGGTCTGGGAGTCAGTGCGATCTGCCATGAGTCTCCCTCTCCCCAGGGGTGGATCCCTCAACAGTCAATTCCTCGTGTCTCCGTCGGTGCAGTTTCCTCCAGGCAGCAGGCAGAACCCTGCAGGAAGCAGAAATGGCCCAAGTGTTTCACAAGGAATGGTGTAATGAGGTTGCTCTCAGAACAGTGGCCAGGGAACAGAGATCCTAAAAGGATGTGGGTATCCACAGGACTAGCAAGGGCAGGAGGCGCCCCTCCTTTAGGCTCCAGGACAGGGAAGGAGGGGGTGTCCTGGCCATGAAGGGATGGATGCTGCTGGAACCACAGATACAGCAGGAAGGGCTGGGGACAGCCACCAGCTTCCACCTCCTCCTCTCCCAATCTCCAACTAGGGCCTCCCTTGGCCAAACTCAACAGAAACGATTAGAGGCATCTCTGGGCCGCAGCCCCTATATGTTCTGTCTCCAGGTCAGAGACCAGGACTAAGAGGCAGCACGTGGAGAACGACCAGCAGCATCCATCAGTCAGAGTCACACTGCCCAGCCCACCCGCTGTCTCAGGTGCCAGGGCATGGGGGGTGGACGTGGTGTGATATGGAGGGTGGGTGTGGGTGTGATGTGGAGGGTGGGTGTGGGTGTGATGTGGAGGGTGGGTGTGGTGTGATGTGGAGGGTGGGTGTGGTGTGATGTGGAGGGTGGGTGTGGTGTGATGTGGAGGGTGGGTGTGGTGTGATGTGCAGGGTGGGTGTGGGTGTGATGTGGAGGGTGGGTGTGGTGTGATGTGCAGGGTGGGTGTGGGTGTGATGTGGAGGGTGGGTGTGGGTGTGATATGGAGGGTGGGTGTGGTGTGATGTGGAGGGTGGGTGTGGTGTGATGTGGAGGGTGGGTTGGTGTGATGTGGAGGGTGGGTGTGGTGTGATGTGGAGGGTGGGTGTGGTGTGATGTGGAGGGTGGGTGTGGGTGTGATGTGGAGGGTGGGTGTGGTGTGATGTGGAGGGTGGGTTGGTGTGATGTGGAGGGTGGGTGTGGTGTGATGTGGAGGGTGGGTGTGGGTGTGATATGGAGGGTGGGTGTGGTGTGATGTGGAGGGTGGGTGTGGTGTGATGTGGAGGGTGGGTTTGTGTGATATGGGGGGTGGGTGTGGTGTGATGTGGAGGGTGGGTGTGGTGTGATGTGGAGGGTGGGTGTGGTGTCATATGGAGGGTGGGTGTGGTGCGATGTGGAGGGTGGGTGTGGTGTGATGTGGAGGGTGGGTGTGGTGTGATGTGGAGGGTGGGTGTGGGTGTGATGTGGAGGGTGGGTGTGGGTGTGATGTGGAGGGTGGGTTGGTGTGATGTGGAGGGTGGGTGTGGTGTGATGTGGAGGGTGGGTGTGGTGTGATGTGGAGGGTGGGTGTGGTGTGATGTGGAGGGTGGGTGTGGTGTGATATGGAGGGTGGGTGTGGTGTGATGTGGAGGGTGGGTGTGGTGTGATATGGAGGGTGGGTGTCGTTTGATATGGAGGGTGGGTGTGATGTGGAGGGTGGGTGTGGTGTGATGTGGAGGGTGCGTGTGGTGTGATGTGGAGGGTGGGTGTGGTGTGATGTGGAGGGTGGGTGTGGTGTGATGTGGAGGGTGGGTGTGGTGTGATGTGGTGGGTGGGTGGGTTTGATGTGGAGGGTGGGTGTGGTGTGATGTGGAGGTTGGGTGTTTTGTGATGTGGAGGGTGGGTTGGTGTGATGTGGAGGGTGGGTGGGTGTGATGTGGAGGGTGGGTGTGGGTGTGATATGGAGGGTGGGTTGGTGTGATGTGGAGGGTGGGTGTGGTGTGATGTGGAGGGTGGGTGTGGTGTGATATGGAGGGTGGGTTGGTGTGATGTGGAGGGTGGGTGTGGTGTGATGTGGAGGGTGGGTGTGGTGTGATGTGGAGGGTTGGTGTGGGTGTGATATGGAGCTCCACCTGGGAAGAGCCACGGCCCCTGTCTCATCAGATCACCCCACCTTTTCACCCAGCTCAGGATCGCAGTATAAGTCCCTTCTCTCTGGCTTTCTCTGCAACCTGCAGTTCCCTGTCCGTCTTGGCCAATTCATCTGATTTGCAGATGGGGAACCTGCCTGGCACGAATCTTATAGCTCCCAGTTCAGCATTATGAATCTCTCAAGGCCAAGAGCAGAATATTCAGCTGCACTTTTCCCACAGTACCTATGTTCCCCCAAGGAAAACCCAGTTTCCTTTCTGTCTCCTTCTCTCTCTCTGTCTCCCTCTCTCCCCACCTTCCTTTTGAAAATCAAGAGCAAAGCTCCCTCCCAACTCCTGGTGTTCCCTGAGCAGAATGAAAGCCAGCCGTGTGAGTTGAAGAAATGAATGAAAGATTGGGAACTGAGTGCCGGAGGAGACCAGCCCCTGGGAATACGTGAAACCCCCACACTGAACTTTCAAAATCCAAAGAAGAGAATCCTGAGGAAAGATCTGTATCATTTGCCAGGGTGCACGATGTGCAAGGATATTAACAATTTAACAAACACACATCAAAGAAAGGCATAAGTAGCGTTTTTTAGTGATAATTTTTTATTGGAAGCATGAATGAGATATAGACATTTTTCTTGATCTGGTTTAGTAAAATATTACTGATATTAGATAAGCAAATTCCTACTGTAACCCAGAGGACTAAATTGTATGAACAATGTTGTCTGATGTCCTGGTTGCCAGGCACTGTGGACAGCCACCCCAAAGTCCTCCCCACCTCTTCTTCCTGGCCCTCTCCAGGCAGACAGGATGGAAACTCAGTGCTTGACTGACCTTTCCAGCCTCCTTTGAAGTTCTGAGAGGCCTCAGGTCTCCTCACCAGAATCAGCTCTCACGTTCGTGCCCAGCAGACCCTTCAGGCAGCTTTCTGAGCTAGGCTTCTCTAACTCAGAACCAGCGCACGCTTCAGCCCCCCACACCTCCTGCTTGGCCTCCTCTGGCCTCGGTTGATGAGTTGGAAGCTCCCTCCGCTGCCTCCCTGCGCCCAGGCTCACAAACCCGTCACTGGATGTCTTTATTTAGTGAGCTTTCCTGCCCAAGCCTGCTTCCAGGGCAGGATGTATTGATACAAAATCCATCAGGAGATGTGTCTGGGCATTTAATCAATGAGGCTGCAGGGAGCCCCGCGTGACTCAGAGGGTGCCGGGAGTGAAGGCCAGGCAAGAAGAGCATCCAGAGTGGGCAGAAGGGTGGTTTTTATTTTTGATCCTGTAATGTCAGGCTCCAGCAATTAGTTGTCTATTCCCTGTAATGCTGGCACTGCAGCAGAATTCCACCGCAACCTGGATATTTGCCCAGGTACTCATTTTATAACTCCCATGTTCATTCAATAAATACCCTACCTGTATCCTATGTGCCAGACACAGATCCAGATGCTGAGAAGAGTCAACTAACAGCTCACAGGTCACACTGAGCTTATGGTCCTGTGATGGAGGGATGGTGATGATGATGGTGATGATGGTGATGGTGATGGTGATGTGATGATGGTGATGATGATGATGATGGTGATTGTGATGATGATGTGATGATGGTGATGATGACGGTGATGATGGTGATCACGATGGTGATGGTGATCGTGATGATAATGTGATGATGGTGATGATGACGGCGATGATGGTGATGATGATGGTGATGTGATGATGATGATGATGATGATGGTGATGGTGATGTGATGATGGTGATGATGATGATGGTGATGATGATGGTGATGATGATGGTGATGATGGTGATGATGATGGTGATGGTGATGGTGATGATGGTGATGGTGATGATGGTGAAGATGATGATGGTGATGATGATGGTGATGGTGATGATGGTGATGGTGATGGTGATGATGGTGATGATGATGATGGTGATGATGATGGTGATGGTGATGGTGATGATGGTGATGTGATGATGGTGATGGTGATGATGATGGTGATGGTGATGGTGATATGATGCTGATCATGATGATGATGGTGATGATGGTGATCATGATGATGATTGTGATGTGATGATGATGATGATGGTGATGATGATGATGATGGTGATGATGATGATGGTGATGATGATGGTGATGTGATGATGGTGATGATGATGATGATGGTGATGGTGATAATGATGGTGATGTGATGATGGTGATGGTGATGATGGTGGTGGTGGTGATGATAATGGTGATGGTGATGATGTTGATGATAATGATGGTGGTGGTGGTGATGATGATGACAATGATGGTATGATCATGATCATGGTGATGATGGTGGCAATGGTGGTGGTGGTGATGATAATAGGATGATGATGGGATTATGATGATGATGGAATGATGGTGATGATGGTGGTGGTGGTGATGATTATGCTCATGGTGATGGGATGATGGTGGCAATGATGGTGATGATGATGGTAATGTGATGACGGGAGGATGTTGGTGATGGTGATGGTTATAATGATAATGGTGATGATGATGATGGGATGATGGTGATGATAATGATGTTGGTGGTGATAATGATGCTGATGATGGTAATGGTGATGGGATGATGGTGATGATTTTGTTAGCCTGTTTTCACACTGCTATAAAGATACTGCCTCAGATTGGGTAATTTATAAAGACAGGTGGTTTGACTCACAGTTCTGCATGACTTGGGAGGCCTCAGGAAATTTACAATCATGGCAGAAGGTAAAGGGGAAGCAAGGCATGTCCTACATGGCATCAGGCAAGAGACAGTGAGGAAGTGCCACACTTTAAAACCATCAGCTCCTGTGAGAACTCACTCACTATCACAAGAACAGCGTGGGGGAAACCATCCCCATGATCCAATCACCTCCCACCAGGTACCTCCTTCGATACATGGGGATTACAATTTGAGATGAGATTTGGGTGGGGACACAGCCAAACCCTATCATTTTTTAAAATTTGAGACAGAGTCTCACTCTGTCACCCAGGCTGGAGCACAATGCCATGATCTCTGCTCACTGCAACCTCCGCCTCCCAGGCTCAAGCAATTCTCTTGCCTCAGCCTCCCAAGTATCTGGGATTACATGTGCCCACCACCATGCCCAGCTAATTTTTGTATTTTTAGTAGAGACAGGGTTTCACCATGTTGGCCAGGCTGATCTCAAACTCCTGACTTCAAATGACCCACCTGCCTCAGTCTCTGAAAGTGCTGGGATTACAGGCATGAGCCACCACGCCCAACCTCCTTTCACATTTCAAAACCAATTACGCCTTCTCAGCAGTTCCCCAAAATCTTAACTCATTGCAGCATTAACTCAAAAGTCCAAGTCCAAAGTCTCATCTGAGACAAGGCAAGTCCCTTTCACCTATGAGCCTGTAAAATCAAAAGCAAGTTAGTTACTTCCAAGATACAATGCAGGTACAGGCATAGGGTAAATGTTCCCATTCCATATGGGAGAAATTGGCCAAAACAAAGGGGCCACAGGCCCATGCAAGTTGGAAGCCTGCCTGAAATCTTGAAGCTCCAAAATCTCCTTTGGCTCCATGTCTCACATCCAGGGCACACTGATGCAAGTGGTGGGCTCCCACAGCCTTGGGCAGCTCTGTCCCTGTGGCTCTGCAGGGTAAAGCCCCCACAGCTGCTTTCACAAGCTGGCATTGAGTGCCTGTGGCTTTTCCAAGTGCACAGTGCAAGCTGTCAGTGGATCTACCATTCTGGGATCTGGAGGATGGTAACCCTCTTCTCACAGCTCCACTAGGCAATGCCCCAGTGGGGACTCTGTGTGGCGGCTCCAACTCCACATTTCCCTTCTGCACTGCCATAGCAGAGATTCTCTATGAGGGCTCCACCCATGCAGCAGACTTCTGCCTGGACATCCAGGCATTTCCATACATACTCTGAAATCTAGATGGAGGTTCCCAAAGCTCAGCTCTTGTCTTCTGTGCACCCATCGGCCCAACATCATGTGGAAATTGCCAAGGCTTGGTTGGGGCTTGCACTCTCTGAAGGAATAGTCTGAGCTGTACCTTGGCCTCTTTTAGGCACAGCTGGAGCTGGAGTGTCTGGGACAGAGGACACCATGTCCTGAGGCTGCACACGGCAATGGGGCCCTGGGCCCAGCCCAAAAAAACATTTTACCCTCCTAGGCCTCTGGGCCCATGATGGGAGGGGCTGTCTTGAAGATCTCTGACATTCTCTGGAGACATTTTCCCCATTGCCTTAGTGATTCTAAGACATTCGGCTTCTCCTTACTTATGCAAATTTCTGCAACCAGTTGGAATTTCTCCCCCAGAAATGGGTTTTTCTTTTATATCACACGGTCAGGCTGTAAATTTTCCAAACTTTTATGCTCTGCTTTTCTTTTAAACATACGTTCCAATTTCAAACCATCTCTGTGAGCTCATATAACTGTATGCTTTCAGGAAAAATCAGGTCACTTCTTAAATGCTTTGCTGCTTAGAAATTTCTTCTGCTAGATTCCCTAAATCATCTCTCTCAAGTTTAAAGTTCCACAGATCTCTAGGGCAGGGGAAAAATGCCTCCAGTCTCTTTGCTAAAGCATAGCAAGAGTGGCCTTTGCTCCAGTTCCCAATAAGCTCCTCATCTCCATCTGAAATCACTTCAGCCTGGACTTCATTGTCTATATCACTATCAGCATTTTAGCCAAAACCATTCAACAAGTCTCTAGGAAGTTCTAAACTTTTCCACATCTTTCTATCTTCTTCTGAGCCCTCCAAGCTATTCCAACCTCTGCCGGTTATCCAGTTCCAAAGTTGCTTCCACATTCTCAGATATCTTTTAGCAATGTCCCACTACCTTGGTACCAATTCTGTGTATTAGTCTGTTTTCACACTGCTATAAAGACAGTACCTGAGACTGGGTAATTTATAAAGAAAGATCTAATTGGCTCACAGTTCCATATGGCTGGGGAGGTCTCAGAGAACTTATAATCATGGCAGAAGGTGAAGGGGAAGCAAACCACATCTTACATGCTGGCAAGTGAGAGACAGTGAGGAAATGCCACACTTTAAAACCATCAGCTTTCATGAGAACACACTCATTATCACTAGAACAGCATGGGGAAAACAAACACCCCCGCCATGATCCAATCACTTCCCACCAGGTTCCTCCCTCAACACATGGGGATTGCAGTTTGAAATAAGATTTGAATGGTGACACAGAGCCAAATCATATCAATGGTGATGGTGATGATGATGGTGATGGTGATGATGGTGGTAATGATGGTGATGATACTGGTGATGGTGATATTGATGGTGATAATGGTGATTTTGATGGTGATGATGATGGTGTTGGTGATAATGGTAATGATGGTGAT
The DNA here is from genome assembly GCF_000001405.40 of Homo sapiens. NCBI lineage: Eukaryota > Metazoa > Chordata > Mammalia > Primates > Hominidae > Homo > Homo sapiens. The sequence continues at coordinate 131,399,187 of NC_000012.12, forward strand.
GGTGATGATTTTGGTAATGATGGTGATGATGATAATGGTAATGTGGAGGTGATGATGGTGATGATTATGGTGATGGTGATAATGATGGTGATGGTGATGATAGTGGTGATGATGATCATGGTAATGTGGAGGTAATGGTGATGATTATGATGATGGTGATGATAGTGGTGATGATTATATTGATGGTGGTGATAATTATGTTGATGATGATGATCATGACAGTATCAGCAAGGGAAGCAGGCACTGTAGTAGCAACCCAAATAAACATTGCATGGGTTATTTTTACCAGACACTATTCTAGACACCTCACATATGTCAGGTCACTCAATTGACACCACAACACCTGAGGTAAGTGCTCCTGATCTCCATTTGATAAATGAGAAGCTGAGGCACAGAGAAGTCAAGTCACCTCCCTAAGGGCACACAGGATGTGGCAGTGCTGGGATTCAGAGCAGGCACCTCATCCCAGAATCAGTGGACTCAGAAACAATGCCCTGAGCTAATAGGTAAATGCTTTCAGTGACAGTAACAAGTGTCATGAAGACCATTAAGAGGGTGATGTGAGTATGCCTTGGGGTGAGGAGGCTGCATTCAATGAGAGGTCAAGGAAGGCCTCTCTGAGTAAACACTGGTTGGAGATAGGAAGGATGAGGTTGTGAGAAGTGTTCAGCCAAGTGTCACAGCAAGTGCAAAGGCCCTGGGGTGGAGTGAGCTTGGAGCATTCAAGGAACAGCAAGAAGGCCAAAGAGGCTGAAGCAAAATAAACAGAGGGGGAGATGGAGCCTGGGCCATGGGGGCCTCACAGTCCATGGGACATGGTGTGGGTTTATTGTGAGTGGGTGGAAGCCCCCGGAGCCCCTGCAGGGAATCACCTCAGTCACTCCATGATGCCTGAGTGTGTGGTGCTGATTCTGGGCTATGGGGCAGGTTGGGGCCTCTGCTGTGTCCTGGGGACAATGGGAGGAATCTGCTCCCAGCAATTATAAACACATCACGAGCAAGACGGCAAGAGCCCTCTCTGAGGTAATCATGTTTGGGAAAGGCCCTCCTAACACACTGCATTTCCAGGAGCTAGAATGTCTTGACCTGGCCTAGGACACCACTGTGCAAATCAAGGGACGTGTGTTCATTTGAGTGGATTGCAGCAGCCAGGGTGGGGCCCAGCGTTGGGAATTAGATCCAGGTTGTGCTTCTGTGAGAAGTTCTGTCTCTATACAAGTCAACAGCACCATGGGAGCTCTGGTCCCTTCCCAGGTCATCAGGAGACTTTGGGGTGAATTTATAAGTAGAGGCAGCTGAGCCCTTATGAAGTTATCCTAGACATCTTGGAGGCCTGAGTGGGCCACATCTCTGCAGGCAGGACCACCAGGCAGGGAGTGGGCAGCTTTGTTGTCAGGGGCAAGGCTGCAATTAAACATCTCATTGCCCTGGCTCCAGCTCCGGGACTGCCTGCAGGAAAACCAATGATCAGAAATGCAGCTGGTGGGGTGCCCAGACTCCTCAGGGCCCTGCCTTCATCTGATGATGCTGCTGAGCTTTGCACATGAACTGTGCCATCCCAGGAGGCTGTGCTCTCATGAGGAGGTGTGTGACTGTCTTAATGAGATGTCCCTGGCACTGAGCCAACCTAATCTCAGATCCTCAGGGTGAGTTCTTTGAGCTCTGACTGTCATCATCCCCTATGACAGCCTGGCTGAGTCCTGGGGGATGGGTGCTCTGACACTCAGATCATGGATAGGGCTGCCATTGTAGAGAGGAAGACACCAGCATGCACCAGCCCACACCCCGCCCCCTTCATCCTCTTCTGCCCCTCACAGGCCTCATTGGGGAATGCTTGGAATTATTCCAGGACAGCTTTGTCCTTTGCCCAGTGCTGTGTCCCCAGGTAAACAGTGGGTGCCTGCAGAGAGAGGTCCTCACGGGGACAGAGCCTGCAGTGCCACAGGGCCCATGCCACCTCCCTCCTGGGTACACTTAGAGCCCATTCCCAGCCTCCCTGTGTCAGGTGGGGTCAGACGACCAAGCTCTGCCCAGAGGGCAGCACTTCCAGGCAGGCCTATGGAGAAGGCCCTGCAATTCTCGCATTTTCTCTTCCTTATGAGCCAGTTAGACAGAGAGGACCCCAGGGGCTCAGAGGACAGTGGAGGGAGTCGACGCAGGAGCCCGGGCCCTGATTGACCGTGGGGGGAGGGGTGATCCTGTGCCCCACTTTGGAATGTCCCGAATGAACTTTCGACTCATACTGGTTGAAGTCCCTGCAGGAGTGGGGTCTGCTGTCAGGGTCTGTCGCCCACCCTGACCAAACAGCCATGAGTCCAGACTCAGTTCCTCTCACTGTGGTCTGAATGTATCAGCTCCCCTGTTCCAGTGGACATGCTCCGGGGGATTCCAATATGGGGACAAAGGAGAGAAGTCTGGCCTCCTTGCAGGAGAAAGGCCCGAAGTTAATTCCGGCTGGAATGACCCGTGTCCTCTTTCCTCCTAACTTGAGGATCTCGCCCCGCAGTGCACAGGAATTAACTTCGTTTGTGGACACTTGGTTTGATCCTGCCAAACGTCTGTTCTCCATCCCTTTGAGACAGTTCTTACCTTTCCCTTCCCCCACCTTGCCTCCGTCACCTGTGATTTGAAGGAGGCTGATCCATCCTCCATCCCAGCTCCTGTAGCCCAGGCCTGGTCAGCAGCAGCCTTGGCCCTGGACTCAGTGATGGGTTAGAGATGGTCTCACGTTCCCTGCCAGGCCAGGAGGCTGAATTCCAGAACTTTGTGGGAACTGGCAGAAGCAGGGAGCTCTCTCTCCACTGCAGTTGGGAGGCTGGTGCGGTGTCAGCCTGGGATGGCTGAGAGCATCACACAGAGAAAACCCTGCAAGTAAAGGCAACAGATGAAAGCAAGTTAAAGCTGGAGAGAGCCTGAGAGAGGATGGAAACGACTGCCCTTGAGGTCTGGACAGAGGCTCCCGTTACACGAAAGGGCGCATGAGTTTTATTTGTTTTTTCACCTAAGCCAGCTTCAGTTGGGTTTGTCACTTGCCACAAAAAGGGCACTGACAAATGTAGTTTAAGAAGAGAAGCTGGAAGCAGCAAATGCTTCGCAAAACCCAGGAACATTTGCCCTTTCACTTGCTGGATTCCATGCTGTCGCTGGAGCGAGAGCCTCTCCAGTCCTGCCCAGCTGAGTCATCACTGCTGACGCCAGTGGAGGATCTGGCAGGAGCCCTCTGCTCCTCATTTGGGCGCCCTCAGGGACATACACCCAGGGGTGTTCCAGGAAATTTAGCAGGGAAGGTAATGTTGACTTTATTTTCTTCTTTTCATGTCTTCCTAATGGACCTGTTAATCTCTGCTGTTGATTTGCCATTTCTTTCCTGCAAAGGTAAACTCTCATTCACAGGCTCATTAACCATGCGTGCTATTCTGGGCTTACTCCGTGGGGGTGTCCTGGAGTTCAGGATCATTCACAGGGGTCAGGGGCATGGATCAGGTCTAAATGGTGCCATCGATGACACTGGTTCTCAGAGAGGCCGAAAGATGCCCATCATCACCACCCAGCACTCCAGGAAAAGACTCAGCCCAACGTTCCACCACCAGGGATGGGACTCAGTGAGGGGGTGATGCTGTGGGAGCCGCCACCCCTGCTACTTCAGAGTCAAATGTCCTGTCCATGATGGGGGTCAGATGGGCCTGATGGCCAAAGGAGACTCATAGGGCAAGGCTCACAGAGCTGCAGGGTGTCGGGAGCAGATAGCAGAGCAACCACAGTAAAGTCAGGGTGTGTGTCCCGGCCACGTGAGGGGGCCTGAGACGTCCTGGTTGAGATTCGGTGCCTGGAGGAGTGTCTTCCTGGGAGCAGCTAGAGCACTGAAAGCCATGTCTGGGAGGCCTGGAGGTGTGTGGGGGGCTGGGTGCACATCCAGGAGTCTGGGGATGATGCCTGGCGAGGCCAGTGGCACATCCCACGTGCAGAATCCCGAAGGCAGCCCGTGGCCAGGCCCCCCCGTGGCACGGGCAATGGAGAGGATAGCCACTGGGCAGTCTGCCATGACAGCTCATGTTTGGAGCTGGACACATGAGTCCTGAAGGCCAAGGGTCTATTGGGGAAGCCCCGGGCCAGAGCCATCTAGAGGCAGCCCCATTTACACAGCCACAGAGGAGCTGCAGAGTCCACAGGGCGTGGGAAGACCAAGGTCTGCTGGAGAGTGTGTCAGTGGCCAGGCCTTGGTGGACAGAGTGGTGGAGCCTCCCAGGACAGCAGCACACTGGACTGACCACAGCAGAGGGGCTGACATGAGGTCACAGACACCCAGCCAGGGAGAATGTCCCTGACCTCAAAGCCCCACCCCCCAACTCACTCACTCACTTCTCACTCATTCCTTCATCAATGAGTGCTCGCTGAGTGCCAGCCAGGTTCCAGGGACTGGGACTCCCACGGGGAATTGAAGAGCCCAAATCTCTGTGTCAGGGGTCATGCAGTGTAGCAGAAACTATCAAGGGAAACAGGGAACAGAAGTAAATATAATGGACATTAGGAAATTACCCATCAGTGATTCTATGGAGGGAGGGCTGGTGCCCACAGGAAAACAGCTGTTTCCAGTGGCGGGTTGTGCCCTCAGGGTGGGTGTGTTCCCTGATGGTCACCACACCTGGGTTCCCTGGGACATGCCCCTGTGCCTGTCCCTGCCTTGGTGCAGACACCTGAGTCTCTGGGCTCCTGGATCAGAGCTGGATCCGGGCGCCCAGAAGCCATCCCTCCTGCCCCTCCCAGCCCCATCACAGCCGCTCAGCCATCATCAGACCCCTACCAGGGAGGCCACGCCAGGCCATGAATCCTCCTGGAGACTGTGCTCATCATCCTTGGGGATGCAGGACCGATGAGATGCAGACAGGACATAGCTTTCTGAAGAAGACAGAGGGATAACTGAGAGGCAGCCGTGTGACACGGGAGAAGCTCCACTGGTCAGAGGCAGATGCAAAGCCCCAGCCAGGACACAGGTGGGGCATGTGATGAAGGGGACAGGACACTACTAGGCAGGAGTTGGCTGACAGTCTGTTCTGCTGGTCACCAGCACTCAGCCAAGAGGCCTTGAGAAAGTTATCACCCCCATGTGCCTCAGTTTCTCCATCTGCACAAAGAGAAGTGTGAATGGAGCCCAAGTTCCCCTCCATTCTAAGAGCCTAGGCAAGAGGACCTTGTGAAGGACCTTCTGCCAGGGCAGGTGGCAATAGTGGGGACAAAGTGAGGGACTTTCTGAGCCTGGAGACCCCTGAGCAGGGGTTTAGAAGCAAGAAATATCCAGAAGGAGAAAATCAAGAATGAAAGGCCAAGTCATAAATTTCCCGACTGCCTCTGTCCAGAAGGTCCAGTAATTGGTCTGTCACTCATTAGGTCATCCACCCCCCCCAACCCATCCATCACCCATTTATCTATCAACCCCCTCACCCATCCATCATCCATCCATCCATCCATCCACCCACCCATACATCATTCATCCATCCATCCACCCATCTACCCATCCATCCATCCATCATCCATCCATCCATCCATCCACCCATCATCCATCCACCCACCCACGTACCCACCCATTTATCATCCATCCATTCATTCACCCACCCACCCATCCATCCATCATCCATCCATCCACCCATGCATCCATCCATACATCATCCAGCTGCTCATCCATCCATCCACCCCTCACCCATCCCTCATCCATCCATCCATCAACCTCCCCACCCATCCGTCATCCATCCATCCATCAACCCCCCTACCTATCCGTCATCCATCCATCCATCCACCCACCCATCCATCATTCATCCATCCATCCACCCATCTACCCATCCATCCATCATCCATCCATCCACCCATCCATCCATTCACCCATCCATCCATCCATCATCCATCCATCCATCATCCATCCATCCACCCAACTACCCATCTACCCATCCACCCATCCATCCATCATCCATCCATCCACCCATCTACCCATCCATCCACCCATCTACCCATCCATCCATCATCCATCCACCCACCCATCCATCCATTCACCCATCCATCCATCATCCATCCATCCATCATCCATCCATCCATCCACCCATCTACCCACCATCTACCCATCCACCCATCCATCCATCATCCATCCATCCACCCATCTACCCATCCATCCCCCCATCTACCCATCCATCCACCCACCCACCCACCCATCCATCATCCATCCATCCATTATCCACCCATCCACCCATCCACCCATCTATCCATCCACCCTTCCACCCATCCATCCATCATCCATCCATCATCCATCCACCCATCCATCCACCCATTCACCCATTCATCCATCATCCATCCATCCATCCACCCATTCATCCATCATCCATACATCTATCCACCCACCCTGCCCACCCATCCACCCACATACCAATCCAGCCATCCACTCACCCATCCATCCATCTATCATCCATTCATTAATTTATCCATTTATTCAGCGAATGTTTGACGAGTGTCTGTTGTGTGCCAGTGACTGTTGCAGGTACCATGGACAAAAGTGAACAAAGCAACATGGCCCCTCCGGAGCACTGCATTTTAATGGGGAGAAACAGGCAATAAATTAATACGTTGGTAAAATACGTACCATGTCAGGTGACGTATTGTGGAGAAACATAAATGGGGAAGTGGGTATGGAGATGCCCAAGTCACCCTGCTTCTCCCACTGAGATGAAGTAATCCGTCTCTCTCTTCTGCTCCCCTACTCCCCATCTTACCATCCTCCAGACAAAACTTCCCCAGATGTAGCCAGATGGTGTCCCTCCCACAGTGGGACACTTCTGATTCTTCCACAGTCCCTGGAATAAAATTTCTATCAAGGCTGAGGAGCCCTCTCCCCATGAGCCGACCCTACCTACCTCCCCAGGTCACCACCTGCACTGCCCCAGCCACTGGTTTCTTTCCATTTGTTAGTTCTGGACACTCACTATGGATGGCTTTTAGGTCTGAGTCATGCGCCATACCAAACTACTGCTGACTGCTGCAAACTTCTCAGAGGTGCTCAGAGCTGTGCAGTGTCTGCAGGATCCTTTTTCAGGAACAAGAACCGCCCAATAAGGAGCAGCTCTGAGAAGCCCTGGGTCTTGTTTTCTCTCCAGAAAAGAGCCTGGGTTTTACGAATATTAAGGTCTGCTCCCCATTCCTCATGGGCTCCTAGCAAGGATTCTTCCCTGAGATCACCCAGAGACTCTGAGGGTAGAATAAGCGTAAGGTTGCCTGATCTTTTGGCTGAGTTTTCCACCTGGGAGCGCTGAGATGCACTAAGATGCAGGAATTTCTCTGCCACGTGCCTCTTGTTCATCGTGTGTCTGTGCTTTGAGACCACAGGTGGCTTCACCTTCGCTCATCCCCTGAAAAGCAGGAGCAGCATTTACCCATCAGTAGTGTGATTTTGAGGGTGGTTTGTTGCTGCTGTTTAAACTAAGGTGGTTTAAATTCCAAGTGCTCCCTCCAAAATCCTTCCAAAATAAATGGTGCATCAAGAATGGGCTTCAGGACACTCTGGGGCCCCCTGTCTCCACCTGCAGCATCAGCACCACCTGGAACTCATTAAAGATTTGAATTCTTGGGCCCTCCCCCTCACCTATCCAATCAGAAAAAAACATTTTAACAAGACCCCCAGGAGTCCCTGTGCTCATCAAGCTTGAGAATTGCTACTTTGATAAATCAGTTCTCACACCTGCTGCACAGTGCAGCCCTCTGAGGACTTTAAAAGGTTCTGATGCCTGCTTTGCACCCCCAAAATTTCTGAGAGCTAGTTGGCATGCGGTAGGGGAGCAGTTAGAGCTGCTGAGTGACCCCAATTTGTGGCAGAGCTTCGGAATCACTGATTTAGGGAAACCAGGAGAAAGGAACCGGGAAGCCCTGTCATCCGACAGTGGGTGGTCTCTGTCTATACCTCAGAAGGGCTGTGCCTCATTGTACAATCCAACAGAGTGCTGTGTTTCCCCTCAAAGGACAACAGGCAGGGAAGGGAAAGGAGGGAACTGATCCTAGATCCTCGCTGGTATAGGATGGTCCCCACATGTGTGTGGCTGACCCAGCCTTCCCCTTCTCAGTTGTGGTTTTCAAACAACTGAAGAATCTGCTGAGAATGCAGCATCCCCAGATAAGGAGGGACTAGAGCAACCCAGCCTCCGTTCCTGCCCCTCCTAGAACAGGATGTCCTACCTCAAGTCAGCCCATCAATCATGTGTCCCCAGGGTAGACCCAGGGCAGGCGCTTTTCCAAGTTCTCAGCTGCAGTGCCACACAAGGGAGACACACAGGTGAGACTCCCTGAACCCTGGGCAGCTCAGCTCGCCTGAGCTCGTGAGACTGATGTGCCATGGATCCAAGGATTCTGCAGTCCCCTGCTGTCTATCTGGGAGTGATAAAGCTGATTTGTATTCTGCCTCACCAGAGTCATGTGGGTGGGAGTGTGGGCTAGAGATTGGGCGGCCATCTGCGGGAGGACCCAACTTAGATAAACTACTACAGGGACAGAAATGAAATAAACACTTACAGGCACTGGGCTCTAATCCAGGTTCAATGGGTTTTCCCTCTCTTGGCCCTGGAGAGATCCTGACAGACACATTCCAGGGTCACCTGGCCCTGCTTCTCTCTCCCTGTGTTTTACCCACCACTCGAGCCTGGGCCAACTCTCAGTCAGAGGAACGTGTGGTGGGGACACGGTCCGAGATTTGAGACTCTGGGGGCATGGCCTCGTTGGCTTCGTGTCCTTACAGTGAGATGCCAGTGTGTGCAGCTCTCACGTCAGTCCTGAGCACGGTTCAGCTTTGGGTTCTCTGATGAGCTCAGATCATCCCACCTGATGTACAGAAGGCCGAGTGTGCCAGGCAGGTGCCCACTGACACGTGCAAGGGCTGAGCCATCCTTACTCCTCTGCAGAAGAACTGTCTGTCCTCACACAGAGATCTCAGGTAAGAGGGAACCGGAGCCTGGGCAGCACTGCCAACCCTGCACGGGACTGTGGGACTGAATCCCGGGCTGTCTGAGGCTGGGAGGTTTCCACAGAGAACATGACCAGTCTCTTAGAGGAACTGCTGGGAGGACTGCGCCAGGATGCCCAGACACCCTGATGGGCTGAGATGCCACCTGAGAATGGTTAATAATCCCTTCTGGACAGAGTTGCAACCCTCCCCTGAGAACCAGGGCTGCCTGCCGTGCCGTGCACTCCTGGCATCTCTCCAGCTTTCCTCTGGAAGCTGCCTCCACTGTCTCCTCTCCAACTTGCAGCAGCACTTCTCCAGAGGCTCAGGCACCAAGCCCTGTGGCTTCAGGAGCCTCATGGCCTGGTTCATCCAGGCTGGTTCATCCTCAAAGGACTAGGACTGAAATGCTGTCCCATCAGCTGACCCACGTGCAGAGCCTGGGGTGGCCTCATATCTAGAGATCCACCATGGTGAATGACGGGAAGTCAAGCAAGGCAGCGTCCAGCATGTGGGCCTGGTTGATGCCACAGTTCCTGGCCCACCTCCTGGGGAATGATTCTAAGAAGTGTGGGGCCTGGCATGGGCTCATGGTTGGAGACTCAGTCTTGCAAATGACTGGGCAACAGAGATAATTAACATCCGGGGACTTCCCTGGATATTTCCAGGAGCTTCAGCCTGGGTAGTCTGGAGTCAGCCTGGTTAATGGTTGGAGAATCAGTGTGGTCCGTGAAGAGGAATAACTCTTCACACCAGGTGGCTCAGCCTGATTAACGTTGAGAGACTCAAGTTCTTGTGTCCCAGAGGGAGAAGGGAAAGCAAATACTCTAGTCTGTTCTTAAAAGGTAAAAAGGTGATTGTTAAATGCCTGCTCTAAAAGCCCCTACAGTGAGTGAGAATCTGAGCTTGAATAGGCACCTTGGTTCAGGTCCACTGTGAAGGACCCTTCACCTTCCTGCTCCTGGGTCCATTCATTCCCCACCTCAGCACACACTTGATGCCTCACATCTTCCTGGATTTTAATTGCCCATTGAGCTGCTCTGAGATCCACAGACTTCCATACTAGAGCTGGGAGAGACCAGCACTTGTTAAACTTATGCAATAAAATATGAACTGGAATTAGAAACAGCCCTTGGTGAAGCTCAGTTCAAGAGGATGTTTTGGAACTATAAATGCAATTACTCAACATGAAGCCCTCCAGGGATGGTCAGCTGCTCATCCTGGTGAGATCATGAAATAAGGACTCCTCATGGTCAAGGTCCTCCCAGGGGGAAGTTGCTGGAGTGTGGGAGTGGAGCTGTAAGGGTTACAGGGATGAGTTGGGACACTGCCTTTCTGAAGTCTCAGCCCCAGTGCTAATTCTCTTAGGGGGCACGTGGCTTCCTGATGGTGTGGAAACAGTCACTAGCATCTATTCATCATCCACCCACTTATCCACCCATCCACACATTTATCCATCCATCATTCATCTATTCCTCCATCCGTCAACCCCTATACACATTCACATATCCATCCATCCATCCACCCATCCATCATCCATCTATCCACCCATCTACTCATATACCCATATACCCATTTGCCTATTCACCCATCCATTCACTTATCCATCCATCCACCCAACTACCTATATAGCCATTCACTTATCCATCCATCCATTCACTATCCATCCATCATCCATCCATCCATTCACCCATCTACCCATTTACTTATTCATTCACCTATCCACACACTCATCCATTCATCATCCAACCATCTATCCACACGTCTACTCATTCACCCATCCATCCATTTATGACTTATCCACCACCCATCTGCCTATCTACTCATTTGCTTATTCATCCATCCACCCATTTACCCATTTACTGGTTTATCCATCCATCCATCTACCCATTTACTTCTTCATCTCTCCACCCATCCATCATCTATCATCCACTCATCCACCCCTTCATTCAAACATGAATCAAATGTCTGCTCAGTCTCAGGCACTGCTGGGCAGCTGGTTTTATAAAAGACCATGAAAAGAGACATTCTGCTGCCAAGAGCCTCTATGCTCCATCAAAAGTAATCTTGGGCAAGATCGTAAGATGCTTTGACAAAGATGCCGCCTAAGGTTGGGTAGCATTTTGATGACCCAGTGCAGCATCTATCTAGCAGTGGTGGGGCCTCTGCAGTGCTTTCTTGCCTCCTCATCCAGCCATCCAACAAACATTACTGAGCTTCACCAGCCCATATACTTGATTTAGTAAATGGCTTAAGAAACTTAGTCTCTTTGGGGGAGTTGGTCACAGGAACAGGATTTTTGGAGTCAAATAAGAGAAATGCAACTCAGAAATGCTAAGACCAATGGGAACATTTACTGACTCAAGGAATCAAAGAAGGGTCGTTTTGCACAAGTTATTCTCTGACTGCCCCTCTGCATCACTTTGTGAACTTCTCTGACCTCACTGTGACCAGCAGGCTGACCTCTATAAATGGCAACAGTGGGGCTCCCTGCCCTCTGGATTCTGTTGGATTTGGCTGATGAGAGTCAACAGGAGAAGCCTGAGGGTGGGAGGAGACAGAAGTTGGAGCCTGCTTGACTGACATTTGGCAGTGGAGGTTTTCCTTCAAATAAGATCTCCGATCCTGCCAGATAACTCCTCTCCCAGAATTACAACCCTCCCTGCATTCCAGCAACAAAGCCCCACACCTGTGCCCTGGGGCTTACAGTGGATAACAGCTTCCCTGCTGTTCCAGTTCATGGGGTACAGGTTCCCCACCCCTACCTAGACCTCTGTAAATAGCCTCTGCATTGAACTCTCTGCAGGGAGCCCTGTGGGTCTGCTCTTGGACTCAGGTTGTGCAGCCAAAGAGCAGGTCAGATGTGCAGGTGAGCATCAGAGCAGCCAGCCCTGGATGGTCCAGCCCCACCTCCTCTGTCTTCTAATGAGATTGTCTTAACTCTTTGTCATGGTAGATCAGCTTTCCCCATATGCCAGAAAACATGCAGTCTCTTCCTCCTCTTGGCTTCATGTCAGTTCCAGTTTGAAAAATCCCAGGAAGGCCAATATGGGGTGAGGTGACCACCCATAGACCAATCAGTGGTGGCTATGGGGGCGGAGTCATGTATGAGCACAGTATCTTCCTGGAACCAGACGGTTGGATGGGAGGAACATCTCCCAGGAGAAGAGAAGGTGCATTTCCACACACGGTGGGGGGTGCTGGAATGATGAGAAGTGAAGCCCCTATGTGGATTCCATTACCTGTGGCCACTGTGATATGTCATCAAACCGACAGCACTTATCAAAATTTGAAAAACTGCCCATTCCGTTTTTAACCCAGGAGCCCAGATGCCCATGGCAGCAACAGCCCCAGTACTGAAAGGTGCCCTGAGCCCAGATCTAAGAGGTAGAGGGGACTTGTTTTAGGGCTTTCAGACCCCCAGGCACTGCAGGTAAACCCAGGACAGCCACCCCCTGAGAGGGTGACCCAGCCTTGGATCTGTCCTCAAAGATCAATAATCCCGAAGCCCTGCCCTTGTCCCCTGGGGCTCTGCACCCCACGCGCTGCTGGAGGACTCAGGCCATCAGTCTGGATTTCCCACCCTGCATGCACAGCAGTCCCAGGCTCGGCTCCCATGAGGGACACGGGTCACTCACAGCGTCGGTAACTGAGAACTGAGACCGCCCACCCCACTCTGTGCCTTTGACATCCTCTGGCAATTTTAAAGAGGTTGGAAGCTGCAGTTTCTCTCCTCAGTTTGAATCTAGGGTGATTACTGGGTTGACAGCACTCCTGAAATATCTGACTGAGAGGTACCTGGGGTTTGGCTTCTAAATCACTGCCATGGGGTTGGACACGTGTGTGTGTGTGTGTGTCTGTGTGTGTGTGTGTGTGTGTGTGTCCGGGTCCTGTGGGAGCTACTTAAGGAGGCTGCTTTGCTGCTGATGGACAGACTCAGATGTCAGTGTCTGAAAAGCATGGACTCACATTCTGAACGCTGAAGGGGGGACGCCTTGGTGCTGAGAGTCATGGTTGCATCCGGGACTGCGTCTGAGTCTTTTATCTGACAGGCAGATGGACCGTTGCTCCTGGAAATGGAAGGCAATGTGCAGGCCATTTCACAGGGAAAATATCTCATCAAAAACAAGAGATTGGTTCCCCGCAACGCCCCGTTTCAACTTCTGTGAGCACAGAAGTGGAGAGGACTCACATTTAGATGCCTGAGGCTGGCTCATGAGTAGAGAGAAAGTCTGGTTAATGACCAGGGCGAGCTGAGGAATATCAGAGGCCTGAGTCTGGCTGATGCTGGAAGCCTTGGGTACAGGTGACCCAGTCCAGGAGATAGCTGAGGCTGGGACCCTGCAGGGTGATTTTGGAGAAGCCACTTGACCAACCTCGGGAGACGCAGCCCAATTACTGGTTGGAGACTCAGCCCTGTCGGTAGGAGGGATGAACCTGACTGACTAATGCCAGTGACACAGGCTGTGTAAAGTCTGGAGACCCAGAGGGTTGGGTCAGGAAAGACGCTCAGGTGAGGATCAGCCTAGAAGAGCACACAGAGCCAGGAGAAGGGCTGCAAATGTCCCTGGGATGTAGCCTCAGCCCGGGTCAGAGCAACGCTGGAGCTGCCGTTCTCAAGTGGGAGAACAGAAGCACGAACAGCTTCAGGAAGAGGGAACAGAACAGTGGAGAACAGAGGAAGACCCAGAGGAAAACAGATGTAGCTGTTTTGCTGGATAATAAAAGGCCGATATGGCAAAGATAGAAAGCGAAGCTGGGGAGGACGCAGCTGCCGTGTGTTGGGGGCAGGATGAGGGAGGACTTTCCTGTGAGGAGGGAGGATGAGGATCTCCAGGGCTTCTGCAGGAGCCAGAGTCTGGGGGTGGATTCCAGAGGAGATGTGCAGCCGGGCCTTGTTTCCTAGGCTAGAGCAATGGGCCTCAGACAATTTCGTGACATGGTCAGGGCGGCATCTTCCCAGCACTGAGGCTGAGAGCAGAGACTTGAGGTGAGGCTGCTTGGACGTCCACCCAGCCCCAGATATTTCTTAGGAATAAGACCTGGGGCAGGAGACTTAAGCGCCCTGTGCCTCTGTTTCCTCCTCTGCACAAAAGGGAGAATGACAGTGCCCGCCTCATGGAGCTGCCACAGGATCTCATTACTGAATAGATTCTGAGTGATTTAAGAGGCGGGCATGCAGCCAGACTCAGCCGTGCCAGGTGATGAGCCCAGGATGGGAGGCAACTGCCCTGAGTGGCAACCTGATGTGCTTGAGAATCACAGCCCATGCTTGTATCCCAGTCTTTCTGGGCCCCCTCATTGCTTGCACCTGGTATGGGCCGCTCTTCACCAGTCCCTGCCATGCTGTAATCTCTGCCCCGTGGACACTGTGATTTGTCTGCCTGCACTGGGGAGGCATGTGCGGATCCCTCACCCTGGGCTCCTGCAGCTCCGGGGACCAGAGCACAGAGGGCAGGCGCTGGCAATGGAAGGAGGCCCTGGAGCACCTGTCCCCAGCCTCCCGGAGTCCCATGCGGGCAGCGGCTGCCGCTTTCTGAAGGTACCCTCAGCCACACTTGGGCCTCCTCCTGGGAAGGGAGGGTCCTGTGATGGACATGGGAGGTTCCTGTCCTGCCCCCTGAGGGCAGGGCCCGGACCATGGAGCGGGGATGACTCTGCAGCCTCCATCCCTGACCGAGGAACCTGCAGGGAGAGAGATGGGCAGTCCTAGAAGAGACCTGGAGTCCTCTGAGCAGGGCACAGGCAGCTGTGCCACGCTGGGCTAGAGCACCAGAGCCAGGAAACCAACTGACCTGGGAGGGCAGGCTCCTCATGTGGCCGCCAGCTGGCCCCGAACCTTCCCGAATGCGCTGCTGTGGTCACCTGCATTCCCTTCCTGAGGTCCGGGTCTGCAAACATGCGGGCCCTCGCAGAGCAGCTGCTGCAAGCGCCGGCATTCCTCATGGAGAGAAGGATTCCTTTGATCTCACCCTTCCTGTCAAAGGGGCTCCAGTGTGAAGGAGGGTCTACGGGAAAGCCTGCGCCGTGTTGGGAAGCCCAGGGTCACATGGGTTACGTAACTTGGTGCTCTAACACTGGACCGCAGGGGACCCGTAAGACACTCCATGCCTTGTCACAGTGGCTGCAGAATCACCAGGTCACCCCAGGGCTCACTCCACCCCTGGAAGCCTGACTTCTGTGGCAGCAACAGCTGACATACGACCAGCCCATGCCCTGCAGATCCAAGGGGGAGGGGCCTTGTTTTGGTGCCTTCTAACACCCTACTCACTGCAGAGAGCCAGGAAACCACCCCTGAGCTCTTCTGCCCTGGCTGGAGGTCCCTGAGCCCCTATCTGGGCCTCTATGGAGCCCCACACCCTGGATAGCTCAGGTGGTCCAGTGCAAAGCCCCTCCATCCCAGACCCCAGCAGCTGCAGGCTCCGCCCCTTGGGGACCACAGAGCACCTCCGGGTTCACGTGAGACGACTTGCTACTGCCACTCCTCTGACATCTCCCAACCTTTCCAGAGGAAAGACCAGACTGGCTGGCTGCAATTTCCCCCTCCCTTCACATCAGAGAGTGATGTATTAGGTGGGCGGCGCTGCTGAAACGTGCAATTAGAGACAGACCTGGGCGCTTAATTTCTGGATCATCGCCCGGATTTGGGCACAGGTGCCTGTGTGTGTCTGGGCCTCCTGGCTCCCTTTCAAGGGCTGCCTCCCGAGCACAGACTGGGGCGTCTGCCTGCAGACGCACCAACACAGGTTCAGAGAGCTGCAGAGAAAGCCTCAGCACTGGAAACATGGTCGTGCTCCCGCGCTGTATCTCGGAAATCATTCACCCTTCATCTGACACTCGGGTGGACAATTGTCTTCAGAAATGAAAGACAAGTCAGTGGTTATTGTGCAGGAAAATTGTGCACCAAAAGAGAGAGAAAGATTGGTCCTCACACAGCTGGCGGTATTGTCTTCTGTGCATACAGATATGGGGAGTGTTCCTGTTTAACGTCTCAGTAAGACAAGAGTCAGATGGGCTGTGCGTTCCAATTCTCCTTTCAGATGGCAGTTTTCCTGTGTGGAGTCTGGGCCTTGTGTGCACATGGAGCAGCGGTACTGCCCATGCCTGCTGCCTGGAGCTCCACGGGCAGAGGGACAGGGCACCCTGCCTGCCCCAAGGAGAGCTTCCTGGGTGGTACTGGAGACCAGGGAAGGAAATAGCTGTTAGCGAGATTGCTGTGTTTGAATTCACATTGCAAAGGGAAGACAGTTGACACATGGATCTTATGAAATGCATTAAATGACTTGTCGTCATGACAAATAACAAGAGCGATAACTGCTAAAGAGAGTCCAATAGCACAAAAGCAACTTAAAAATATCATTAGGCATTCACGGCGGGCTCTTCTGGCTGAGGTAGCATAAATGTTTTAAGAAGCAGTTTCCACATCCTTCCCACGTGGAGCTGGCTGTTGTCTTTTTCTTTTTAAGTTTTAAATTTGTATTATCTAATTACTTCTAGGAAAACAAGCCTCATGAACTTAAAATTCTAGCTTGCTTGATATCTCCTCTTTTTCTTTCCCTATCCTTGTGGGTGATCACCCGACCCAGCTGAGATTTCTCTCTTGAGTTCTGCCTTGTTCATCTCTAATTACTTACGTTTATAAATGGGAAGGGCCCTCAAGTCTTTGAGACTCCTCCTGGGCACAACCTTGGGGCAGTAACTACAGCCCCCCAATGTGCTTTCCTCCTTTTTGTGCTGTGGCAATAGAGTCCCCAGGATTTAGCAGGACACATGAATTCCCGGAATAAAGACTACAATTCCCATGCTCCCTTGCGGCAAGGTGTGGTCACGTGACCATGTTCTGGCCAATGGGATGAGAGAGAAAATTGTGTGTAGCACCTCCAGGTCATGCCCCTAAAGCCTGCTCTCTTCTTCCTCTCCCCTTGCCCCTGAAGGGAAGTGGATTCCTGGAGCCATCTTGAATCACAGTAGGGTAAAGAGGCATCAAGGGCTGGTGGAGAAAAATTGAGACCTTGACACCCTGGGGTCACCACAGGACCCTGGACAGCTTATTCTTGGAGTGTCTATAACAGGAGAATCCCCATTTTATTGAAGCCACTCTTATGTGGGTGTCCCTGTTCCCACAGCTGAACCCTCCTGACAGATGCACCTGTTCCCACGCTGGAGCCGTGGACTCCCTTCCCCTTGTTCCTCAGCCCAGATTCCTGCATCCTCAGGGATGTGTTGCCAAGCACCAGGGGTTTGGTTAGGTCCAGTTACTCATCACATAGAAAGCCAATCACTGAGACAAGTACTGCCAGAGAAGAAAGGCTTGAATGCAGACCAGTCCCAAATGAATCTCTCTAACCCACTAGTTAGGAGTAAGGAAGAGGAGTTGGCCAACAAACAGCAAGTCTCATTGGTTGGATGCAGTGATCTGGGAAAGTTCAGTTCCTTGATACTATCTGGAAGTCCTGACGGTTGGTTTCCTGAGACATGAACTCAGATAATAATCTTCTCAAGCTTTGTTTCTATGGGGAAATTGGGCCAGTTCCAGAAGCAGGTTTGTTTGGGCCTCAGTAGAGGGGGGAAGGTCCCAGGCATGGTGGTCCAAGGATGCTCTATGAAGCCTGGCTCTGCTGTCTGAAGTTCAAGTATATTCAACTCACAGAAATGCATCCTCCACCTCCTCTTTTCCACTGGTGTGGTTAGGCTGTGTCCCCACCCAAATCTCATCTTGAATTGTAATCCCCACAATCCCCAGCTGTCATTGGAGGGACACAGTGGGAAGTGATTGGATCATGGGGGCAGTTTCCCTCATGCTGTCCTTGTGATAGTGAGTGAGTTCTCATGAGATTTGATGGTTTTATAAGTTTGCAAGTTCCGCCTTCATTCATTCTCTCACCTGCCACCTTGTGAAGAAGGTGCCTGCCTCCTCCTCACCTTCTGCCATGACTGTAAGTCTCCTGAGGCCTCCCCAGTCATACGGAACTGTGAGTCAATTAAACCTCTCTCCTTTGTAAATTACCCAGTCTCAGGCATTTCTTATAGCAGTATGAGAACAAACTAATACATCCGCCTTCTCTCTTTCTTTTTTCCTTGCACAGTGAAAGTATCAGGTAATGACACTGGCCATTTATAGAGCACACCCTTCACCAGGCACTGTGCTAACATGTGTGAATGATCTCACTGATACTCATGGCAGGCCTATGGGTGAGGCCATGTTTGCCTCCCCATTCTACAGCTGTGGAAACTGAGGCTCAGGTCCTGAGTACCAGCACATAGCTGGCAAGTGGGCAGGGTGTGGACAGGGCAGTCCAGCTCCAGAGCCCTCTGACCTTACTGCACAGGGAGATCCTGTCACTGCCTCTTGTCAAGCAGAAGAGCCTAGCCTCTGTTCAGGATTTGTTACTTTCATAATATGTCCCCATGGAACAAGCCATTGGTCCCCCCAAGTGGTGCTCTCAGCCAATACTTCAGGTGGCTTCTCCTGACTGCCCCATCTGTGCAGGGTGTAGGAGAAATAGATGTTCTCTGAGGGCATGGCCTGTGTGGCCAAGACTGTGAAGGCCCCACAGCCCTTTGGAAATGTATGGGAGGTTGGCCACAGGGCCTTGACCAGCTTGGGCCTGCCATGGTCCTACTGGGCCAAGGTCCAAGAATGGTCATCAAGAGCCTGGAGGGTGTGTCTAGGGCTCGCCCTGGAGTGGACACGGCAGCCTGTAGGGGGTCTCTGTCTGCACCTCTCCATGGTGTAACCCAACAGCCTCTATGTCCACCCGAGGCTTGGACCTCACTTTGAGGCTGGGTGGGCAAGCCTCTCCCACATCACTGCCCACAGCCATGTCAGTATCTCCTAGGTAAGGAGCTCCCTGCATTCCCCTCTCAAACTTGCTTCTGCAGAGAAGAGTTTGCTGAACAACTTCTGAGCTCAAGACCCAGTGAGTTCTTCTGTTTCTGGCTTCTTTTACTTAGAATGATGCCCTCCAGGTTCATCCGTGTTATTGCGAATGGTAGGATTTCCCTGTTGGTTGGCTGGCTCGTGTTCCATTGTGTGTGTACCTTCACATTGTCCTCATCCATTCAGCTGTCGGTGGGAATTTAGGTTGTTCGCATATCTTTGCTGCTGTGACAGTGCTGCAACGAGGATTGCCGATATCTCTTCCAGATCCTAAGCTCAGTTCATCTGGATAACTGCCCAGAAGTGGGATGGCTGAATCATACAGCTGTGCTAGTTTTAATTTTTTGAGAAGCTTCCATATTGTTTTCCATAGCAACTACATCATTTTACATTCCTTTCTGGGGTATACGGTGGTTCCAACTTCTCCATCTCCTCACCAGCACTTACCTCTTGTATTTTTGATAATGGTCTCCCAACAGGTGTGGTTTGGATTTGCATTTCCCCCCTGATTCATGATGTTGAGCATCTTTTTCATACACCTGTTGGTCATTTGTATGTCTTCTTTGGAGAAATGTGTATTCAGGTCTTTTGCCTTCGATTCCATTTGTAGGAGGCCTCTAAAATAGTCAAACTCATAGAAACACCGTAGAATGGGGGTGGCCTGGGACTGGGGAAGGGGATGTGGGGAGTTGCCGTTCAGCTGGTATGAGTTTCAGTTCTCCAAGATGAGTAAGTTCTGGGGATCTGTTGTACAACACTGTGCCTATAGTTTACAATGCTGTAATGCACACTTAAAAGTGTGACAAGAGGGTAGATCTCTAGTTAAGTGTTCTTACTACAATTAGAAAAGAAGATATATTGGATTCCTATCCTCTGATAACATCCATCCGTGCATTCATTCTAATGCCTGTTCTGAGCAGGTACTATGTAGGAGGTGTTGGTCTTGGCACTGAGGCTACAGCCATGGACATGGGGCTACAGTGAGCTCCCGTGGGGTGGTCAGTGTCTGTGCACCTCTGGGCAGCCACATCCTGGGTAGGAGGTGGAGATTAGCAGCATCCAGCTGGGGCCCAGGCAGCTCCACCTGCTCTTTCTCTCCAGCCCCTGACACCCCACTCTGCTGCTCTTCCTTAGGGGGCAAAGAGTGGCTCATAACAGTGGGTATTTATTCTCTCACAGCTCTGAAGGTCAGAAGTGCAAAACCAAGGATTGTGCAGGGATGGTTCTTTCCAGGGGCTCTGAGGCACCCTCCATCTCACGTCTCTCTACAGCGTCTGGTGGCTGCTGGAAACCTTTGGCGTTCCTTGGCTTGTACATGCATCATTTCAATGTCAGCCTACGTCTTCACATGGCTTTCTTGTGTCTTCAGGTTTCAAATATTCCTGTGATTTTCTCTTGTAAGGACACTAGTCACTGAATTTACACCCTTAATCCAGGATGATCTCTTCTTGAGATCCTTAAATTACATCTACAAAGACCCTGTTTCCAAATAAGACTACGTTCACAGCTTCCAGTATTAGGACATAGACATATCTTTTTGGGGACCACGATTCAACCCACTACACCTTCCATCCAGACTTCTAGCCAGGAGTTAATGAGAACTTAGATTAGGCCACATGTATGGATCAACAGTGCAGAAATGTCTCCCCATCAGAGTGATCTAAAATTCTGACAATCACAAAATTTGTCCTGAAACTCCAGGCTCAAATTAAATTGTTAATGAGACATTTATTCATTTTCATTTGAGGTTTTTTTTTTTTTTTTTTTTTTTTTTAGACAGAGTCTCGCTCTGTCACCAGGCTGGAGTGCAGTGGTGCAATCTTGGCTCACTGCAACTTCTGCCTCCTTGGTTTAAGCAATTCTCCTGCCTCAGCCTCCCGAGTAGCTGGGATTACAGGTGCCCGCCACTATGCCCAGCTGATTTTTGTATTTTTAGTAGAGATGGGGTTTCACCATGTTGGCCAGGATGGTCTCGATCTCTTGACCTTGTGATCTGCCTGCCTCAGCCTCCCAAAGTGCTGGGATTACAGGTCTTTTTTTTTTTTTTTTTAACAATCCCAACTGAAAATCCCACATCAGATAAAATAAGACACATGAAGATATCCAGCTGCTATCGATAGCTGTGACTTACATAAACCCAAAGTCAATAAACCCCTTTCAGTACTGAAGGTGTTAAGCATGTAGTTTAATTATCTCCAGGGTTAAGTCTTGGGATAGATGAGGGACAACTCCTTGGTCAACCCAGAAGTGAACTAACACCACTGCCCTCCACACCAGCCCTCTGCGCTCACCAGTTCACTATTAACATTGAGCTTTTTCTCTGATTATCACGTGCACGTTTAACAGGTGCTTGCTTGGCACAGCATGGGTGCTCAGTGAATGGTTCTTGGATGAGCGAGTTTATCCCGTCCAGGGGCTCTGCTCAAGCCTCAGGCAGCCAGATTCCCCATCCAGGCCCCATGGCTCACTGGCGCAGCGCTAACATGACCCCAGTATCCAGGTGCTCTTGGGGTGGCTGACCAAAGCAGTCAGGACTTTTGGGGTGACAAGCAATGGAAACCGAAGGGGAGGGTGGAACACCTGGCTGGGAAAGGACAGCTCGGGGTCCACAAGCAGGAGCGGCTCACGGAGCCTGTTCGGGGTCTCCCTGGAGTGCATGGGCCCCACTGACTCACTCTGCCCACGCGGGTCTCACTTAGGACCCGAGTGAGGGGGGCTGCTTGGGTTAAGAGGGGCATTTTCACCTGGATTGAACAGTGTCTGCGAGGTCTCTTCCCAGCAGGAAATGGGATGTTGTGGTTGAAGGAGGGAAATGGACATGAGTGACTGTCATGCAGCAGTTGTCCACTCACTGACGGTTCAGATCAATAGATTTGTGCAAAGTTAATTACAACAAGACATGGCATGAATTCACAGGACATAAAGGCCAAAGCTTAATCACGGGTGGCACACGTGTTGTGTCCCTGAGGGCTACAGGACATTTCCTCCAGGGTAAGGGTGACCAGGGACCTGGTGGCAGCTGCTAAGTAAAGGAGGACGTATCCCCGCAGTGTGCAGACAAACCCTGCCCTTGGCCCTCCACGGTGGGCTGGAGTAACCTTTCCTGCCTTCGTTCTTTTTATTCAGATTAATTATCCTCCATGGAGCAGGAAATCCCACCGCCTTTCAACAGCCAGGAACAGCAGCTGCTAAACAGAATTCACTGCAGGACAGTCTGCTTCCCTCCCAGGCATTTGCACGGGGCCTTCCCAGTCAGAAGGCTGGGCAGGAGCTTGTGCAGAGAGAGCTGGAATTCTGGGAAAACACGTTCCATCACCATGGCTGATTCGGAGTAAAAGACACATTAACTAAGAAGCTCAGTCTGCAACCCCGTGTGCAAGAAAGTGACTTTGAAATCGTCTTTCTATAATGGAAATGCACTTCCGTTTCTTTCTCCCATCTGCGTCCTTGGTGGAGAGGTCATCCCAGCCAGGTCAGGGTCTCCTGGAAAAGGTCAGTCTTTTCCCTGGTGTTCTAAGTTCTGCAAGGGTAAAGTGAGCATTTTTAAAATACATATGTTTGGCAAATTTGCAGACATATGAATGTGAGCTGGATCAGAAATCCCACCTCCTCCCCTTGCACCCAGGTGTGTGTGGAGCTGGCGGCAGCTGCAGCGAGGGCTGATTCCTCACCGGCTGGCTCTGTGCATCCTCCCAGCCCTGGTCCCCAGCCCTCCCGAGGACAGTTCTGCACACTCCCTGAGACCCTTTACAGGAGCTCATGTTGACCTAATCAGCCAATGTCATCGTTTGTTCTTAAGGTAAGGGCTTTGACACATGCGTGGGGGCCGTATGATGCCGTGACATTGTCTGGGAGGGCACCTGGCCCAGGCATGGCTGTTCTTGTGGCCTCACTGGGACATCCTCACTCCTATGAGTCCCTCAGAGGAGTCTGGCCTGCTCAGGTCTCTGTGGCTTTCTCCTCTTCCCCTTACCCTCCTCTCCCACGTCCTCCTCCTTCTCCCTCCTCCTTTTTCTCCTGCCTGTCCTCCCCCGCTTCTCCTTCTCCTCCTCCTCTCTATCTCCCTCCTCCCTCCTCCTCCACCTGTCCCCTCTGAGCCACCTGCAGAGTGGTCTGTGGGTGCAGCATGTTCATGGTGCCCTTGCATGCATCCCTCATGGGCAGAGGACAGGGAGAAGGGGGAGTGTGCTGATGGTGGGCAGTAGGGGGCTCAGGCTGTGCTGCCACTGAGCCTCCTGGGGTCTCCCCTCCCTGCTGGCTCAGGAGATTTGAGGAAAACCCCTGTGGCAGGCTGACATAGGGACAGTGAATCGGGGTCCCTCTGAGTGGGGCCTGGAGATACGAGCGGCAGCTCCCCATGCCCGCTGCTGGGCCATTCAAGAGCAGAGTCTCCAAGGCTGGTGATTCCCCTCCAGAAAAGGCCAGCAATGCCCACGCAGCAGGATAATACTGTGAAGATTTGACTGATGTATGTTTGCCTTGGGTTGTCTCTTTTATTCCCTGACCCTTCCCCACTAGGGTCCTCACTGTTGAGGCTTTAGCTCCCAAGAGGAAGCCCTTCAGCCAAAATAGAGAACAAAGCAATAAATTACTGCTCTTAGAATGCGTGTGTTTCAAGTACATGCTGCAATGCAGAGACTCTTGGAAAATGTTTTCTAAGCCAGTTTTTTTTTCCTAGTCCTAAAATAGGTAGAAATTATTTCTGGGTGGGGGAAGAGAAAAGAATCAGAGAAGAAATAGAGACCCCGGGGAGGGTCTGCGAGAAGGGGCCCTGCACCAAACGCCATCTCTCTCTTAGTCCTAAAATGGAAAATGACGCATGACCCCGAGACATCTGGTGACTGAAAGCAAAGAGGACTTGGGTTCATTTCCTACCTGGGAATCTGTAAGCAGTGACGTCACAGTGGGCCCCACACTGCCAGATGAGGGTACACAGAGAAAATGTGGCTGGTGAGGCTTCAGGGCACAGAGACTCGGGAGAGACTGGGATCTTATCTCCCAGTACGTGAGCGAGGGAGTGATGCACCCTGGGCCCCAGAGGACCAGGTCAGGCAGTGGAGGGAGGGATGTGGCAGCATGGCTGCTCTGGGCTAGAGGAGGTGACACCAGGCACGCTGAGTACTGCACAGCCAGATCCTGAATGGGACATGCACGAACAGCAGGTGTTGGCATGAGAGGGGATGGCTGAGGATCTCACCCTGGCCCCATGAGAACCAGCAACATACAGGCAACAGAGCAGGGAAGGGAGAAAATCCTCAATGGTCTAAAAAGACACTACCACCCCAAATTGACGCCGTTCCCCTGGAACTGAGTCTACTCTTTTCTGCCATTAGGCAATGTGTGGGCTGTTGAGAAAGACTATACTCAGTTATAAAGGAACCAGGCGATTCTGCACACATGAGTTGATGGCTTGGGAATAGATGCCCACTGCATTTACAAGAGTGCTTTGGGAGAGAAGGTTAAATTCAGTGTTAACAAATGTCAAATTTCTTTTAAGACCAAAGAGAAACAAAAAGATTTGTTTTATTAACCAGGAAGTAAGATTGACCCAGGGCCAACAAAACTGATGTGAGTCTGATACCACTCTGGATTTGGGGTGGTAGGGGTTAGGGTGGACACTCAGGGTGAGCAGACTTCAGGGTGGGCACAAGGACTGCTCAACCAAGTTCTGGGTGCCGCTGGGCTGAGGAGGAGATAGCAGAAGCAGTAGTCAAATGTAGGAAAGAGGAAGAGAGACAGGGCTGGACTGGGAGAAGAAGCACTGCATTGAGGAAGCCACAGGTGAAGATCTGATTCTTTCCTCAGCCTCATGACTTGGGAGCACTACCTCCTTACAGTCCAGGGAGGAGGGAGGAAGGCTTCATAGCAAAGGAGGAAAACCCAGCAGAGTTTCTTCATTAGACTCATAAAAAGTTGTTTAATTCATTCATTTGTGCACTGGTTTCTTCATTGCTTCAGGAGAGTTTTGTCTACTACATCACTGACACTGTCCATGCACTGTTGACCAAGGGAGATCAAAGTTAATAAGGGCCCTTCTCTCTTAGAAAACAGATGTAAAATGACAAAATGAGTAGCAAAGCAATATAATTTTAGATAGTGATAATTGCTACAAAAGAAACCAAAAAGTGAAAAGATAGATAAAAACTTGGGGAGGCCACTTCCATAGGGTCAAAGAAGTTCTCACTGAAGCAAGTTTTGTGCTGAGAACTCAAAGCTGAGAAGGAATCAGACATGTGGATATATCAGGAAGAACATTCTAGACAGAGGGAAGAGCAAATGCTACATTCCATGCAGAGGGAAAAGATTTACTTATCCTTCAACTCTCAAAAAAAGGCCTATTAAAGGAAGAGGCATGCCAATTTCCAGGTATAAATACTATTTATCTCAATTTGTATTGTCCAGTGTTTATCTTAATTTTGAATTATATATGCTGATGTCCAATTTCCAACCAAAAATTACAAGACACAGAAAAAAGCACAAAAGAGTTCATTGTCAAGAGACAAAGCAACCAACAAAATTAGACAAATATGTCACAGATGTTGGAACTATAAGTCAGGGAATTTAAAATAATGATGATACTATGTTAAGGGATCTAATGAAAAATATGAAAAACATACATTAACAGGTCAGGAATTTTACTGAAGAGATGGCAACTGTACTGAATTAAATGCTAATATAAGAGAAAATAACATAGTGACAGCAATGCAGATGCCTTCCACAGACTTGTCAGTGAACTTGACACAGCTAAGGAAAGAATAAGTAATCTAGAAGATAGAGCAGTAGACATTAAACAAACCCAATTAAAAAGAGAAAAAAGATGTAAAAAAATCTTTGTTTCAGAGTAGGGCTCAGAAAAATATGAATTAAAGTGAAAAGTTTACAGCTATCTTGTTTATACTGTGCTACAGAGATCTGGGAATTGAGCTTGAAAGGACTAGGAATGGAACAGAGAGGAAGAGTAGTGAGAGGAAAATGAGCAAGGACTTCGGGGTCAGCTATGAGGTCTGTGCTGTGGGCCTGAGGCAAGTTACTGAGCCTCTCTGAGTCTCCTTTTCTTTGTCTGTTAAATGGAGATAGTCATAGTACATATCTGACTGGAATGCTGCAGGAATTAACAAACAGACACAATTGTACCTAACACAGTGTTTGACACATAGTATGTGTCTCAGATGTGGGGACTACTGTTTTGTTTTGTTTTGTTTTGTTTTGATTTGTTTTTTTTTCTTTTCAGCAAGGACTCCTCTTGTGTCCCTCCCTTGGTTCCAGTCTGATAAAGCCTGAGTCATTTTGGATCTTTATAAATAACCAGGAGCCACTATACAAATGTTCTTGGAGAGCAATGTACCCTGAGGGAACAAATTAGCATAAAGGGAAAAGTTTAGCAATTATAATAATGACCATAATGACATTCATTGAGTGCTTGCTATGTGCCAGGCTAAACTCTGTGTATTTTCTGACTTATTCCATCTACTTCGTGTGATTTTTCCTATAATGTAGATGTGAAAACCAAAGCTAAGGGAGACAAAATGACTGCATCAAGGCCACACCCAGTGAGGGTAGAGACAGGACCATACCTGAGCTATCTGACTCCAGGCTCTGCAATGGAAGTGGCGTCATTCGTCTGGGGTAATACCCAAGGTTCGTTGCCTCATGCCAAGGAAATCAAGAACGTGGACACACAAAGAGTGAGGTTAACAGTGGAGGTTTAATAGGTGAAAGAAAGAGAAAAGCTCTCTGTCCTGCAGAGAGAGAGGGGCTCCCAAGTGGGTCTTCTGGTCCTGTGGTGAAATGCATGGGGTTTTACAGATAAGCTTGAGGAGGCAGTGTCTGATTTGCATAGGGGGCGAGAGATTGGTCAGACCAGGTGGGCCATTTGCATAACACGTGAAGAAGCTGGCCGTCCCACCCTAATCTTTTATTATGCAGATGGCATCTCTATCTGGATGGTGGCTTGTTGCCTGCTTCTTTACTGTACACGTGGTTGACAAAGAAAAGGGAAGATGGAGCCTCCATGTTGAACATGTCTGGCTCACAGGTAGGCTTTTCGTTTTGGCCCAGCTGCTGGCATTCCCCAGTGCAAGCTTCTAGCTTGCTTTTCTATGTCTGCAGCTTGATTTTTCAGGCTGCTCTTTGTTAGAAAAGAAATGATTTGGGGGCTGCTTTTTGTTAAAAGGGAAACCTTGCCAAGGACTCTCTTCTCCTCACTAACTGCCTAAACAATTTCTTTCTAGCACCTGTATCACAATGCTAACTACAACATGATCATCCCCCTCAGGGAAGTACAAGGTTATTTAAAAGGACCATCCAGGAAGCCTGAAGTACATATTGTAAACCAAAAATAAAATTCTAAGGCCTCACCAACTATCTGGATGGACTCTTCCTCTCAGCCAAGGGTATTCCAAAGTTAACCTGAAAACCTAGTTCAGGCCATGATGGGAAGGGGGAGCCAGGCATGCCTCATGATACCCTCCTCCCTTCTGGAACTACTGGAACAGACTCAGTGTGATAAAAATAAAAAGAGAAAAAAATATATTTATAGTCCATTCTCTCTAAAGCCTGCTAACTGGAGGCTTCATCTGCACAATAAAACTTCCCTCTCCACAACCCTTTATCTTAGCCTGGATATTCCTGTCTATCAATGATAACTCTTTCAGCCAATTGCCAATCAGAAAACCTTTGAATCCACCCATGACTTGGAAGTCCCCACTTCCAGTTGTCCCACCTTTGTGGACCAAACCAATGTACATCTTATGTGTATTCATTGATGTCTTGTGTCTCCCTAAAATATACAAAAACAAGTTGTGGCCCAACCACCTTAGGCACATTTTCTCAGGATCTCCTGAGGGCTGTGTCACAGGACATTGCTCACTTATATTTGGCTCAGAATAAATCTCTTCAAATATTTTACAGAGTTTGGCTCTTTTCATTGACAATGTACACAAACAACATGGGAGAACCAAAAATGTGTAAATAATTTTTGACCTACAGTAGACTGAAATAGAAGGAAGAGAAAGAAAATGTCCTTCAGTTTTGTTTCCTTTTTCTTTTTTACAACACAAGTGCTGGAAGCCCTTCCATTTTGACAAAGATAAAGAACACTGTCAAGGTGACATGTCTTTGTATGTCAACCTTTCTTGAAAAAGGAAATTCCAGTCTAGAAAACATAGTTAAAAGAGGGTTAAAAAGTAAACTGAAGGGGAGGTTGCATTTTGACATTTCTCAAGAAATGAGCTTTGGTGGAGCTGATGCAGCAATAAGGCTGAGGAATACACATAGACAGGGTATGGATGCCTGTTACCGTTCAGAATCCTCAAAAGTCGTAATTTAAATCCAATGCCTAACAGACGCTGAGTGTATGCAAAACAGGCCTGGAACTCAGAGCCCAGTGGAAGCTTGCTAAGAACTTGAGAGATGCAGATGAAATCATTTTGCTTTTCATCAGCTCCCATTAGGTTTGTGTCATATAGTGCCCTACACCCTACTTGCGTGGTGAGAATTTCTCACTGAGGAAGGCAGGACTCCTGCTAGAGGGTGAGCCCTGGGGCACACTGTGGACCTGGGACCCCTCAGCCTCCTGAGAGATGAGCTGGGGGCTGGGGGTGTCAGCAGAAGCAACCTATTGTTCTCATGGGAAGCTTTGGTGGACCAAGTGCAATCATCAGACCTATCTCCAGGGCTGTCCTTGAAGCTCATGTGTTCTTGCTGCTTTTCCACTATAAATTCAAACTTTTAAAGCACAGCAATACATTGTGGACACAGAATTCCTTTTTTTTTTTTTTTTTTGAGACAGAGTCTTCCTCTTGACAGGCTGGAGTGCAATGGCATGATCTTGGCTCACTGAAACCTCCACCTCCCAGGTTCAAGTGATTCTCCTGCCTCAGCCTCCTGAGTAGCTGGGATTACGGGCACCCACCAACACACCCCCATGCCCAGCTAATTTTTCGTATTTTTAGTAGAGACAGGGTTTCACTATGTTGGCCAGGCTGGCCAGGCTGATCTTGAACTCCTGACCTAAAGCAATCCACCCGCCTCAGCCTCCCAAGAGAATTCCTTTCTTTATAAGTGCCTAGGGCATAACAAGGCACATCTTCTGGAGGTGTAACACGGCATAGCCACAGCGGCTCTATGGGCAGAGAACCCTCAGACCCTGCAGCAAAGGACACTGTGCTCTGCCTGGATTCCCTCAGCACCTGGGTGAGCTACCCACCCTTGGTCTCCCCTCCAGTGGGCCTCACACCAGCGCCCATCCCTGTCTAGGCACAGACCATGTGGGAGGGATGCCCAGACATTCCGGCCAGCATCGGTGTTAGGAACAGTCCTGGTGGTCCTCAGTGAGGAGCCCAGAGGGGCAGAAGTTTGTGAGAGAGAAGGAGAAGAGCAGCAGGATGGGGCGGCAGGGATGGGGCACTGAGGACCGGGTGAATTCTCAGATCAGCCATTGACACAGCCATGCATCACAGGGCCACGGATGCCTCCGTCCATGCTGCCATTTCCACTGGCCTTTCCCACAGGGGAGCCCGGGGGCCCGTATGACCGTGAGAAGGGGTTGTGTCTGGTGGGTTGAGCTCAGAGCACGCTGGGGAAGCTGCACCCTCGTCTTCTTTCACCTGCAGCCAGGACATTTTCTGAGGCCTCTGAGGCTGCTGGCCAGGACAGGGAGGTTTCTGCAGAGCAGGGCAGAGAGCGCCTGGCTCCGGTGAGAAAGGGGCTGTCAGGCCAGGCGCAGTGGCTTACACCTGTAATCCCAGCACTTTGGGAAGCCAAGACAGGTGGATCACCTGAGGTTGGGAGTTCGCGACCAGCCTGACCAACATGGAGAAACCCCCATCTCTACTAAAAATACAAAATTAGCCGGGTGTGGTGGTGTATGCCTATAATCCCAGCTACTCTGGAGGCTGAGGGAGAAGAATCGCTTGAACCTGGGAGGCAAAAGTTGCAGTGAGTCGAGATCACGCCATTGCACCCCAGCCTAGGCAACAAGAGTGAAAGTCCATCTCAAAAAAAAAAAAAAAAAAAAGAAAACACAAAAAGAAAGGGGCTGTCAGGCAGGTGGCCAGGCCAGGGAGGTTTCTGCAGAGCAGGGCAGAGAGCCCCTGGCTCGGGTGAGAAAGGGGCTGTCAGGCAGGTGGCCAGGCCAGGGAGGTTTCTGCAGAGCAGGGCAGAGAGCCCCTGGCTCGGGTGAGAAAGGGGCTGTCAGGCAGGTGGCCAGCAGCCCTGAGCCTGGAGATGGGGATTCAGGAGCCCACCTGCTGCTCGGCTCAGAGCTGAGAGGAGAAACAGCCCAGAGGAACAGCGGCCTCCCCCATCCCAGCTCACGCAGAAATGCATTGGAATGTCAGGAAATTGTGTGTATTTGATGTATTTTACCTGTTGCCTAGAGAGCCCACACAGTGATGCAGGTGCCTGTTTACATTGGCTGATTGCCCGGACTTTGGAAATGCAATTATCCCCCACCACCCCCTCAGCCACTTTCTCCAGCGGACTAGGAGGGGCTGAGTGGTGCAGCCTCTGTGAAATGCTTGGCCCAGGAGAAAGCAATTCCAACGGGGCTGTGACAGCTGAGGGGGACGGTGTGGCTGCGCAGAGCCCATCAGGGCTTGTTACTGGAAGGAGAGGGAACAAATGCCAGGCAGGCAAAATGACCCAGGACCGGCGACCACAGGCCCCTGTGGCTTCAGCAAATGCAGCTGCTTCCATTTGGCTGCAGACAGAAGCTGGATGCACGTCTGTGACCAGAAATGGACCTGCCCCTTGGTGTCCATGACAACAGCCCCTCAAAAGCAGCTCTGAACTAATCCTACCTGGCCCAGGTGTGGCTGCGGTGAGACGTGCGTGGCATGCGGGTGCCCCACGCTGGGACAATCCCTTTGTTGAATCACAGAAGATGAATTAAGACAACATGCCTGGAGGTGCCCTGGGGACACAGAGGAATTAAGGATGAAAATCGCCAAAGCCAGGCTGGAGAAATTAATTTCAGTGTGTGAGCACACGATCAGGAGGACTCATTAAAGCTGAATGGAAATTAAATCCTGACATTCCAGGAGGGCACTAAAGCACCTAATGAGAAAGAGGGTACACACACAGCCAGGCAGCACTAACATGAGCTGCAGGTAACCAGGTGCAGGGTGGTGTGGCCTGGGTCCTAGACTGGTGGACAGCTGTGCGGGGCAGCTCCTCCTGGCTGACTAAAGTCCCAGCTATGCCCGGTCTGTGCCACCTGTCCTCACTTGTGTCTCACTGCTTAACAAACCACCCAAAAATGCTGTCACTTCAAACAAAATCAATAATTTATTATTTCTGACAATTCTGTGGTCAGGATCTCTGGCAGGGCCCAGCCGGGTGGCTCTTCTGCTGTGGCGTTGCCTGGGTTCCCTTCCTCAGTTGCATCTTGCTGGTGGCTGGGCTGAGCTGGAAGGTTCTAGAAGGATTTTATGTGACTGCCAGCATTGTTTTCAGGATGATTAAAAACAGCCCGTCTAATCCATCATCAAGACCTCAACAGTTACCATGGAGACCACTTTATTACCAAGAGGAGAATTCAGGGGAAGCATCTGTCAAATGAGCGAAGGCTGTCAGGCGTTGACTTCTCCTCCATCTGAGAGATGGCTCTGATCCTCAGGGCTGGGCTGTCTCTTCATGAAGTGGGAGCAGCCACAACTTGGTGATGGATCAGGATCACCCCACGCCTGAACCTGAGGCTTTAATTAAACTTCTCAAATCTCTACCTTGTGCCACCCTCTGCCCTTCACTCTCCTTGGGCTCAGCTGGAAGGAAGGGAGATTTGAGACACTGAAAAATACAGCGTTTGATTTGCTAATTCCCAATAAAAGGGAGTCGAGAGAAATTTATGTTCAGGGCTTTAGGAAGTGTGGGTGTTGGCTCCGTCCTAATGCCTGAAACTCACTGCGCCCCTGAGGGAGCAGCAGGTTTCCTCCTGCGAATGACTGCGATCTCTCAACTAAACTCCACCCAGGAAACCTGTGTTCACGTGAGGCAGGCGAGAGAATAATGGCTCAGAGACCCAGCAGAAGCCCCTGCTGACCTTGGGGTGTCCTCTAGCACCTGACAGAGGACACACCTGGAGGACCACGTGGCACTGCCGGCCCAGA
The DNA here is from genome assembly GCF_000001405.40 of Homo sapiens. Lineage (NCBI taxonomy): Eukaryota > Metazoa > Chordata > Mammalia > Primates > Hominidae > Homo > Homo sapiens. Next base: position 131,431,141 of record NC_000012.12, read on the forward strand.
CTTAAAATATGGAATTAATCCCCAATAGGTAAAAAGTGGGAGATTTCCATGAATTCACCAGTTCACACATCATTTACCGTACCCTAGCTGAGCTGGGCACTGCTGTGGGTGCTGGGGATAGATGCTCGGGGAACAGAGACCCTGCCTGCGTGCAGACCCCCTTCGTGGGCCCACGTGCAAGCCGGATCCCTGAACGGATCCAACAGCCTGGGCAGCTGGCACGGGGCTCTCCTTGCTGCAGCATCTGTGGGTGAAGCCGCTGCTCCCCTTGGGACTGCACCCTCTCTGCGCCACAGTCCCCACCACGCCCTATCGCTCCCACGTTGGGGCTGATGCCACTTGCTGTTTGTCACCAATTGGGTGACGCTTCCTCAGAATGGACCAACAGGGAAAGGGAAGAGCTTTTGTTTTGTTTTGTTTTGTTTTTATGCTTACCAAAAATAGGAAAACAGAAGATAGACCATGGGGACTGAGTGTTTCCAGAACCCCTGGACGAACATTTCCGCACAGTTGTGGAAAATTCGTGGTTGAAAGTCCAAACTCTGAGAGCCAGTTGGCCTGGGCTCTCCCTCAGCCTCATCCTGGCTGGAGGATCGAGCAGCTTCCTGTGTCTCAGACCCTCAGGTTCCTCGTCTGTGAGTGGGGATGAGAACAGCACCTGCCACTTCTGGCTCTTTTTTAAAAACAATTTTAATAGAGATGGGGCCTCACTATGTTGCCCAGGCTGGTCTCAAACTCCTGGGCTCAAGCAATCCACCCACCTCGGCCTCCCAAAGTGCTGGGATTACAGGGGTGAGCCACTGCATCCGGCCCCTTTTCTGGCTCTTACGAGGGTTGAGTGAGCCTGTACACCTGAAGAATATAATATGCAAATAAAACCCCATCCGGCATGCAGGTCACTTCCTGGCCCCTGATGGTGTTTGATTTTTCAACCCCTGTGAATGGGCATCAGACTCAGAGCTTTGGGCAGATGAGGCCTTAGCTAGTTGTGAATAACATCATTTTGCCTTCATTTCACGTTCAAGCCACCTTCTGTTTATGGTAAGGGAGAACGATTTTCTGCTTATGGTAGTGAAATGATGTTTCATCTTTAGAGGAATTTAGTGGAGTTGAAAGTGAGATGATTTAAAGAAAAACATGGAATAAGTAATGTGTATGGAACATGGAAGGTAGGAAGTGAAGACTGGAGTCTGGGAAGCCAAGAATGAGTCCAATTTCCTCATTTTACAAGTGGGGAAACTGAGGCCCAGAGAAGGGACAGGACTCACCCAGGGCCACACAGCGAGGCTAAGGCAGAGGGAAAACCAGAATCCATGTGGCTCCCCCCAGACTCAGTGTGTGGCTGGTCACTGCTGATGGCTCACCCACCAGGGACAGGAGGAGGAGGAGGAGAAGGGCAAAAAGGAGGAGGAAGAGAATGAGGAGGAGGAGTTGGGGAGGAAGGGGGGGAGGAGGAGGAAGAGAGGAGGAGAAGGAACTGAAGGAAGAAGAGGAAGAGGAGGAGGAGGGAAGTAGGAGGAAGAGGAGGAAGGGAGCAGGAGGTATCTGTGGGCTCTCATTGCCCAGTTTCGTCCTCTGTGGGGAAGGCCGGTGGGAGCCTGTCACGGCTCATTGGTCTCTGCGCTGCCTGGCGGCTTTCACACAATAGCAGGTTTCAGTAGCTGTGGGAGAGCCCCCATGGCCCTTGAAGATTAAGGTATTTCCCATCTGGGTCTTTATGGAAGACGTTTTCTGGCCCAACTCTACCCTGTAGTACCCCCCAACATCCCCTGGGTCCCCTCCCCCATGTCCCAGCATCCCCCGCGTCCTCTCCTCTGTGTCCGGGCATCCCCTGCGTCCCCTGCGTCCTCTCCCCTGTGTCCCGGCATCCCCCGCATCCTCTGCCCTGTGTCCCGGCATCCCCCGCATCCTCTGCCCTGTGTCCCGGCATCCCCCGCATGTGTCCCCTGCATCACCTCCCCTGTGTCCCGGCATCGTCTGCCCTGTGTCCCCCGCATCCTCTGCCCTGTGTCCCCCGCATCCTCTCCCCTGTGTCCCGGCATCCCCCGCGTCCTCTCCCCTGTGTCCCAGCATCCCCCGCGTCCTCTCCCCTGTGTCCCGGCATCCCCCGCGTCCTCTCCCCTGTGTCCCGGCATCCCCCGCGTCCTCTCCCCTGTGTCCCGGCATCCCCCGCGTCCTCTCCCCTGTGTCCCGGCATCCCCCGCATCCTCTCCCCTGTGTCCCGGCATCCCCCGCGTCCTCTCCCCTGTGTCCCGGCATCCCCCGCGTCCTCTCCCCTGTGTCCGGGCATCCCCTGTGTCCCCCGCATCCTCTCCCCTGTGTCCCGGCATCCCCCGCGTCCTCTCCCCTGTGTCCCGGCATCCCCCGCGTCCTCTCCCCTGTGTCCCGGCATCCCCCGCGTCCTCTCCCCTGTGTCCCGGCATCCCCCGCGTCCTCTCCCCTGTGTCCCGGCATCCCCCGCGTCCTCTCCCCTGTGTCCCGGCATCCCCCGCGTCCTCTCCCCTGTGTCCCGGCATCCCCCGCGTCCTCTCCCCTGTGTCCCGGCATCCCCCGCGTCCTCTCCCCTGTGTCCCGGCATCCCCCGCGTCCTCTCCCCTGTGTCCCGGCATCCCCCGCGTCCTCTCCCCTGTGTCCCGGCATCCCCCGCGTCCTCTCCCCTGTGTCCCGGCATCCCCCGCGTCCTCTCCCCTGTGTCCCGGCATCCCCCGCGTCCTCTCCCCTGTGTCCCGGCATCCCCCGCGTCCTCTCCCCTGTGTCCCGGCATCCCCCGCGTCCTCTCCCCTGTGTCCGGGCATCCCCTGTGTCCCCCGCATCCTCTCCCCTGTGTCCCGGCATCCCCCGCGTCCTCTCCCCTGTGTCCCGGCATCCCCCGCGTCCTCTCCCCTGTGTCCCGGCATCCCCCGCGTCCTCTCCCCTGTGTCCCGGCATCCCCCGCGTCCTCTCCCCTGTGTCCCGGCATCCCCCGCGTCCTCTCCCCTGTGTCCCGGCATCCCCCGCGTCCTCTCCCCTGTGTCCCGGCATCCCCCGCGTCCTCTCCCCTGTGTCCCGGCATCCCCCGCGTCCTCTCCCCTGTGTCCCGGCATCCCCCGCGTCCTCTCCCCTGTGTCCCGGCATCCCCCGCGTCCTCTCCCCTGTGTCCCGGCATCCCCTGTGTCCCCTGCATCCTCTCCCCTGTGTCCCGGCATCCCCCGCATCCTGTCCCCTGTGTCCCTGGCTTTCTCTGTGTCCTCTCCCCTGTGACCCAGCATCCCCTGTGTCCTTGCTCCTGGACACCAGCCACCAGGGAAAGGCCACACCAGAGTCAGCTTTCCCCGTCACAGATCAGCTGGCTGGGCTTTTGTGGGTCTATTCCTGGGCTCCCCGTTTCGTCCCAGTCATCCATTTATCTGTTCTTTCATTGATACTGTTACCTGGGATGAATGCCTATGGAACATAGCTGAATTTCTACCCTGCGCTAACTCTGCTTATCTTTAGGAAACAGGACTCCCAGGATAAAAAGTTCCCTTTCTAACCAGACCAGCTGAGACTGGTTGAAACCAAGATAGCTGACCGAGAAACTTCAAAAAGACCTTCAGCCTTATTATCATCTCATTTCCATGCTCAGTGACACGCCCACAGTGCCATGATGGTTGGAAATCACCATGACGATGACTGGAGGAAGGAAGGTCGCGCTCCGGTTCCAGGAAGCTCACTGCCCGCTCCCGGAAAAGACATGAATATTCCTCCCCTTGCTTGGTGTGTCCAACCCTTTCATGAGACAGTCAGTGTGTGTCAGCCTCCCCACCCCTCCCAGGCTGAGTGGATTTGTGAGCCGCACTCCCACTTCTCAATGCCAGGGCCACGGAATGAAGCCTGCACTGCGGACACTCACTTTCGGTTTCATGTATTGGCTTCGTGACACCCCACAGCGAAAGACCCTCTGTTCTGGGGGAATGACTGTGTTGGTGACAAAACCATGCTTTCTGGATCACTGTGGTATTACGGCAGGGCTTGAAGTCAGGTATGTGGGTTCTCCAACTCTGTTCTTTTTTCTTCCTCATGGTGTTGGCTGTCCGAGGACTTTCGCCTTTCCATATGAACTTTAGACTCAGGTGGCATCGCCTGCAGAATGCCTTGCTGGGATTGGCCGGGATTGAACGTTAGACTCAGGTGGCATCACCTGCAGAATGCCTTGCTGGGATTGGCCGGGATTGAACGTTAGACTCAGGTGGCATCACCTGCAGAATGCCTTGCTGGGACTGGCTGGGATTGAACGTTAGACTCAGGTGGCATCGCCTGCAGAATGCCTTGCGGGGATTGGCTGGGATTGAACGTTAGACTCAGGTGGCATCGCCTGCAGAATGCCTTGAGGGGATTGGCCGGGATTGAACGTTAGACTCAGGTGGCATCGCCTGCAGAATGCTTTGCTGGGATTGGCTGGGATTGAACGTTAGACTCAGGTGGCATCGCCTGCAGAATGCCTTGCTGGGATTGGCCGGGATTGAACGTTAGACTCAGGTGGCATCGCCTGCAGAATGCCTTGCTGGGATTGGCCGGGATTGAACGTTAGACTCAGGTGGCATCACCTGCAGAATGCCTTGCTGGGATTGGCTGGGATTGAACGTTAGACTCAGGTGGCATCGCCTGCAGAATGCCTTGCGGGGATTGGCTGGGATTGCAGCGAATCACCTCTTGGCTCTAATAGCCAAAATTCATAGCTGTGCAGAACTCTCTTTGAAAAAATGGCCAATGATTACATAAGAGTGAATCCAATTCCCATTAACAAATCTTAATATAATACATCCAACAAAGCTACGTGTAGAAACTAAGTGACATCAAACATATGCTTGTCGTAATCACGTGTGTTGAAAACTGTGTTGAAAAGTGCACCAGGTGCCAGTAGGGGCCAAGGGACCTAGGCCCCTTGCCAAGGTCAGCGCATGCTGACCTGCGCTGGTGGTCGGGTGGAGGGCTCCATTTGCAAACAGGCGACAGTTGGCTGCCAATCTTGTTGATCATTTATTTGCTGATCAAAAAGGAATTCTGTCAGTACTGTGCACCCTAACACAATATTTGGACCTTCATACATGTATTAGTCGGTTTTCCTGCTGCTAATAAAGACATACCCAAGACTGGGTAATTTATAAAGGAAAGAGGTTTAATGGACTCACAGTTCCGCATGGCTGGGGAGGCCTCACAATCATGGTGAATGGCAAAGGAGGAGCAAAGTTGCATCTTACATGGCAGCAAGCAAGAGGCCTTGTGCAGGGGAACTCCCATTTATAAAACCATTAGATCTCATGAGACTTACTCACTATCACGAGAACGGCATGGGAAATGTCTGCCTCCATGATTCAATTACTTCCCACCAGGTCCCTCCCACAACACATGGGAATTATGGGAGCTACAATTCAAGATGAGATTTGGGTGGGGACTCAGCCAAACCATATCGATACATAAGCATTTTACTGGGCTTTGGCTGTATTAAGGGATTGATTGGAGATTTTAAGATCATACATTATAATTTTTCCCATTTAAAATAATGCAAAATGTGTTCTTCATTGATGCTTCCAAGCACAGATTCTGACATTTTGCAACAGGATTCCAATGTTAAGAGAAAGCTCCGTGTCACTTACTGGTTCTGATGGGTCAGACCTGGACTCGGGGAATGGAGGGGCTGGGTTCCTCCTAAACCACAGGGACTGAGGTGGGGTACGAGTGACTACCCAAAAGAACACTGGGGTTCATTTAGCAACAGGATGGGAAATGGATACTGAAAAGCAAAATAACAAATTTTACAAAAATGTTTTCTGTCCAAGAATTAAATATGTGACACATCAATGTGTTCAATGTCCTTACATATTATGCGTAAGACATCTGGGCACAGATAGGAAGGCAGGACAGGTCTGAGCACCTCCCGCCACCTCTCCCCTCCCGGCTCAGGAAAGCTGCTCACAGCTGCAGCCAGCCCGGCCCCCCGCCCTCACCTGCTCCCCCTGCTGTCTCCAGAGTCCCTGGGCTTTCTCCCCCTCCACCTGTTTCCTCTCCTTGGGCTGCCTCTCCCAGGCTAAACATGCCCGGGGCACATCAGTGTTGAAAAGAGCTGTTTCTCTGCTGTCCTCACCCCTAAGCTACAGGCTACACCTTGTTTCCCACCCACGGAGAATCTTCTAGGGAAATTAGTGCACAGGATAAGCTTTTAACAGATTATCAGAAACGTTTTCATCCTAGTGTTTCCTGTGACCATGTGGCCCGCCCATCCAGGATGGTCTGCATCCAGGGAAAGATGGGGAAGAGGGGAGGGCAGGCCCAGTGGGGGCCTCCCCACCCACAGGCCCCTCCTCCTCCTGATGGAGCAGCCCCATCTGCTACAAGCACTCCCCAGGGGTGCGGGGTTCATGCTTAGAGCAGCAATCATTCCTGTTTATCTGAAATTCAAATCTGCCTGGCATCAGGTACATTCATTTACTAACCTGCAGCTCCACCTGGAATGATTTGGGACAGCCCTTCCCATCTCCCTGGGAAGGATCAGTGGTGTTTGGACAGGCACTTTGCACCCTGGGTGCCTGTGAGGTGGGTTCCCCTTCAAGAAGAGGCCTAACCAGTGCTCCTGCTCCCTGGGTCGGGTCTCCTCACAGCCCAGGGTCTGGGTGGTCTGCAGGGCAGGCTGTTCTCTGTTCCTCCAGCAAGGATGACCACTGCAGGTGGGGCTGCAGGGAGGCCAGGTGCTACCAGGTAGAGGCCAGAGCTGGGTCGCTCAGTTCGCTCTGCTCTTGTCCTCAGACCCCGATGCCAGCTCTAGAAAGAGGGGCCCTTTTGCCTTGGCCTCTCCATGGGGCACAGGCCTCCCTCCCCACCCCACCACGGCAGTGGGGGCATGAGCTCCAGGGACACCTGCTTTCCTCACAGCCCTGCCCTGAGGACGCTGATTTGCCTTCTTGCCACAGGTCCAGAAAAGTCTGGATTTGATCCTGGCACCGAGGAGGGTCTCTGTGAGCTTGGACTCCTCTCCTGACAGGGGGAAGGGCAGGGCCAGTGCATCTCACAGCCATGGCAGGCTGATGGGACTGTCACACAGCTTTTTGGCCTTGAACTCAGGGCTTAATGTTATCATATCACTTAATACTCCCAGGGACCTGGGTGAGGTACAGTCCCATTCCCATTTGACAGAGAGGAGGCTGGGGTGCACTGAGAGGTAATCAGTGTGCTGGCGACATTTAACAGCCAGCTCTCCAGAAACATAAATCACCCTGATTTGTGGAGATTGCCAGGTTCCCAGGCACAAATATTCCCAGCACATCCAATTTCAAGTGCTAGCAGTTTAACAACTGGCTCATAAAACCCCTGAAAATGTGAGAGTCGGCTCCCACAAGCTGCTGTGGGACAGCCCCAGCTCCCTGATAACCTTCTAGGACCTGCCCTAGTTGGGGAGGAGACGGATCCAGACCCCAAGGGCCTGGACACCAGGGGGGCTCCACTCAGATCCTCTGGCCCTCACCATTCCCAGGACCCCCTCTTGGGCTTCTGTGTTCTTCTCTCTCCAGGGCTGGCTCCTGACACTCCTCTTTAAACAACTGTCCTTAGGCCACTGAGCCCGACCAGCCCCACTGCAGTGAGCCGAAGTGGCCTGGGGGCCAGCCATGCTGAAGCTGCCTCCTCCCAGCTTGTGGGATATGATTTTGGTGTTTACAGTTTTCAGGAATTATATAAACCAGGTATGACACAGGCTGAACATCAGTCATGGTGAAATTATTCACATCCCAGGAACCTGGCAGGGGCTGTGCTGCTGCTGCCCCTGGGAGTGAGTTGTCCCACACTCAGCAGCTCGCCCTGTCTCATCCTCCCCACCTAGCGAGGCTTTGACCAGTGACGGGGGTGTGGGAACCTCCAACAGGGCGGCTGAGGCTGGGTTCACGCTCCAGGGCGCCCCTGCAGGACCACAAGGAAGCCATTGCAGTCAGGAGACCTGGCGCTCAAAGCTTCGCTTATCCTGACCCTGTGCCTCTCCCCGCTCCCTCCCGGCCCTCCCTTCACGCGTCACCTGTTCCCAAGTCCTCATCCCAGGATCTGCTTCCGGGGACCAGGCCTGATAGGCTCCAAAGCTCTGCTCTTAACCAGCACCGCAACTGGAGGAAAAGCAGGAGGCATTTGGCTGTTGATGATCATGACATTTTCATTATTCTGTGTGGTTTGGGTTTATTTTACCCAAGGAGCACAGTCCACAGAAAATAGAACATTTCAGGAATACCAACCAAGCTAAGTAACATGTTCACATGATATTTATTAAAACTGTGATGAAACCGGCTCCACAAACCGTTGATAGAAGATGGGCTGTGTAAAACCGGTACTGGGAAAACGGGTTGTCTGTGTGGAGGAAAGTAAGACTGAATCGCTAACCAATACTGCAAACAAAGATGGAGTCTAGATGGATTAAAAACCTGAATATGAAAAGAGAGAAAATATGAAAACATATAGAGTCTTTGGGAACTTGTGCCTGGGAACAATTTTTTAAACACATTTGGAAAGCATAAACCATAGAAAAATGATTAGTTTTGTCACATCAAAACAAAGGATGCCTGCTTAATGAAGAAGACCATGAACAAAATCATTAGACGACTGGCAAAATGGGAAAAGAGATTTGCAAAGTTTAAAACTGGAACGTGATCAGTGTGTCAAATATACAATGTAACTTTGTAAATCAACAAGGAAACAAGGAGAAATCCCAAAGAATGGACAGAGCGATGTGAGCAGGCAACACCCAGGAGAGGAAATCCCAACAGGCCAAGATGCCACACCCAGGCTGTCTCCTGTCACTCCTGGCGGTGATTAGGAAGCTGGCGGCTCCCAGCCTGGGCAGGGACGCAGGGATGTCCTGCAGGTGGGGGTGGACGGAGGGCCCTGGACCCAGCGGTCCCACCTCAAGTAGACACCCAGGGAGGTGCTGACCCAGGCCCACAGATGACCTCTGAGGCCCACAGATGACCTCTGAGCCTGTCTGTGGGGGCCGGGAGGGGCACAGGACCTGGGTGGGTGTCCCTGGGAGAACAGAGAGGAAAATGGGGTGGGCGCACACGGAGAACCATGCAGCAATGAGACAGCATGAGCTGGTGCACACGGAGCGATATGAGAGCATCTTTAAAACATGATTATTTGTAAAAGTTTACAAATACACAGAATGAAATTAATCACATGAGACCATTGACGTTCATGCCCGGAAACAGCAATGGGCACTCTCCAAGAACACGTCCCAATAAAAAGATCGTCATTACACACGGCTCAGTGATTTCCTAACGGCAGGGAGGGGAATGGGAGGAGGAATGGGAAGGAACGAAAATACACCATAAAGCCTGAAGCCTGAGGGAATCCACGCGCAGAGAGATGAGATGTGATGTGTCACACACTGTGCAGTGGGGTTCATTCACTCCTGACTCTTGAGGGCCAGTCATGAAGTGGGGGAAGAGATGGACGCAGTGAGGTACGGGCTGTGAGACCCGTGGAGACCTCAAAGGCTGGGTGTCAGGATGTGTGTGTCCTCCCTCCCGTTACAGGACAGTGTGACCACACCCCCTGCCTGGCTCTGCCCCTCCAGCCTGGCCCCGCCCACGCCTGACCCAGCCCCCTCCAATGTGGCCCCGCCCCTATGGCCTGACCACACCCCGACCACACGTCTCCACCTTGGCCCCATCCCTGTGGTTTGACCTTGCCCCTCCATCCTGGCTTCCCCCAGTGCTTGACAGCACTCCATGGTTAGAGCATGCCCTTCACCCTGGCCCCACCCTTCTGTCTGGCTCCTCCCCTCACCCTGGCCCCACCCCTATCTCCACACCCATGGCTTGGCCACCCCTGTCCATCCTATCCCCACCCCCTATTTCTAGCCATTTCCTTCTCTGATCCCTCACCTCTACCCTGGCCCTGCCCTTATGGTTTGACCACGCCTCTCCACCCTGACCTCACCCCTGTGGTTTGACCCCGTGCATCCATCCTGGCCCCACCCCTATGACTTGACCATGCCTTGACCACGCCTCTCCACCCTGACCTCGCCCCTGTAGTTTGACCACGCCCCTCCATCTTGGCCCCACCCCTATAACTTGACCACACCCTGACCCGCTGTGTGCTCCATGTCACAGATGCTTTTGGCCTGCAGCCCCCGCTTTCCCCACAGCCCCACCTCCTCAGGAGAGGAGCACTGGCTTCCTTGGCTCAGCATGGTGTCCCCTGTGCAGCTGACACAGAGCTGTGCTGTCTCCAGTGTGGACAAGCCTGCAGGTGGCCCCAGCTCAGACTCCTAAGTGCTTTCTGGAGCCCGGAAGCAGAGGGAGGGCACTGCCAGAATTCTCATTTCACACCTCTATGTTCATCCTGAGATGGGAACGGATCCCTTGTTTATGGGGCAGACCCACACACCGTATGTGGACTCTGTCCTAACGCTAGCACAGAGGGCAAACTGCTTGGTCAAAATCGCCCTTACACATCACCCCAAAACACAATGCTCAGTGGTTCTCCAAAATATATACAGAACAGATGTAAACATATTCAGGAAGCAGAACACAGACTGAAATGAACAGCAGATAATAAATGGCATATGTGTTAAATCTAACTGGGCATATTCGATTTGAACTATTTCTCTCATTTTGTCTTGCAAAATGCATATCTTGGAATTCCTATAACTCACATGTGGATATGGTGAGAATCCAAAGTTGCTGAATCATGGAATGGCCAGTCAGAGCCCAGGCTCCCTGAACAGCACTGGGCAGCCTCTGCCTCGCAGGTGCAGAGTCTCACATCAGCAGAACCAGAAAATCAATTACCATCCACCTCACAGCTCCGCAGTGAGGGCCGCTGAGAGCTGAGGGGCCTCCTGGGCCAGGCCCCACTCTAAACACCTTCCACGCAGGACTCAGTCAGCCCAGCACCCCCAGAAGGTGAGCTGGCTGCTGTCCTCATTTTATAGAGGAAGAAACAGAGACATTAAAGAACCTGTCCCAGGTTCTCTTAAAATTATAACTGAGGAAATTATGACTATGAAAGAAATCAGACCTAACCGACTCCATCTTGCTTCTAACCTTTAAGCTGTCCTTGTTCTTTCCTGGGTGTAAGCTGAACTCACTTTGGGAAGGAATTCAGTTCATGGTTTGACTCTGAAACAAAATTGATAAAGGCCCTTTCCCGAAAAGGCCCCGTTCTTGCCTGGGGACCGGTCTGCCTTTGCAGGACTAACAAATTAGCTACAAGATTCGAAATTACGGTTTAGGTGTCATGCAGCTTCTGGCTCCAAGAGTCTGAACCTCCCCAAACTGCTCCTGAGAATAACATCACTGTTGTAAACCTAACATCAGGGCTTCAGGTGTTTTGCAGGCCCTGCACTGGATGGATCAGCTGCCACCACCCAGACCGGTAATCTGGCCCAATCAGTGCTGCCATCGCAGCCAGGAACAGAAGACAGCAAGAAAATCTCACTTCAACCCCCTGATTGCATCTCCAACCTGACCAATCAGCACTCCCCACTTCCCAAGCCTCGACCCACCAAACTATCTTTAAAACCTCTGCTCCCCAAATGCTCGGGAGACTGATTTGAGTAATGATAGAACTCTGGTCTGCCGCACAGCGGGCTCTGCGTGAATTACTCTGTCTCCACTGCAATTCCCCTGTCTTGATAAATCGGTTCTGTCTAGGCAGCAGGCAAGGTGGACCCCTTGGGCGGTTACCCAGGGAACACAGGAGTGGAAGGGGAGCGGGTTGGGGCCTGCGTGGTTTGGATTCCTGATCTGAACTGGCTACACTTGTGTTCAGTCCCCCACGAGGTCACCTGTGCATGATTCCTCTCGGTAGCCTCAGTGACACACAATTTGTGAGTGAATGAATGAATGAAAGAACAAACCAACACATGTGGGTCACTGTCCCCAAGTGATGCTCTTTCGGCCAAGCTCAACCCACCCGATCGGGTTGTCAGGGGAACATTCTCTGCTCAAAGAATCCTCTCCACTCTGCCAAAGACGCCCTGGGCCCGCGGAAGCCACACCCAGGAGCCCCCTTAATGTTCAAAGTGGCTGAGTTTCCCCAGGTCACCAACGCCAAGCCTGCGTGGCCGATTTCCCTGGGAGCCTGTGGTGCTCTCTGGGGTCATGGAGCAGGGGCACCTGTGCGGCTCTGCCAGGCCTGGCTTCCCCCCTGCTTATGAGGGGCTCACTTCAGGAGCACTGAGCCTGTCTACCGGCCCCGTGGCCCTGCCCGGGGGTGCGATGCAGATCCAGGTCCTGAGAAGAGATGGGCCGGCCTGGGAGACTCTGGGCTGTAATTGTGCCTTCCTGCCGGGAAAGACCCCAGGGCCCTCCAGGTGGCCGACGTCTGCGTCTTCTTTAATTATTTAGTCCCACGGTCACCTCAAGCCAGCGCTCCTCACCACGGACATATGGGTGGGGCTTGCTGTCGGGTGGGCTGTGCCGCTGTCCCTCCCAGGCACTGGAATTGTGCTGGCGCTGACAGGAGGAAGCCCAGAGCTGCATGGGGTCAGCAGAACCGTCCTCCAGGAAGCTGACGCTGGATGCAGTGCAGTTCGGGACTGGCTGTGCTCATCAGAACCACTCAATGTCATGCGGCAAACACGCCCACAGGGTCAGGGCACAGGGGGCTGGATCCACAACACAGTCTTCTGGTGACAGCTCCAGGCCCGCTGTGGCCACGTGTCCCGGAGGTGCGAAACTGTGGGGAACATTCCTCCCACACTTCTGCCCTTCCCTTCCTCTGCTTAACCCCTGGGCTGACTCCGCCTGTGGGGGATGCTGCGGCTGGGGGTCTCTGTCCCCACCCTTCCCAGGCCCAGGCTTGTGCTGAGGTCCCAGTGTCCAGGCCAGCAGGTGGCAGATCCTGGGACCACCCTAAGCCGTGGGAGCCCTCTGGCATCAGCCAATGAGGAAAGGCCCTGACCAGGTGGCCTCAGGGACAGTGTGGGGTCCTCCTGGGTCAGGAACTGGAAGCTGCTGTCAGAGGAAACCTCTGAGGTGACCCTAAAGTCCACAGAAAACCAGGGAGGCCAGGGCGGGCTCGGTCCAGCCTCACGTGGGCAGAGACCCCAACCTACCTCTCAACCCCTCCCCACACCTGCCCCCCATATTCTGACACCTGCACCCAGGGCGCCCTTCTGGGAACGGCTCCTGAACCTGGGCCTGTGCTGAAGAGTCAGGGACGCTGGGCTCTGAGCGGTTCTGGCCAGTCCCCTCCATCAGGGCCCCCGAGTCCCTCCGGCTGGGCCAAGGTGGAGCCCACGGCGGGTGAGGCAGGAGGAGCAGCTCTGCCTTCAAGGGGAGACTCACTCCCAAGCACCCCTGGGCCCATCTTAGGCCACGGTGGGACCGAGGCTGGCGGGACCAGGACCTGAGGGCACTGGGGCAGCCTGAGAAGCCAGGCCTTGGTGGATGGAGAGGCTGCCGCCCCGGGCTCTGCTCAGAGGCTCCTCAGCCTCTCTGGCTGTGTCCAGCGGGCTGACCCTCAGGGTCCAGGCTGTAAGTCCACTGGCCCCTGCCAGGGTTTGGCCAAAAGAGGGCACAGTCAGGAGCAAGAGGAAACAAGGAGGGGGCGCAGGGTGGGCCCCATGCCCTGAGATTTCTCACTGCACCCTCCACAGCCCGGTGTCCCTGGGAAAGCCCTCTGCGCCCCCAACTCCCGCTGACCTGGGCAGGGCCCTGCATACCCGCTCCTTCCCCCCCCATCCCCAGGGCCATGGCTGTGGCTGCTCTCTGGGTGGCCCTGGGCCCTGCACCTCAACTTGCAGTGAGCTCCCCCTGTGCTCTCCTGCCTCCCATCAAGTCACTTTAGCCTCCTGAGGAGGTCAGAACCCAGTGGGGCCAAGAGGCCTGGGTGGGGTGGGGCTCCCCGTGGGCACCGGCTGTTCTAAACCATGGCCCTGGGGCAGCCTCAAAGGACAGGGGAGGACGCGGGGCCACAGGGTGGAACTTGTCCAGGGCAGGCAGATGAGAGGCCTCTCCTCACTAGTTGTGCCTCGTTCTTCCACCTGGGACAGGCACAACCTCCTTCCAACCCCAACCTGGGCCACCCCTCACCGGAGCCACCCAGGGTCCTCTTCCTCCAGCCTTAATGCTGTTTAACTGCCCTGAAGTATTTGTCCTGGGCTGCGGAGGCCAAGGGCAAGGCCTGACGGGGTGAAATGCAGTTTCCTCCCAGGTCTGGGAATCCCCTGGTCTCTCTTTCAGATTCCATTGTCATTTCAGAATTCCAGTTTTTAACACAGATCAGTCCTCGCCTCGGGGCAGCCGCTCCTCCCAGCACCCAGGGCAGCTGGCCTGGAGGGGGCTCGCCCTGGCAGGGCCCAGCTCTCCATGCAAAGCCCTCTAGCAGGAAGGGGAACTCCCCCAGAGCCCTGTGGGGAGTGAGGAGTTAACTCTCACGTGGTCTCTGGTCCTGGGACCACAAGAGCTCAGGAAGGATTTTCCCGCCTCTCAGGGCCTGGTCCTAATCTGACTTGTGATCTGGAGGCCTCAGAACTTGGAAAAAAAGAAACATGTCGTTCATGTAACAGAAATCAGATATGTCTTTCTGAGACAGCTCCGAGCCCAAGTGAAGGTGAAAAGCGAACGTCGGCTTTCTTCTTGCTAAAATTTCAAGTTCAGATTTTATGTTCTCAAATAATTTGTCATGTAGATCAGGTACCTTAGGTCAAAAACGTGTCATGAACATTCAGACACAGATGACAAATGACGATGAGAGGAACAGCTTGCTATGTTTCCTCAACAAATCCCAAGCAGCCCTGACACAGAGGCCTCTGGGAGCCGGGCTAGGTCAATAACAGCAATCAATCAATTAGGCCATCAGCATCCCTTACCAAAAGGAAGGAGGTTCCCTGTGCACGCTGGAAAAATACATCCAAGGGAACAAGCAGAGTGGGATGAAGGACCGCCTGCTGATGGTCACAGACTAACCCACCTACCGTACCAACCTACCCCCACCCCAGGAATAAATCAGGGCTGCAGTTAAACAGATCAACAAAAGCAAACACGCACAGCCTCCTGCGGTGCCACAGTTCTCACGGCGACTTTCTCCCGGTGTAGACCGCTGTGTGTGGCTGCCTGGGGAATCCGGGGTCGTGACTTAAGACAGAGGGCAGAACACTCTGGACAGTTCTGATGTCTAAATGGTGTTGGCCACCCCTCCTGTGCCGTGCTGGGTCCCAGCGAGGGGAAGATGGAGAGGGAGGACCCTGCCCAGAGTCCCACCGTGCGACGTTGGAACTGCAGGAAAAGGAGGGTCTGAGCAAGTCCCCACCGCCCCACCACTGCTCCCCTCCACGGGGCTGGGGCACCTGCCTGAGGCCCCGTCCCGTCCCCACCCACGTCCTGTCAGAACCCACAGGCTGGGGTGCTCAGAGACCCGGAGCATCTGGGAGGGATGGAAAGCTCTCAGGACAGACGTCCAGGAAAATGTCACTTCTCTTAATGGCTCTCCTTTCCAGGGCTTCCTCAATTAGGATAACGAGGCTCTGCATGCTTCCCTGCCTGCCAAGCACAGCGGTTGAAATTTTATATTAGAAACATTCATTTCCTCTCATAGTAGAATTATTTTTTAATTTTACTTTGAAGTGTGGTCTCTGCATGAAATACAAGCCTAATTAGATCATGGTGGTAATGTATTCAAACCATAAGAATGAGAAGTGATTTGAAACTCTCTCGTTCCCACACCCTTTATAATTCAGCAGTAAACGGCATATTTATGGGAGTGGGTGAACAGTTACCGGGTGCACCACCATTGCCAGACATTTATCAGGGACCCTGGGGCTCTGCAGGAGCCAAGAAACCCAGGACATTCCGAAGCTCCTGCTTCAGAGGTCAGCACAGCTGGGGAGGCGGGACAGGATCCAATATCAGAGAGGAGCTGGGGTCTTGCTGAGCACAGGGGTGTCTGGGGAGAGCAGCTGGGGGCTCATCAGAGCAGACAGAAACTCTGGGGACGGCTCTCCAGTCGTGGGTGCCGCGGGCACCAGGATGTTACCAAAGGCTTTGATGGAAGTAGCGTTTCCTAAACATCGGCCCACCCATGTGGTGGGAGGGGTGCAGCGGGCACAGCCTCAGAACCTGGCTCTCCACGGCCCCCTCATTTCTCTCCGAATTTTCCCAGGCTGATAAGACTGAAGTTGGGGTGGGAGGAACAGAGAAGGGTACCAACTAGGACTTCATTTGTCAGGGACAGAACCCACTTCAAACTGGCTTAAGAATGAAAGGGATTTATTGGTTCATGTAACTCAGAGGTGCAAGGGTAGCTACCTTCAGGTGCGGCTGGATCCAGGGGCTCCTGTGATGCAGCTGGGACCTCCCCACGCCCTCAGCTCTGCCTCCCTCCATGATGGCTCCATGGTCAGCCAGGCTCCCCTTGGCATCTTCATCTGCGTCCAACAGGGGTGGGCTCCTCCAAGGCAAAGCAAAAGCCATTACTGGAGAGAGGGAGGCAGCTGGTGCAGAAACCAGTGCCCCTGGTGGATGGGAGGGTGGGGCTTTTCCTGAGATGGAAAAGGCAGACTGAGGGGCACAGGCTGCTGTGGCCCAGACTAAAGCCATCACCGTCTGGTCTGCCTGGTCTGTGGGGACCCTCCTCGGCCTCAGCGCCCCGTCTGCAGTGCCCACCCACCAGGGCCCACTGATCCCCATTCCCAGGGGTGCAGGGCTCCTCTGCTGGAAGAGGGTTCTGGGCCAGTTTGTCTCTGGGGCACTGAGGAGGGCAGATGCTGCTCCACCAACCCCGCTTCCCCGCGGAGATGCCCTGGAGCTCAGCTCAGGTGAGTTTCCGCCCCACGAATGAGGGGTCAGGTTCTCCATGGAGACGGCGCGGGGGGATGCCGCACAGCTGCTGAAACAGAGGCCCAGGAGGGTTATTTTATTTTCATGAAGAACCGTTTACAAAACACCATGTAGTGAGAAAGTCAGGCTTAAGAATAACCTGAACGGGGTGGTTACATTTTTTGTTAACAAAGAAAAACATATCACTTGTCTGTATTTGTGCAACTCGGGAAAACGTTGGCCATGGATGGGGACTTTGTTTTTTTTTTTACGTCTCTACAGTCTCTAAATTTCCTGCAATGATGAGTTGTGCTTAGAATAGGAAAATATCGGGAAAGTTAATTTTAAAAGGAGAAATTGTAGGGCGGACAGCCTCCCTTGGTGGGAGCAGGGCTTCTTCGGAGATGCTGGAAGGGCAACACCCTGGCTGGGGGCCCTGACCCAGGAGGAGGCCAGAACTCAGGGACTGGGACTGTGGGGGCCTCCCTGGGCGAGGCATCTCCGGACAGGAACAGAACTGACTGAGGTTCATGAAGGAGTAGTCAGGCGTCTGGGATACCCAGGAAATTAGGCACCGGAAGACACCAGGGAGGGACAGGCGCTGTGCAGGAGACGGGGAGGGAGGGAGGCGAGCCCAGGAGAGGAGCCCACACCAGCCCCGCACTGCTCACCCACACACTTGCCTCCCGGTCCAAGGAAGAAATGAGACTCACACTGGGCTCCCAGGTGCAGGAGCCTCAGGCGGGGGCTGCTCCCTGCCCCCACTGAGTGCAAACACTGGGCCTGCACTGCCTACACCTGCACCCCCAATGTGTCCAGTCGCTCCCCAATTCTTTTATTTTTTACACTTTAAAAACTGGGATATCATTCACATACCATATAATTGCACCAACTGCACAAGTTACTAGTTTCTAGTACATTCCTAGAGTTATGCAACAGTCATATTTTCATCACCCCACCCCCCAAAAATTGCGTGCATTCCTCTCTCCATTCCCCAGCCCCTGGCAACCACCAGCTGCTTTCTGTGTCTATGGATTGGCAGTTTCTGGGCCCCTTATATGAATGGAATCGTATGGCATGTGGCCTCTGTGTCTGGCTTCTTTCACTTAGCAAAATGTTCTCATGGTTCATCCACTATGTAACCTGTGGCGGTGCTTTATTCCCTCCTATGGCTAAATAACGTTCCATCGTAGAGATGGACCACATTTTCTAATCCATTCATCTGTTGATGGACATTTGTGTTATTTCCACCTTTCGGCTATTATGAATAATGCTGCCATGACCATTTGTGTATGAGTATTTGCGTAAACATGTCTTCCAGTTCTCTTGAGTGTCTATCTAGGAGTGGAATAGCTGAGTCATGGGATAATTCTATGATTAACTTTTTGAGGAACTGCCCAATTATTTTCTCTATCGGCATCACCATTTTACATTCACACCAACAATGAATAAAGGATCCAGTTCCTCCATATCCTCACCAATACTTATTCTTTTATTATTTTGCTTTTTTTTAAAATTATAGGCATCCCAGTGGGTATGAAGTGGTATCTCATTGTGATTTTGATTGAATTTCCCTGATGGCTAAAGATGCAAATTTTTTCATGTGCTTATTGGACATTTGTGTATCTTCTTTGCACAAATGTCTATTCAAATACTTTGCCTATTTTAAAATTTATTTTTCATTCTACTGTTGAGTTCTAAGAATTCTTCATATATCCTGGATACCAGATACTTATCAGATATTCTCTGGGTTGCCTTTTCACTTTCTTGATAGTGTTCCTTGGTGCATACATGTTTTAATTTTGATGAAGTCCAATTTATGTTTTTTCCCCTTGGTTATTTGTTTATATATATATATATATATCAAATCTAAGAAACAGTTGCCTAATCCAGGGTCATGAAGATTTGTACTTTTGTGTTTTTTAAGGGTTTTATATTTTTAGCTATTATTTCTAGGTCTTTAATTCATTTTGAGTTATTTGTCATACATAATGTGAGGTGAGGATCCAAGTTCACTCTTCTGTGGACTATTCAGTTTGTAGCTTTATAGTAAGTTTTGAACTTGAGAGTGTGAGTCCTCCAGTTTTGTTCTTTTTTCAAAGTTGTTTTGGCTATTCTAGGTCCCTTGCATGTCCACATGAATTTTATTTTTTTACTTGTATAAATTTATGCAGTTTATAAATTTATGGGGTAAGCGATAAATTGGGGTACAAGTGCAATTTTGTTGCATGCATAGATTGCATAATGGTCAAGTCAGGGCTTTTATGGAATTAGAATCAGCTTATTCATTTTTACAAAAGAGACAGTTGGAGTTTTCTAGTGATTGCATTAAATCTGTATCAATTTGGCGCACACTGCCACCCTAACAGTATTCAGTCTCCCAATACATGAGCATGGGATGTCTTTCCATTTATTAGTTCTTTAATTTTTCAACAATGTTTCATAGTTTTCAGTAAGCAAATATTGCATGTCTTTAGTTGAATTTATTCCTGTTTTATTCCTTTTGATGCTTTTATAGATGGCACTTATTTCTTAATTTCCATTGTAGTTTTTTCATTGATAGTGTTTAGCAGTGCAGCTGAGATTGTGTATTGATCTTGTATTCTGCATCCTTGCTGAACTCATTTATTAGCTCTAACCGATTTTGTGTGTGGGTGTGTGTAGGTTGTTTAGCGTTTTCTATAGATAAGATCATATCCTCAGCAAATGGAGATAATTTTACTTCTTCCTTTCCAATCCAGATGCCTTTTATCTCATGTCCTTACCTAAGTGCCATAGCTGGAACTTCCAGTACAATATTGAATGGAAATGGTGAGCACAGACATCCTTATCTTATTCTTCATCTTATGGGAAAATAGTTCCATCTTCCACTCTGAAGCATGATGTTAGCTATAGGCTTTTCATAGATGCCCTTCAGCTGGTTGAGGAAGTTCCCTTCATTCCTAATTTGTTGAATACTTTTTTTATGAAAAAGTGTTGGATTTGTCAAATGCAACTATTTTTTTCCACATCTATTGAGATATCACATAGTTTTAGCTCTTTGCTCTATTAATATACTGTTATATTGATAGATTTTCTTATGTTGAATCAACATGGCATTCCAGGGGAAAAAATCTTATTTGGTAATAATTTTTAATTATAATTTTATATGCTCCTCAGTTTAGATTAATAGTACCTTGTTGAGGAGTTTTGTGTCTGTATTCTTAAGGCCATTGATCTATGGTTTCCTTTTTTGTAATACTTTTGTCTGGTTTTAGTGTCAGGGTACTAACTGGCCTCAGAGAATGAGTTAGGAAGTATTCCATACTCACATATTTTAGGAGAGTTTTTGAAGGATTGGTGTTTCTTCTTTGAACATTTGGAGAATTTCTCAATGAAACCATCTAGTCCTGTAATTTACTTTGTAGAAACTGTTATTATTTATGAACTCAATGTCTTTACTTATTATAGGTCTAGTCAAGCTTTCTCTTTCTTCTTGGGTCAGTTTTGGAAATTTGCAACTTTCTAGGGATTGTTCCTTTCATTTAGGTTTTCTAATTTGTTGGTGTACATGGTACATTGTATTTACTTATAATCCTTTTTTTTTTTTTTTTTTTTTTTTGAGATGGAGTCTTTCTCTGTCCACCCAGGCTGGAGTGCAATGGCACAATCTTGGCTCACTGTAACCTCTGCCTCCCGGGTTCAAGTGATTCTTCTGCCTCAGCCTCCTAAGTAGCTGGGATTACAGGCACCCACCATCATGCCTGGATAGTTTTTGTATTTTTGCAGAGATGGGTTTTCACCATGTTGGCCAGGCTGGTCTTGAACTCCTGACCTCAGATATCTGCCCACCTTGGCCTCCCAAAGTGCTGGGATTATGGGGGTGGGCCACTGCACCTAGCCGTATTTCCTTACAATCTTTCATTCTTCATAAGCTTGGTAGTAATGCTCTTCTTTCATTTCTAATTTTAATCATTTGAATCGTCCCTCTTTTTTCGTGGGTCAACATAGCTAAAGTTTTGTCGATTTTCTTGATTCTTCAAAATGAGTAGAATTCCATTTATTTCTGCTCTAATCT
Organism: Homo sapiens; assembly: GCF_000001405.40. Lineage (NCBI taxonomy): Eukaryota > Metazoa > Chordata > Mammalia > Primates > Hominidae > Homo > Homo sapiens. The sequence goes on from NC_000012.12 coordinate 131,451,958, forward strand.
GTATTCACTTTTTTCTTCTTCCTTTGGACTTAGTGTGCTCTTCTTTTCCCAGCTTCCTAAGGTGGAAAGTTAGGTTAATGACTTGAGATATTTCTTCTTGTCTAATCTAGATGTATGTGGCTATAATAAATTTCCCTGTGACACAGCATCCCATAAATTCTGGTATATTGTGCTTTTGTTTTTATCCATCTCAAAGTATTTTCTAATATCCCTTATGATTTCTTCTTGACCCATTTTATTGTTCAGAAATATGTTGTCTAATTTTCACATATAGACCAATTTACCAAGTTTTCTTCTATTACAGATTTCTAATTTCACTCCAGTGTTGTTGGAGAACTTACTTGGTATAATGTCATTCTTTAAAATTTCCTGAGACTTATTTTATCACCTGGAATAGGATGTATTCTTCGTATCATGTGAACGTGGAGAGAATGTGTTTCCTGCTGTTGTTGGGTGAAATGTTCTGCACATGGCCTGCCCCAGATGAGAGCCAGTGGGTCATGAGGAACAAGGGGCTCATCAGTAATTAGTCAGTTTGCTGGCTGCTGCAGATACTGGTTCAGTGATGGTGCCACAGACACTGGGGGAGGAGCAGGCTTCCTGCTGAGAGCTGTGCTGGAGCTGCCCCGTGTCAACAGTTAGAATAACAACAGCTTTCAGCATGCAAACGCTGCAGCTGTGGGTCCAAGCAATGGCAGGCAAGTCCCTCCTGCAATGTGCCATTCTGATATAACCACCTTCCAACCCTCCCGTGAAGCACCCTGCACATGAATCAGGAGCTGGGCGTTCACACCGGCCACGGGGCGTCCTCTGCACCGCTGTGCCTCTCAGCGCCACTGCCCCCTTCCTGCTTTGGACGGAATTGCATTTTAAAAATAAAACAGGCCAGTCTTTTGTAGATACCTGAGGACTTTTACCTTTTCATGGGGATCTGGCTATTCACGATGCTAGTAACAGCTATTCATTTGGAAGGGGTGTTGCACGACTCAGTCTCCAGGCATAAGGAGAATGGGGTCCTGAGATTTTTTTTTGTTTTTTTTTTTTTTTGAGATAGCATCTCCTTCTGTCGCCTAGCCTGTAGTGCAGTGGTGCGATCTCGGCTCACTGCAACCTCTGCCTCCCGGGTTCAAGTGATTCTCCTGTCTCAGCCTTCAGAGTAGCTGGGATTATAGGTGTATGCCACCATGTCTGGCTAATTTTTTGAATTTTTAGTAGAGACGGGGTTTCACCATGTTGCCCAGACTGGTCTCGAACTCCTGACCTCAGGTGATCCGCCCACCTTGGCCTCCCAAAGTGCTGGGATTACAGGCTTCAGCCACCGCTCCTGGCTGAGATTTTTTTATTTTCCTTTACATAGATTACAACAATGTGTGGAGAAGGCTTGAAGACTATTTGAAGATTGTTGCAATAATTTTTGTGTTTTATAAAGACGTGAATTCAAGTACATCTCTGTTCAGGCTCTTTATATACCTAAAGTCTTATGCCTAATTTCAAAGGAGTTTACACTCTATGAGAGTATTATTGAACACTTAATAAGAGTCAGGCAAATGCTTTACATGATTTATCTCGTTTAATCCTCACAACCATCCATTGTCACTAGGTAGGCCATACTGTCTTCCCTATACTATAAGTGAAGAAATTGAGGCCTTGGCAAGATTATGCACACTGGGCAATATCTCACAGCCAGTATATGTGGAGTCTAAATTTGAATCCAGGTGGTCTGAATCTAGAAGCTATATTCATGAACAATTTAACCTTTTATAATATAAATGTAAATGGACTTGCTTGAAGACAGAAAGTATTAACAGGAGTATATGATGCCTAGAGTCTAGGAATAGAACCAGAAACTCATGGTGAAGGGGTTAAGAGCATGAGCTTTGGGGACAGGAGGTAGCCCTTGGTTTCATTTCCAACCAATCCTTATTACCTCTGTAATTATATACAAGTTCCTGAAGACCTCTCAGAACTTTTGTTTCTTCATCTGCAAAAGAAGGTCATTGTGATGATGTATTTTATGTAAAACACATAGCACAGAATATAACACATAGTAAGTCCTTAATAAATATTAAGCAAAAGAGGGAAAGATATTCTAACTTTATCCATAACTATCTCTGAATGTTTATAAACAGAGTCCCTAGGGAAATACAAGTGCTGCCTGAATATCTGTGTTTAAGTGTAAACCCATCTAAATAAAATCAATTAAACTGGAAGCAATATTTCATAAGGAAAAGACTAGAGGTTACAGCTCTTAGCCTGCCTGCTATTAACCATCTTTGGGATCTTACTTAATATAGGACTTCATCATCACGATGCAGTTTAAGAGACTGCTTCCTGAACTGTCTATTCCAGACTTATGCTGTGTCCTGGGGAGGTAAGAGGGCTTATACATTGCCCCTGCCCCAACTTCACTAGATCAAGATTTTTCTCACTGATGAAATGCATAGGTGGAAGGTGAGAAAGGTTTTACTAAGCTGATTTAAATTATTTTGATTTTAAAATTAAAATTATTGTGATTTTTATCATTTAATTATTTTGCCAGATGCATCTATTGGGTATTAATGTAATGAATCACAGTTAAAAGTTTTCCCAATTATCAAAAATAAATAAATAAATAAATAAATAAATAAATAAATAAATAAATAAAACAAAGAGCATTTGCAGTGAGAATGGGCTGCAGTAGGGTGAGCACTGATGGGAATTGAAGTCCACAAGCTGGCAGGTGGGGCCCTCGTCCCCGGGGCACATGGCATAGGGAAGCAGGAGAGGCGCCCAGGCCTTGTGGGCCTGAGGTTTATGTGACTGGGAGGGTGTTCCTGGGGAAGACACTACAAAATCACACAGAGTTGCAAGGGACCCTCTCACACTCTGCAGAGGCCCATGTGACACGGCAGGGACAGGAACTGCAAGCAGCTCCACTGCAGGAGCACCTGCCCCCCTTGTGGCCATGCAGGGCATACACAGCCCGGCCATGCAGCAGCTCCCAGCCACTCCTCACATGCCCACAGCAACTATCGCCTAAGGAAGAGACGTCTCCCGACCACAGTCACCAGGCCACACGCTCCCTCCAATGGCTCCCTTCCTTTCTGGGTCAAAGCCTGACACTCCCTGGCTCCTGCCCCCACCCCTGCCTCAACATCTGTGCCCAGCCCCACAGCTCCATCTGCTCCTTAAACCCCCGAGCTCCTTACCTGGACATCAATGTGGTGGGGAAGGCCAGCGAGGAGCCTTAGAGGACGTGACTTTTAAGCAGAATCCTTAAGAAAGAGTGGAACGTGGCCAGGTAGAAATCTGACGGAAGTGTCCAGCAAAGGCAGGCCCGAGTCCCAGGATCCCCGACGGTTAGGAGCTTGGTTGGCTGAGGACAGGTGTGGGCAGCTCCTGCTGAGGCAGGAGAGGTAGGCAGCGCCAGGCAGTCAGGGCCTATTAGGACGAGGACTCACCCAGCCTGAGGAGACTCTGAGGAAACGCGTGATGCAGACAGACTTAAAACTGTAAGAGGCCCCATGGCTGCTCTGGACAGGGAGGGTTGGCGGGACAAAGGCAGGTGGAGGCGCCACGGAGTCTGTTCATGGGGGTTCAGGAGAGAGTGATGAGGGTGGGCTGGCACCGAGGGGGCTCCTCCAAGGGAGGGTTATGAGAAATTCCCTTGGGGCCAAAGGGGATTGACATGTGGTCATGGGAAGGGCAGCCCGGAGACTCCCTCCTGAATAGTCACCAAGGTCCAGTTCCCTTGTGCATGGCGGAACCCAGGCCTGTGGGCGGCTCTTCCACCCCATGGGGTGGGGGCACAGGACAGGGAGGAAGCACTTTGGGGACCCCTCAGAGCCCCGGTTCAGCGAACCTCAGGAGCCCGCGCAACCCACAGCCCATTCTGGAAATGGTGGTATCCCACCCAGGGGCCCAGTGGGGAGGGGAGGTGGGCCAGGCTTTCCACTGTGCTCTCCTTGTCATCTGCAGCTGAGACTCCAGCCCAGCTCACTCCTGTGTCTTCTCGTCCTAATCTCTGACATGAGTACAGTAGGACTCACCCGACAGCAGGTGCTCTCAGATCCCTGCCCATTTCTGGCCAAAAGAGCCTTCAGGACAGCCCGGCAGTGCCAGGAATCGGGAAGCTCATGGGGACCGCAAGGTCTGGAGATGGGAGGGCAGGGGAATGTGTGTGTGTATGTGTGTCTGTGTGTCTGTGTACGTGTGTGTGTGTGTCTGTGTATGTATGTGTGTGCATATGTATGTGTATGTGTGTGTATATGTGTGTGTGTGTGTCCTTCCTGGAGCTTCTTAGTGTACCTGCAAATGCCTCCAAGAGCAACCCACGTGCCTGTCCTGGGCCTGTGGCCCTGATGCCCTTTCATCCATGCCCCGCCCTTCCTGATCTGCTGGGAATTTGTGGGGGTTGGGGGCTGATCTGCTGCGAATTTGTAGAGTTGGGCTTCCCACACCCCTGGTCAGCTAGCCTCAGGCTGAGCTCAGACAGTGAGAGGCCCTGGTGGGTGATGGGGGGCGGGGAGGAGCCAGGCTATTCCCCATCCTTCTCTGCCTCAAGCGCCTCGGGCAGCTGCCTGTCTTCCCTGCCAGCTCCACGTCTCAGGGGTCCTGGGGCCACCACACACTGCGTGATTAGAGAGTGGACTCCATGGCTTATTACAGAGAAAGGCCACGTAGCAAGATCAGCAGGGGAGAAAGACCCAGGGGAGTCCACCAAACACGCGTCTTGCTCCAGCAACCAAGTCAGCAACACATCCAGAGTGTCGCTTCCCAGGGAGGCCGTGTAGGTCTCCGAGTGCGGGGCTTCTACAGGGGGCTGGTCACATAGGCACCCTCTGCCTGTGCAGCCACTGTGGTGACAGAAGTCAGGCGTGCGCTGATCACACTGCAGAGTCCAGGCAGCTGGTAGGGAACGGCTTAGTTCCCTGAGTGCACAAACGACCTGGTCAACCAGTCACTCAGGAAACGTTCCAAAAGCCAAGTTCCCGGATGCTGGCTGGGGATCACCCGGATGCTGGCTGGGGATTACCCGGATGCTGGCTGGGGATCACCCGGATGCTGGCTGGGGATCACCCGGATGCTGGCTGGGGCTCATCGCTGCACACGGGCCTCCATGAACACGCGTCAGAATCAGGCAGCCTCCGGCCTGCTGCGCACGTCGTTCCTGCACACCGAGGCTGCTGTGGGTCCAGCTTCCCCAGAGACCCCAGCCCTGGGCTCCGCCAGCACCACCCACCCCGCTCCAGCCCAGGGATGGAGCCGCCGCCTTCTCTCCTGGCCTCTGAGTTGCCTCCCAGCCCCCATCTGACTTCTCAGCTCTCCCGTCCCCTCCGTAACCCACTCCCTGCCTCAGTCTCCTGTGTGGTAAATACACGAGTTCTCCAGTGAGGCCCCAACTGCTGCATCCTTGGATTAATTTAAGGATCCAAGGACAGAGGCCAGAGAAGCCTGCATGGACCTGGGTATCAGACGCAGAAGTAATGGAGCATTAGTCACCTTAGTCACCACGTTCTCAGTCAGCGAGGTCAGGTGCACGTCCAGACCTGATGGACGCTCCTTCACAGGGACCTCCGGTGCGCAAACAGGACTCCATGGAGAGCAGCTCGGGGGCAAGGACAGGCTTCTCTAAAGCATGGTGAGGCACCACTGTCACTGAGGATGCACGGTCCTCTCCTTGCCCTGGAAGCAGAGAACGGGAATGTGCAGCCACAGTGAGTGTGCGACCAACCCCAGGCCAGCTCAGTCCCCTTACTTAAGTCCCTGAACAGCGGAGCCCTGACTGCCTCCAGCCAGGTTCTCCATCCACAGCCCCAGTATTTGGGTCTTGGAGCAGTGCTGACAGCCAAGATGGTGAGGGGGTAGCAGGAAGCTAGATGCGGAGCAGGCATTTCCCAGCCTGGCAGAACCATGGAGAGACCCCCCCCCGGCCCCCACCGCCGCCACCAAGGGCAAAGTCAGAGCAGGACACAGTGGGTCGGGGTGGGGTTCCCAGGGTCCTGACCCTGAGGCAGCAGGACCCCAGGCACAGGCAGGACCCCACCTCCCCCCCTCCACCTGTAGGCTCCTCCTTTCTCCAGACGCCCCTCAGCAAGGAAGAGCGGACCCAGACCGGTGGGTGCTATTTGCTCCAGACTCCCCAGCGCCTATGCGGCTGAACCCTAAGGATTCCCACGCGGCTCCAGAGGGACGTTTCCAAACACACGCCCAAGTCCTCCAGAAGGTGACTTGAAGATAAAAGTCCTAAATGAATGCAGAGCAGTTTCAACACATGAGTTCACATACATGCTCCCAACTGTTTCTAAATGTTAGGGGAAATCCCAACCTTTGTCTTTGAAAAACACCAGAGTGTCTTGTTTGTGATTTTAAAACACTCAAAGACAAATTGCCAGTTTGCCGTGTGTATTTCAAATCTACTTTCCGTTTATTTAATTTCTTGGCTTCTTTAACTTGAAGCTTCCCACCAGGGCTCCAAACCTCTTTCTTACTATCGAACAGTGTGACTACCCAGGCTGCTGAAGGCACCGCTTGTCATCTATCTAGAAATTACCTTCTCTGCATGTTGCCTGGAACTGTGGAGGGTTCACCATTATAAATTATAGTTCAAATTACAAAACAGGGCCCCTATTGATGATTTCAGGTTCTAAGTGTGTAATTATGGTGCTTTTGCTAATGACATAATGAAGAGAGGTGATTATGTCATTAAAATGTGATGTTTTTTATATCCCGAAGAAGCTGCCTATGTGTCGTAATGAACGTCCTGGGTATGGGGTCAGAGTGGGCTCTCCCTCGAGGACCCTGAGGCCGTCCTACAGGGAAGAGTGGGGTTTTGTCCAGTGAAGTATTTGCTAGTCACAGGCTGCGCTGCTTAGTCCTGAGAACGAGACACTTTCAGAGTTAATGCCACAAATATTGTTCTTCGGCTCAGTAATGTTAGGACGAAACAAACCCTTGTTATTCTAATTGTTTGAATTATCCAGTTGAGATCCTGGGCAGTCTTGTCCTGTTTAATGACTGACAATTAGGCTTCAATGGCGTTCACGTTGACGGGTGCTGGATCGCCCGGCTTGGGGCGTCTCACGTGGCTTCAGCCCTGCCCTCCCTGCGGATCTGGCTCTGGTACCCACCGCGCTGAAGGAGGGAGCGTGGGAACACGTGAGCCTCTCTGCACAGGGAGGTCCCAGGACTGACACCGACACGGAATCTCCTCACCTTCCACGGGTCCCTCGGGTCCCCAAATCCAAACTCACGCCGGGAAGTACCTCAACGCACTTCCGCCCTGGCCCAGGCTGGACAAAGCCCAGGTGCTGCTGAGCTGGAAACTCGCTCTTCAATGAGGTTCATCTTTTTCCGCGCCAATGACATCTTTATGGGGGAGGCATTCAGTTATGCGCCCGAGGCTCAGCACCTCATGTGCAGTTGTGGGTCTGAGTCCTGGATAGAAGCTGGTGGAGGGTCTGGGGGTTTTGTTCACCCCACACTGAAGGGCCCCGAGCACCTTCTCACCCACCCACCCACGGGGGTGTCATGAGTCCAGCCACAGGCCTGCCTGTGACTCCCAACAGTTTCAGAAGGAAATGAAATTTCAGGAGATTCAAGCAGTGATGGTGGGTGTATTCCACATTTCCTCCTTTTTTAACACAATGAAAATGTAATTATCCTCCCTTACAAGAACTCCCAGCCACTTGAAGGACTGTCAGCCCAGCTGCGCTGTGACGGTCACATATTCTTGTTTGCCTGTGCCTTTTCACTGTTTTCACAGAAGGAAGCCGAGTTTGAGCTAGTTCCATTTCACCATCAAAGGCAGGGCATGAGGAGCGATGGGGAGAGAAACGTGGATGCGAAGAGGCGCCTGCCGCCTGTGTTCTCACAAAGCCACAGAGCATGGACCTGCTCCCCCTACCCCCCAGCGCTACCCTGGCCTGGGTAGGTGACCGCAGTCTGGAGGAGGGGATGGGGACAAGGGAAAGCGGGGCGGGGATCTGACCCAGGAGCAGCAAAGAGCAGGTCCTGACAATTCCCTGATTAACCGGCGTGCAGCTAGACAGGGCAGGTCTCCATGGAGAAATACACGTGGCTTATTTAATTAATCCTGAAAAGTAAGTTCCCCTGGCCTTGCCCCAAATCGGAGTCCCCCTTTTAACGATGAGAATAGATCATTGAATCAGATTTCATGAAGTCTGCTCAGATTTTTCTTATTGAATTCCATGAAGGTGTTACTTTCAGGACTCTGCCCCGGCGCCCATGGTTCAGGGACATCCTACATGCACTGGTTCCTGCTGCGGCACAGAAGGGCCCAGGGATGCCGTCTATGGGATTTCTGCTCCGAGACAGGCTGCCCCATCCACCTGTGCCCTCCGTGTGCCCCCACCCACCCCTGCTCCTCCCCGCCCTCTCCATTAATCAGCGTGAACTGAGGACTCCACTCTTAATATTTAGCCAAATCAGGCATTTAAAAATGTCATTCTCCTGGGAGGAGATCATTATTAAAAAGGGAATTAATTTATTCTCAAGCCAAATATAAATCCTCCGTCATCCATGGACTGCTCTTAGATTACTCATCTCCTGGTATCTTTTCCACCAGGACGAGTGAATGAGCGAACCTAAGTGTGGGTGCACAGAGTGTCACCATATTCTGGAACTCAAGTTGTGTTTGGGTCTGTTTTTCTCTGCTTTTCTGATTGACTTTTCCTTGCTCTCGGCTGTGCCAGGCAGAGCTAATGTCCATGCATTTCACAAACACGGGAAAATTCAGAAGCTGTTCTTGCTAGGAGATGTGCCCGGAGAGGAAGATGCCAGCCAGGAAACAAAGCCAAGTGTTAAAGCCTCCTATTTGTCTAACTGCATAAGTAATGCACATTCATTACTCATAAAGGCAGGAAGGGGAGGGGGTCAGGAAATAATGACAGGCAAAGAAAATAAACCCTATAAATTTGTATTATCAGGGACAAATCACTGTGAACAATTAGGATTGAATTGAATTTTTACCATCTTTTACAGTCTCACTTCTAAAAAGGCACACATAGAATGTAATAGGCGTAACCTTGTTTATACCTAGATGGGACCACTTTATAAACAATATTTTGTCATCTACCAATTTCACTAGATTGCAGACACCATTGCTTCTAATTAACGCAGATCTGTGAGACCCGCTGATTTCTGCAGAGCACTCGTCTGCCTCCATCCTAAAGTTGAGACAGTTCCCTGTGTTCAGTTCTTAGGTTTTCCCAGTGTTTTTGCTATCTTGCACTGGGATGTAAGCAGTGTCCCTGGATGGCTCATGAACCCTCAGCACAGTCCCTGGCAGTGGAGTGGGCACTGTGCCTGATGACACTATGACCATCCTCCCCAGGTGGCCCCTGTTTCCATCACAGGGCTGAGAGGGGCTCTGGAAAGTTCCCTGGACCCCCTTCTCTGCCCACGAGCTTCTCTGCCACATCTGGTTAGATCTAAGAGGGAAATGGGACAGGAGCCCTAGAGGGGCTTTCAGGCTGCAGGACAAGGCCCTGTTGTCCCAAATGTCCACCCCTGGCAACTGTCAGCTCTCCTCCCAGCCAGGGGGCAGCCCCAGGGAAGAGCCCAGGCAATGTCCTCTCCTTGGGCTTTATTATTAACTGAAGAAAAAGGGGTGGCCTTTAAAGACTTTTTAAGATGAGGAAAAAATAAGTCAGAAGGAGCCAAATCAGGACTGAAAGGTGGACGCCTGATGATTTCCCAGGGATGCTCTCAAGATTGCCCTGGTTTGGCCAGGCGTGGTAGCTCACGCTTGTAATCCCAGCACTTTGGGAGGCTGAGGTGGGTGGATCACGAGGTCAGGAGTTTGAGACCAGCCTGACCAACATGGTGAAACCTCATCTCTACTAAAAATACAAAAATTAACCAGGCATGGTGGTGGGTGCCTGTAATCCCAGCTACTCAGGAGGCTGAGGCAGGAGAATCACTTGAACCTGGGAGGCAAGGTTGTTTGCAGTAAGCCAAGATCGCACCATTGCACTCTAGCCTGGGTGACAAAGCAAAGCTCCGTCTCAACAACAACAACAAAAAAAGACTGCCCTGGTTTGATGGTAAGAAATAGCAGAAGCATTGTTGTGGTGGAGAAGGACTCTCTGGTGAAGCTTTCCTAGGCAACTTTCTGCTAAAGCTTTGGCTAACTTTCTCAAAACACTCTCATAATAAGCAGCTGTTATTGTTCTTTGGCCCTCCAGAAAGTCAACAGACAAAATGCCTTGAACATTCCCCAAAATTGTTGCCATGACCTTTGCTCTTGGGTGGCCACGTTTGCTGTGACTGCAGCACTTCCACCTCTTGGTAGCCATTGCTTTGATTGTGTCTCCAGAATGGTACTAGCAAAGCCATGTTTCATCTCCTGTTACAATTCTTCAAAGCAATGCTTCAAGATCTTCATCCCCCTCTTGCTTAAAATTTCCATTGAAAGCTCTGCCCTGGTTGGCAACTGATCTGGGTGCAAGTTTGGGCACTCATTACGTAGAAAATTTGCTCAACTTTAATTTTTTGGCCAGGATTGGGAAAGCTGAACCAATTGAGGTGTCTATGGTGTTGGCTATTGTTTGTGCTGCTAAGCACCAGTCCTCTTCAACTAGGGCATAAGCAAGATTAATTTTTTCCTCTCAAATTGATGTGGTCTGCTGCTGCAGGCTTCATGTTCAACATCATCCTGTTCCTTCTTAAAATGGCGTAACCATTTGTAAATGGCTGCTTTCTGTGGGGCATTATCCACCTAAACTGTTTAGAAAGCATCAATGACTTCACCATTCCTCTACCTAACCTTCACCATAAATTTGGTGTTTGTTTTTGCTTCAGTTTTGCATAATTCACGTTGCTCTGATGACCCTTTCCAAACTGATGTCTTATCTTTCTTAGTGTCTCAAACTAAACTGTATAAAACTCAGACATTTTATAACAAGTTAGTATGAGTTTATTTTGGTGCAAAAGATTTGAAATCCATGCATAGTTTTATTCATAAGATTCATTTTCCATAAACTTTTGAAAACACCTCATAAAAATAGCTGACTCTTGAACAACACAGGTTTAAACTGGTGGGGGTGCCACTTATATGTGGATTTTTTTCAGTAAATTTGTTGGAAAAATGTTTGAAGATTTGCAACAATTTGAAAAACTCGCAGCTGAAACACATAACCTAGAAATATTGGAAAAAAATTAAAGTTAGGCATACCATGAATACATAAAATAAATGTAGATACTAGCCTATCTTATCATTTACTACCACAATGTTAGACAAATTATTATAAAAGTTAAAATTTATCAAAATTACACATATAAACACAGACTTTACATGGCATCATTCACAGTCAAGAGAAATGTAAACAAACATAAAGATGCATAAAACTCACTGTAGTACGTCACATACCACTGTCATAATTTCATGGCCACCTCCTGTTGCTACTACGGTGAGCTCAAGTGTTCTGAGTATTTGCTGGAAATGCAGTGTGATGCTAATCACCTCCCCATGCACAGCTCATCGCTCCAGTAAATTACATATTGCAGTAAAAAGTGATCTCTTGTGGTTCTCATGTATTTTTTTAATCATATTTACTGCAATACCATAAACCTTGAGTAACACCATGAGACCTACGAGAAGTGCCACTAGTGATGCTGGAAGTGCTCCAAGAAGCAGAGAAAAGTCATGACATTACAATACAAAGTTGAATTGCCTGATATGTACTCTAGGTCAAGGTCTGCAGCTGAGATTGCTTGCCAATTCAAGATAAATGAATTTAGCGTAAGGACCATTACAAAAAAAAGAAAGAAAGAAAGAAAAGGAAATCCATGAAGCCGTTGCTGCAGCTATACCAGCAAGCACAAACACCTCACACTTTTTGTAGCATACGTTTGAATTTCATATTGAAAATGCAGCTTTTGTGTGGGTGCAGAATTACTACGAGAAAGGCATACTGTAGACTTTAATGATTTGAGAAAAACTGAAGTCATTATCTGACAACTTAAAGCAAAAGGAAGGTGAAGAAGCTAAAGCTGGAGAGTTTAATGCCAGCCAAAGATGGTTTGATAATTTTAGAAAGAGAGAGGTTTGGCTTTCAAAAAATGTCAGGATAACAGGAGAAGCAGCTTCTGCTTACCAAGAAGTAGGAGACAAGTTACTAGACACCATTAAGAAAATCAATGAGCATAAAGGCTATCTGCCTGAACAGATTTTTAATGCTGATGAAAGTGCTCTATTTTGGGAGGAAAATGCCACAAATGACATTTATTAGTAAGAAAGAGAAGTGAGCACCAGCACTGAAGGCAGGCAGGGAGAGGCCAACTCTACTGTTTTGTGCAAATGCAGTTGGGTTTATGGTCAGGACTGCCCTTATCTATAAAGCTGCTAACCCCCAAGGCTTGAAGAGAAAAGATAAACACCAGCCGCCAGTCTCTTGTACAACATGGAGGTCTGGACAGTGAGCACCCTTTTCCTGGATTGATTTCATGGATGCTTTGTCCCTGATGTAAGGAAGTACCTTGCCAGTAAGGGACTGCCTTTTAAAATCTGTTTGATTTTGGATAATGTCCCTGGCCACCCAGAACGCCTTGGGTTCAACACCAAAGGCATCAAAGCGGTCTTGTCCCCAAATACAATACAATGTCTTTAATACAATACAAGACAAGACAAATACAATGTCTCTAATTCAGCCTCTAGATCAGGAGTCATAAGGACTTTTAAGGCCCATTAAGCACAGTACTGTATGGCCAGGATTGTCAACGTTATGGAACAGAATTCCAGTAGCAAGAATGTCATGTAAGTCTGGAAGGACTACACCGTGGAAGATGCCATCGGTAGAAAAAGCTGTGAAAGCCATCGAGTCTGAAACTATGAATTCCTGCTGGAAAAAAAAAAACTATGTCTGGATGTTGTACATGACTTCACAGGGTTTACAACAGAGCCAATCAAAAAAATCATGAAAGTGATTGTGCATCTGGCAAAAATAATGATGGGGGGTTGAAGAATTTCAAGATATGGATCTTGGAGAAATCCAAGAGCTAACAGACACCACACCAGAGGAATTCACAGAAGACAATAACCAGAAGACGACTTGATGGAGGTGAGTGCTTCTGAACCAGCGCCGGATGATGAGGAAGAAAACAAAGAAGAAGCCATACCAGAAAACACATTGACTTCAGACAATCTGCCAGGAGAGTTCCAGTATTCCATCTTGCTTTTCACTTCCTTACTGACACGGACCCTTCTATGACGCAGGCACTGAATCTAAAGCAAACGGTGGCAATAGGATTCACATAAAAATATTTTTAGAAAAATGAAAAAGCAAACAGGTCAGACAAAATTTCCCGGAAATTGCACTGAGTGTGCCTGCCTCTCTTGCCTTCCCTCCTTCCACCTCCTCCACCTCTCACATCTCTGCCACCCCTGAGACAGCACAACCAACCCCTCCCTTTCCTCCTCTCAGCCTACTCAACACGAAGACAATGAGGGTGAAGATCTTTACAATGATGTGCTTCCACTAGTGAATAGCAAATAAATTTTCTCTTATGATTTTAAATAACATTCTCTGTATGCTAGTTTACTTTATTGTAAGAATACAGTATATAATTTACAAAATATATGTAAATCTACTGTGTTATCAGTAATGCTTCTGGTCAACAGTAGGCTATTAATAGTTAAGTTTTGAGAGAGTCGAAAATTATACATGGATTTTTCAACTGTGCGGGAGGTTAGCACTCCCAATTCCTGTGTGGTTCAAGGGTGAACTGTATACGCGCACACACACACACGCACGCACACACACGATTCTCTCCTTGGATTTTTTTCTGCAAAACTCCTACTCATGCCCTGTCTAACACATTACTTTGATCTTGTCTAAGTTTCTTTAGAATTTAATAAATTATACTTTTACATCAGTCATAATATTGGCTCAAGGTATGAAATGGATCCAATTATAGGAAAAGAAGGAAATGTGCCTTCTGGCAGCTGAGTTTATGGTCTTTACAACCCTGCATCCTGCTTAGCTGTGGTTTCTATTCACCAAGCCTCAGCCTGTCCTTTGCTCATCCCCAGCCCAAATGCACTTCATTCATGGAGACTTTGTCCATCCAAACCAGGGCTGTCCAACCTTTTGGCTTCCCTGGGCCACACTGGAAGAAGAAGAATTGTCTCGGGCCACACATAAAATACACTAACAATAGCTAATGAGCTTTAAAAAATTGCAAAAAAAAATCTCATAATGTTTTAAGAAATTTTACATATTTATGTTGGGCTGTATTCAAAGGTGTCCTGGGCCACATGTGGCCCACACGCCGCGGGTTGGAGGAGGCTGATCTAAACCTAGAGCAGGGCCCTCGTCCCCAAAGTGCATGTTCCCGGGTTGTATTTACGAGGATGATTCTGCCTCAGGACAAGTGAAACAAGGCCTAGGTGTGCTGGCCACTCAGCCCATTCATTTTGGGAAGGGACTTGTTCAATCAGCTTTTGGAATCCTCAATGTCTCCCTCAGACCTGGCAACTGAGCCAGGCCGGCTCTAGCCCCTGAGCTCGAGTGGTGACAGAGGGGCTCCTGGTCCACATCCCACGTCATCCCAGCAGTTCAGGGGATGCTGGAAGAGGGAAGGACACAGGACTGAAGGGGCTGTACCCGCTGCTCAGCCACAGGTGTATTCTCCCCTCTGCAAGAGGACAGGGCTGCCTTTTCCTGTTGGACAGAGAGAGTCCAGCTCTGAGAACCCTGGGGCTGCCTTTCCAGAGGGAGTGGGAAGGCAGCCACCAATTCCCCCAACCACCTGCCCACAGGCCCACGGCTCCATCCCACCCCCACCTCCACTCCAGGAAGAGCCAGTCACCCTCCCATGCCTGCCCTCCGGCCTCACCTCTTCCTCTGCCCAACACCATTTTTCTCGTCTTGGGGAAAGTCTGCCCTCACCTTGTATGTTGGGCCAGGGTTAGCTGTGTTGGCACAGAAACATCCAAAACTCAAGAATCTCATGAGGAAAACACTTGTTTCTCTCTCACAGGAATGTGGAGTGGTAATTCCAGTCGGCAGAAAGACTCTGCTCCATGCGGTCATTCAGGGGCCCAGGCTGATGGCTGCTAAGCTACCATCAACATGCGGTTTCCAGGGTCACCTGGGCATCACCACCTCAGTCAACAGGAGGATGGGAGGGGCATGTCAGGTGCCTCCACAGGAGGTTTAGGGCCCAGCCCTGAACATGCATAATTTCTTGCCCAGCACTGACAGCCCCTCTGCAGGTAGGACTGAGCTGAGACCCTCCAAAGTCATAGTGCCATGGATGATAAGGGAGGGCAGGCTCCAGAGCTGCTGTACAAGCCCAAGCCCAGGTGTCTTCTGACCAGTTGTTAAAGTTACAGAGCCCTCGTCATGATCCTGGGGTGGAAAGTGATGTTCCTCCACTCTCCATTTGTGGGTGTTGTGCAGTGACTTGGTTCACAGGCACTGTTAATGGGGAGTGGGCAGCACAGAGATTGGGGCAGACGGAGATGGGAGCAGGGTCTGCCCGGTTCACTTCCAGCACAAATCACTCCTTTGCCAAGAGTAAGTGTTAAATCCTGACAACAAACTCTCCTGGAGACTCATCCCTCAGATTAAAGGCATGGACAAGTTTTGCAGTTAAAAAAAAAAGTAATGCATTCACTTTGCTAATGCACTGCTTGCAAAAAATGAAAAATATAAAAACATAGAATACTGTTTTTGTGCAACGTCTTAATAGTCTGTAGAATTAGTGTTTGCAGGAGACACTGTGAAAAAGTCAGGCCTTTTTTTTTTTTTCTCCTTTTAAGAGACAGGGTCTCACTGTGTCATCCAGGCTGGAGTGCAGTGGCATGATCACAGCTCACTGCAGCCTCAAAATCCTGGGCTCAAGTGATCCTCCCACATCAGCCTCTCAAGCAGCTGGGACTACAAGCGTGCACCACCATGCACGGCTAATAGTTTTTTATTATTCTTGTAAAGACAGGGTCTCCCTACATTGCCCAGCTGGTCTCAAATTCATGAGCTCAAGTGATCCTCCTACCTCGGCCTCCCAAAGTGCTGGGATTACAGGTATGAGCCACTGTGCCTGGCCCAGGCAGGCCTTTGAGATGAAGACCAAATTCCTGAGCCTGGTATTGAAGGCCTTCAAAAGTTTGACTCCCCTCATTATGGCCAACACCAACACAGTGACTACATTTGCTACACACTATTCTAAAGCTTTACTATGTTAACTCATTTAATCTTCACAATAAGTGAATGAGGTTTGATGATGATGATGATTCTCACTATAGAGATGAGGATGATAATATCCAGAGTTCCCAAGATGCACCTAGCGAGGAGGAAGCCCAGGTCTGGGACCCCTGTGACAGCTTCTCCAGTAACAAATGGCCCTGAAATCCCAGCAGCAGCACAAAACCTCAGTTCTCACTCACACTCCATGAGCACAGGGCTGGGGCTCGGCTGGGCTCCACAGAGTCACTCAGGGCCCTGATGACCAAGGCTCCGCTCCTCATGCCCACACTCAAGAGAGCATGTGGCCCCTTAGTCAGGGCAGCAGGAAATGTGCAGCTGGAGGGGCCCAGGGGGCTTTTCTCCACCTCAGCCAGGTGTCACCAGGTCCCTCTTGCCCTAAGTCCATTGGCCAGGACTAGTCACAAGACTCTGCCCATCAGCAGGGGGGGCGGGACGTATGTGGACAGAGGGAAGGTCAGGAGGGCGCCACACCTCCACTCATCCTCCTGCTTAGACCACACAGAGGGGTCTTAGAGGGCCTTTAATTTATGATCCTGTTTCTGAGATGAACACGAAGACCTCTTGGACACCAGAGCCCAGAGGACAGAGTGTGTTTGAGCAGCCTTGTGATCGAGATTGTTTCCCACCCAGGGGGCAAACGCACCCAGGAAAGCCCCCATCGAATCCACTGAAAATGGAGAACCCACACCCCAGGGGAAGCTCAGAGCCTGCTCCATGGCTGGCGGCCAAATGCACACGGAGCCTCTGCTCAGTGTTACAAGGAAGGTTTTCACTGCACAGAAAACTCTCTTCTCTGGACTTGAGAAACAACCAAAGCAATGGCTTGTGGTGGATCCTAGCACCGTGAGGCCCAGGAGAGGGGAAGCTTCCAAAACCAGGGAGCAGGGGAGCGGCTGGAGGCGCTCGCATCCGCACCTGCTGCACAGCAAAGTGCCGCACATCTCAGAGGCGGAATGCGGGGCTTCCTTCCCAGGTGACTGCAGTTTGGCCGCGGTGGCTCAGATCTCAGTGGGGCTGGCTCAGGGGTCTGAGGGTCCAACGGGTGTCAGCTCACCTTGCGCCACTCAGATGAACAGTGCAGCAGCGGCAGTGTGGCTGGCTCTGCTCCCGCACCGCGCGTCCTCCCTGGTCCCACAGGCAGCCAGGCATGTCCCCCTGTGCTGATGGCAGAGGCACAGGGAGTGAGCCTCAGTGAGGAGCTCCCTGGAGCCCGGGCAGCGCCTGTCCACTGATGTTTCACTGGACAACGCAGGTGACATGGCTTTGATTGGAGCAGGATATTCCACACCTGGAGAACGGGGCCAGGAAGAGAAAGAATATTTCAGGAAAATCATCTCATCTCCCCCAGAACACAGTAGGGTGTGGGCCTGGGGCTGCCAGGGCCATGGGCCGCCCCTCCCAGCACTCACAGCCGCACGCTGTGTGTCCTCGGCTGGACCTGGAAGGCTCCACCCCCACGGCCCCAGCAGGGAGCATACCCAATGATGCCTGTGCTACTGGATCCGCCACTGCCAAGGCCTCCCAGGGCAACAACAGCACGCACCCAGCATTTGTGCCCATCCCTTGCCCCACGCTGCAGGGCCTGCCTCCTGGGGACCTCTGAGCCTCTGAGCCCTGTGCTGCTCACGACGCTGAGAACGCTCCTGATCAGGAACGGACCCTACCCGCACGCCCAGGGCCTCACGAGCTCAATCAGGCCATCCCTCGACAACAGCTTCCAGGTGTGCCCTGCCTTCTGAACATAAAAGCTGATGAAAATCCCATCGCCCATTGGGAGTAAACGCCATGTGCATGGCTCCTCAGGAGGAGTCTGTAGGGAGAAAATCTTTCTTCCTTAATCTTCTGATAAGAGACCTATTTTCCCTACTGCAGTCGTGAGACACCCATAAGCAGTGATGCGGTGTTCCTGATGAGTTGTGAATTATCTCCTAAGTGTCTAAAAAGCGCCTCAGCCCACAGCAGCCTGCTGCCTTCAGAGGATGCACTAGATAACGGTCTCCCCAGCTGCTGGCGGGAGTCCTGTTCCGGTGTGGTGAGGAGCCAGGGACGTGGACACGGGAAGCCTGAGGGATTCTGCACCGTCTCCATCCCTTTCTGCTGGCCAGAGCCACTCCCAGGCTCAAGCCCAAAGCCAAGGGCAGAGGGTGGGGGCTCCACAGGGAGGGGTGAAGCCCTGTAGCCATGAGCTGGATCTATCACAGCCCCCACAGAGGGCTATTTACAGGTGGTGGTGAGAGAGGAGCTGAGATGTCCCTGAGGGGCGCCTGGGGAGGAACAGGCCCTACAAGGTGACTCCAGGTCAACCTCTTAGGAGGACACCATCTCCCGGGATCCCGGAGGGAGCCACACGTTTCTGAACAGGGCCAGATGGAAAGTAGGAAATATGAGGGGTAGATGAGACTAGAACTGTTTTCAAAGATACAGAAAAAGGAGGGATTAACTCCAGGGACCCTCTCCCTACTAGAATTCCTGAAGGAAATGCATAAAGAAGACAATTTACTGAGAAGCAGTTTGAAATACAGTAAGTTACAGTGAGAAAAGAAAATGATGTATATGGTACAATAGTAAATAATTATTAAATAATAATATCGACAGAGGAAATAAAACCAAACCCAGCTAGAAGACTGTATGTTAACAGCCTGTCAGCCAGAGGGCAATAGTTGAAATTAATAATCATAATTCAGAAAGGAGGCAGAGATGGCTATTAATGAAAGTGTAATGAATTAAACGCACTTGTCAAAAGGTAAGCGACAAGAGATGCAGAATGTCCATCCTAAAAACCAGTAGGGGAAGGAAAACAATGAAAAAAAATTCTGAAGAAGACAAGTCCATGCTGTGCTATATTATCTTAGAAAACACAAACATCTCCGTGTTTCTGTATGTGTTTAACATATCTCTGGAAGGTTCACAGAAGACGGGGTTGCCCACAGGGAACATGGAGATTCCTGTCTAAGTGGTAGTTGTTAGAGAAAGAGGACATTCATTTAAAATCCCAGCATATTCTTCCTGGTGAAAATTAATTTTAAAACCCATCATTTAAGAGATTGGAAAAGTGTGGCTGTAAACTGGAGGAGAACTAAAGGACATGCCAGGAGAGAATGTGGGCTTAGGGAGGAGTTCCCTTGAGCCGGGAGCTCCTGGGAACATCTAGAGGGGAGGGGACGCAGCCACGACAGAGGCGGAGGAGGAGTCAGGAGAGGAGACAGTGGTGCAGGGGAGGCAGGACGGGGCCAGCGGTGCTGCCAGGGCCTGCTCCTGCTCTCCCAGAGCTCCTGCTGTGCCCGTGGTCACACTTTTCCATACCTCCCTGGAGCTGTAGACAGGCGAAGGCCCCTGAGTGGTGTAGCCACGCCAAGACGTGCTTTAGGAAGGAAACTGCCCAAGCATTAAAGGGAAATGAGGTCACGGTGAACTTTGTCCCCTCTGGGCTTGAACAGAGAAGAGCATCTGTCCTGGGATGGAGGACGTGGATGGAGCAGGACCACGCAGCGTGGCACCTGCAATGTCAGAGGCACCTGGGCAGGAACACCTGGCACAGCCATGTCATCTTGTTTGTGCCTCGGTTCATCCTCCCAGAGCCGGCCCCTCCATCCCCAGGAGCGAACCCCACCCTCCCTATCATAATGGGCTGACCAGGGCCAAATTGGTTTCATGAAAAGGAGACACCTGCAGGCAGAGCCCAGCGGACACTCGGTTGTCTGAAGTTGCCGCACCTGCTTCATTTTGCTTATTGAGCTACTCCTGATGCCCACAGCACTTTCTAACAAGAAATGAGCAGCGAATCCACGGAAACCAATGGGAATGGGATGTGGCAGGCATGATTTACAGTTTAGTTAATTCGAATAAGCAGAGAATCACACCCACTGAGAGATTCGGAACCACAGCCTCCACGACACACGGCTCCTCTCAGCAGGAGTCCTTCCCAGCAAAGGCTCCCCCAACACACCCCGTTCCACATCACGGAGTGCCAGCCCCGGCCCAGCCCGGCTCATCCTCAGGGAGATGGACTCAGCAGGGCTGCCAGAGCCCAGGCCAGCGCTGCTCCCTCCCTCACCGTCCACAACCAGGGCCAACTCATCTTCACAGCTCGACCCCATGCTCTGGTCACTTTTCAGCCCAGTGACTGTTTCAAAGGCATCTGGCACAAGTCAGGAGAGTGCTGTGGAGTCAGTGGAGGCTCCCAGCCAATGAGAGCACCCCCTTCAGGTGAGCTCCTTCCCCCATGGGGACTGCAGCATGGGGAGACCAGCTTCCCCGCATCAGCCCTGCATAAGCTCTGAGCTCTGCTGCTCCATGCCCCGCACGGCTGCTCTAGGGATGAG
Source organism: Homo sapiens (assembly GCF_000001405.40). Classification (NCBI taxonomy): domain Eukaryota; kingdom Metazoa; phylum Chordata; class Mammalia; order Primates; family Hominidae; genus Homo; species Homo sapiens. Next base: position 131,472,491 of record NC_000012.12, read on the forward strand.
CATGGTGATATCTGGCTTCCGTGTCCGGGGAGCCTCTGGTCATCAGCAAAGTGAGGGGTGCACACACAGCCCTGCGGTGAAGACAGGGGTGTGGCTGATAGGACCCCAGGGCATCGGGACTCCCACCTGTCAGCAGCAGAAGTGGACCTGCTCTGTGCACAAGGGAGCTGCCTTTGACCTGATTTTGGCAGTGATGGCGGTGTCCACAGAGGTCAGGATTTACTGATTTAGAAAAGAAATGGCTGGGATTGCAAACCATGAGCTTTGTGGCCCTCCAGACCACAGGTGGCTGCAGACTTGGACTGAGAGGCCCCAGAGGCCAGGCAGGAGGGCCCCAGTCTGTCCCAGAACACATGAGTCCAGGCCTGGCTGCTGATCTCCTGATGGTTCCCCCAGCACTGTCTACCTCCCAGAAGCCTCGGTGTCCCCATCTAGATGAGGAGACAGGGGTCTGGACCTCAGAATCAACCAGGAAGGCTCCAGTGGAATGGTGGGAAATGGGAGTGACCCACCCATGCCTTCCCAGCGAGACTCCCAAGAGCCGCTGTGGATCTGGGACTGAAGTCCCCTGGGCAGGGCAGCTGTGGGCTGGGGCAGGGATGGGGGCTGGCCAGGGGGAAGAGGCACGTGGTAAGGATAGTGCCCTGGATGGGGGGATCAGGGCCACTTTGGGAACCAGCCGGGGCAACAGAAGTGTGTCCAGGTGATTTGGGCATGAAAAACAGGATCTGTGGGAAGAACCGAGGGGTCTGTGCAGGGATTTCATGTTCTGGCCCCACATCCTGCTCTGTGTCCGTGAACCCATGAGCACGGGTCCCTTCCCCCAGAGTCCACCCGGCCTCAGCAGGAGGGAAGCAGGGGCAGGTAGTGTGGAGGCCTGAGCCACACTGACCACCCCGCACATACGTGCCCTCTCCAGGCACCCGAGGAGGGGCAGCTCCCCGCAGACAAGGGCTCCACCTGGAGTGACAGCAGCTCTGCCTGGAGCATCCCTGACTCATCTGAAAAGCCACTGATGGGGCCCCACTCAGCGAGGAGGCCGACACTTAGCAGGGACAGGACAGGTGGACGGGGCGCCTGTCTGTGTCCCCATTTACGCCAATGGGAGCTCAGGCATGCACGGCCGCTCCCGGGCTCCTCACCCAGATATAGCCTCAGGACAGCAGGTCTGGGCTTCCCACTGAAGACCCCAAGGGGCAGCGAGCTGGTATAAGAGATAAGGGGAACATACATTTAACTCTTGGCTTTTTACAGTAGCTATTTGCCAAAATTAAAGGAAAAAAAGAATTTTCCTGGGACAGCCAAGGGTGAAACATCCAAGTGGGTTTAAAATCCTCAACATTCCAAGCTGAGAGGCCACGAGGTTCACCCAGGTTCACAGCAGAGCCCAGTAGAGCCACATCCTTCCCAACAGGAAATGCCTGTCCCTGTGAGATCAACTGCAAGATGCCCATAACCACGAGAGAGCGTTTTGCTTCCTTCTCTGCGCGAATCGGCTGCTCCTTCCATCTCACCAGCAGCAAGGTAACAGCAACACCTGAGTGAGTGCCCATGGGTCCCGGGGCTAAGCTGACTCCCCAGCATGTCCCAGGAGGCAGGCGCCCTTATCCCCATTTTACAGATGAGGAGACTGAGGCTCAGCGAGGGTAGAAGGGTCCCCGATTCCCACACTCAGAATTGGTGGAGCCCGAGTCAGCCCGAGTCCATCTGACCCTGGAGCCGCCCCTGCTCAGCCCTGGGCCCCGCCCACCAGGGCACAGCCAGTTTGTGAAGGATTTTAACAGAAAAGCCACAAATCTGATGTGAAGACGCCTACCTGAGAGACGGTGAGCCGAGGGGTGACCCGGGGCAGGGAGCAATGAAGCCCCTGGAGCAGGGCCCAGGGAGCCGGGCCGAGGAGAGTCTGGGAGGTGCATCAGCCTCTGGGACTCTTAGGAAGCTCCAACGATGACACCGGCCGTCCCTCACCTGAAAATGCACAGGCTGCGTCACGTGGGAGGGAGGAGTGACTGTTTCTGAGAGCGAGGAGCCTCCTAGTGCACAGAATGGGTCAGCCGCTGAGCAAATGCTGCATTGCAGGCCTGGCCCTGTGTGACTCTGGGGAACATTCTGGCCGCCAGTGCACATCTGAGGCCAGCTCTCCCCTCCAGCTATTTGATCCAGGGCAGAAACTGATCACACCCAAGCCCAGAGGCCCCGAGGATATCGCAGAGACCCCGAGGAAATCGATCGAAACCAGACTCATTTCCACGGTTCAGGAGCTTGTCACTGCTCCTGACCTGCTGCTGGGTCCTCCTGGGTGCTTCAGGCTGGAGCAAGGAGCACGGGCGGCTCCGGAGGCTCTGGAGGGGGAAGGAGCCACCCAGAGCCCGGGGGAGCAGGAGCAGCGTGAACAGTGACTTGGGGGTTATTTGTTGGGTGCCCTGCAGACTTGGCTCTGTAGGGAAACAAGCCCCAGAGATGCCCAGGTCCTGGTCCGTGACAAACGCGCACTGTGTGTGTAAGTGGGAACCAGCCGGGACGTGCTAGGCTGCCCTGCGGTAACAAACATCCCCGATCCCAGCTGCTCACGAAGGGAAAGGCTCGCCCCCGCTCACGCTCTTCGTCCATTGTCCCTTGGCTGGGCGTCTCGTCCTCGCCATCTGCACTTCCTGCTGCTCAGAGGGAGGGAGAGAGAACGTGACGAATAACTCATGAAGCACTAAAGCTGCTGCCCAGAAGCCACGCCCCTCACTTCCTCTCCAGTTTTATGGACAAAGGCAGTCGCATGGCCCAGCCTGATGTCAGTGGTGGGGAAGGTCCTCTGACACGGAGGGGCTGTGAGTGTTTATGAGCAGCCGTGCTGTGGGCTGTGCCAAGCGTTGTCTCTTCCCTCTCCCTGGTGAGCCCACGCCAGTGCATCTCTGCTGAGGGGGCCCTTCCTGCTCTTAGACTTGTCTTTTGGAAAAGGCTCCAGAACTCCTCAGGCAAGACCGTGTGACTTCCCCAAGCCTAAGCCAATCAGGGCATTTATTCCACCAGCCACTGTGATTGGCTGAGGGATGGACATGTGACCCAATCCGACCCAGTGAGATCCAATGAGATGATTGCAGGGAATGCTGGGACGGAGGCAGGTGGCTTCCCAGTGGACCTGAAGCTGAGACAATGTGAGGTCCGGAGGGGCTGCAGCCATTTTACATCCATGAAGGAGGAGCCTGTCAGAGAAAGGAGTCAACGTGAAAGGAGCAAGGAGACAGTGGTGTGGGGAGAGAGGCATCGGGCCCTGATGGCGCCATGGAGCCTGAACCCAGTCTTGCAGGAGCCAGCGGTAGCCCTGGACTGTGCAGGAGCTTGAATCCGAAATCCCCTGGTTAAAGTTGGCTTTTCTGTCACTTGTATCCCAACGAGTTCCAGCTGCTCAGAGCACTTAGGGCCCTGTCTGGCCTTCCTCACGACACAAGACAGGGACAGGGGAAGGGTCCTCTGACACGGGGTGACCTCCTCCCAGGCTCGGGCCATGGACTAGCATGAGACTTCGGAGCTCAACCCTGGATTCTGATGGCCTGGGGTGAAGTCCGGCCTCTCCTCTTGCTCACTGTGCAACTTCTACCTCACTTTACTTATGTTCAATTCAGGAACATAACAGAACACACCTCATAGGGCTGCTGTGAAAATGCAGGGGATTAGACAAGTAAATTCCTGGTGCCTGTAAGGGGTCAAATAATGTCAGCTGGGCTGTCCCTATGTCCCCAATACCCAGCCCAGTGTCTGGAGTGGGAGCGCCTCAGGACATGTGTGACGAGGGTGTGGGATGAGATCACATAAGGGCTGTAAACCCCCTGTGAGGAGGAGGATCCCAGAGGACAAGGGAGCAAGGGTCCCCTGGAAGGTGTAGGTCAGGAGCTGATGATCAAGGAATAGTGGGATGAAGATGGAAAGAGGGAGGTGGGGAACAGAGGATTGTCCCACTGACCAGCCATGAGGACAACTGGGAGGGGCTGGCCAGAGTCACAGTTGAGGATTCCCTATCACGAAGCAAATGTACAAGGACCACAGTGGCATGATATGGCATGATGTGTTATGACATATCACCCAGTGAGGGAGGGTGGTTGTGAAATATCATGGACTGCCTTCTCTCCTACTTGGTGAAAAAATTATTTGAATATCATTTCATTAAATTAAGACTGGAAGGAGAGCTATCAAAATACTACTAGTGAGAGTGAGTGACCAGATTTTTTCTTCTGCTATTTTAGGCAAAAAATTATCTAGTTTTAATTTCACCCTATCTGAACATATTCCCTTTGTAAATCTCCGAATAGTGCATATATATTTTTAAAAAGAGGGCTGGGCACCGAGGCTCATGCCTGCAATCCCAACACTTTTTGAGGCCAAAGCAGGATGATCTCTTGAGTCCAGGAGTTTGAGACCAGCCTGGGCAACATAGAGAGACCTCATCTCTAATAAAAATCAAAAAAATTAGCCAGGCATGGTAGCGTCTGTAGTCCCAGCTACTTGGGAGGCTGAGGGGGAAGGACTGCTTCAGCCCAAAGGGTGAAGGCTGCAGGGTGCCAGTATGGAGTCACTGCATTCTAGCCTGGGTGACAGAGTGAAACCGTATCTCAATAAAAACATTTTTAAATAAATTAAATAAAATTAAAAAAAACAAGTGAATCAACACACAATGAAAAATGACCTCACTTTCTCAAATAAATCAATGACATATAGAAAAGACATTTGGGAGGCCGAGATGGGTGGATCACCTGAGGTCAGGAGTTCGAGACCAGGCTGGCCAACATGGTGAAACTCTGTCTCTACTAAAAATACAAAAATTAGCCAGGTGTGGTGGCGGGTGCCTGTAATCCCAGCTACTCGGGAGGCTGAGGTGGGAGAATTGCTTGAACCGGGAGGCTGCAGTGAGCCGAAACCACACCGCTGCACTCCAGCCTGGGTGACAGAGTGAGACTCCATCTCAAAAAAAATAAAAATAAAGTAAAATAAAGAAAAAAAAAGAAAAGACATTTAGTAAAAGAAAGGAGGAAGGGGTGACTGTGATGATGACGATGATGATGGTAATGGTGGTGGTGATGGTAATGGTGGTGATGATGGTAATGGTCATAGTGATGATGGTAATGGTGGTGATGATGGTAATGGTGGTGATGATGGTAATGGTCATAGTGATGATGGTAATGGTGGTGATGATGGTAATGGTGGTGATGATGGTAATGGTGGTGATGATGGTAATGGTGATAGTGATGATGATGGTGAAGTTAATAGTGATGAAGGAGATCTTGATGATGACAAAGATAATGATGATAATGTTGACGGTAAATAACAGAATGATAATGAAGAGAATGACAATATAACAGTGACCATGACAATGACAATGGTGGGCAAGATGGTGATAATGAGGATGATGATGATAATGGTAATATTGGGGAATAACAAGGAGATCAGAATAAAATGCTTGAACTCCTCCCCCTTTGCCTTCCAGACCTCCATCCTCAACTCCATTCCCATCTATATCCTTTCATTTCCCCGAGGCAACAGAAAAACAGGGCATGCACTCGGCACCCACGTCCCATCCATGAACTCAGGCAACCTGCTCGCAAGCTAGAACCAATGTTGTACTAAGGCCTTACAGGGCTGTGGCAAGAGGCACAGGCTCTGGTTAAATTAGACTTGGGTGTGGATGCAGGCCCCACTATCAGGAGCTGAGCCTAGATCCCGCCTCTGTAGAATGGGGATAATCATCATACCTTGCCACAGGATGACCTTAAATACATATCAGAAGATGCATAAAACACACTGAGTCAGCATCTGGCACACGTGCACACACACACACACACACACACACACACCAGAGAAATGATGCTCACATGGCCTTCCCTCCCCTCCGCCTGTAATTCTTCCGTCATGAATGTCAGTAGGGAACCACTGCAGATCCTGGAACAGGGGCTGTGCATGCTGCATCTTGTACATGTATTCCCTTCTCCCCTGCCCTGTAGAAAAGCACCCTTAACTTTTCACCCTCCCAGGACAGGGCAACAGCACCCACTGCCTGCACGACCAGGATCTGAGGAACTGACCACCCTCTGAGGATAGCTCCTCCCTTCTGAAGCCAGGGATACATCCCCATTAACCACAGGGAGGGCGTTCTCTGCTATAGGCAGGGAGGGGACTGTTTATAGACTGAGAGTTCATGCTGGTTTATGTCATTAATAAAATGCTGCAATTACATAAAGCTATAATAAAGAAGCTGTTAACCTTATTGTGTTGGAAAATTTTTCCAGCAATCTACTGAGGAGATTCGATAAAATCATACACTGTCTGCCACTCATGTGACAAACATCACACTAGATAAGAGACATTCTGCCTTCAGGGAAATGGACACTATTTTATTTCTATTTAAAAACTAATTTTAATTACACAGAGATGCATGAACATATTCCTGGTCCACCATCTTGGGAAACTAATTTTCAGTTTCTTACACCCATGTAAGAACATTTTCCCCTCTAAAGCTAACGCATAACTCCTCCAATCTAACCACACCTCACGAAACCCTTGTAACCTGTGGCCTCTGTGGCGAACCTCTGCCACCCTGTGCAGTGGTCTTACAAACACACTGATGCATGCACAGAAGCATATGACGCATCTGACAACACAACGGAGATCTATCTGCTGACATTTTGGCTGGGATGGCTGCCACTTTTCCACCCGACAAGGCCTCACTGGCAATGCTCTGGCTGTGATATTGGACCATCATTTTGCCAGAAGTTACTACTGGGGAAACTGGGTAAAAGTTGCAAAAGGTCCTGCATTACTTCTTACAACAGCACATGAATCTACAATTTTCTCAAAATCAAATTTTGAATTGAATATATATGATCTTTCATTGTTTACACACATATATTTGACTTGCCTGAAATGTATGCTTGGTTCATTGGGCCTGTGAGTCAGGCACAATCAAAACCCTGCATTCCCCTGGCCACAATTATAGGAACACAGATGGATGTGTGGCCAAAACCAGACCTTTGGGAGACAAGGAAACTAAAATTTGAAACTCTGGTTTTGAAGGACTGGAGAAATCAAGCACCTCCCCTTCCAGCAGGGTTCCTGAGAGGCTGAGATGCAAGCCTCACGACCCCTAGAAGGTATCTTGACACCACAGTGAGGGATTCTGTCTGAGGAAGCAGCCAATACAGAGGAAGCACAGTAAGAGGCAACAGGAGAGAATTACGGAGATCTCCTGGATCCAGCCATGCCTGAAGATAAACTATCCCTGAGTGGTTATTTGCATCAACAAACAATGGTGTTTAAGCCAATTCTAGAGATTTCTGCCACTTAGAAGTGCAAATAAATTCTCATTACACTGTTGCAGCTCATCACCAACATGAAGTAGAGCCAAGAGGTGTAAAGAGCCTTCAGAGACCTAAGTTGCTCTCCTGGATTCAGCCATGCCTGAAGCTGACATACCTATGGATTGTTATATGTCAAAAAACTTTCCTTCTTACTGAAGCCAATTTGAGTTGGGCTTTCCGTCACTTACAATGGAAAAACTCCTGATTACCCTGCTGTATCACAGTGATTTACACACAGTCAGCATCAGTGAATACTTGGTGAATAATTGATGAATAAAAGAATGAATGCAAATGAACACGTTTGACTACTGCAAGATGCACTCTTGCTGAGCACTCAAGTGGGGACAGAAAAAGGCTCTGGAAGGTCCCAGCAGATGCTATCTGCAGGTGGGAGGCTCGGGAGTGGTCTCCGGAGATGACATGTGAGCAGGGACTTCACAGAGGGGATGTTTCTATGGTGGGGACTCCAGACAAGCAGGCAGCAGGAGCGAAGGTGCTGGGGCTGGTGTGCAGGACAGCAGGGAGTCTGGGCACCATGGCAGAGGGTGTGTGAGGATGAGAGGAGGACGAAATGGGTGGGGTAAAGGCCTGGGTGTCCTGGTGAGGGGCATGTCTGCACCACGGTCCAAGGAAAGAGGGGTCACTGCAGGTGCTTCACCATGAAGGGACAATGCAGGGATTTGCATGGAAAGCTGAGAAGGCAAAAGGCAGCTTGTGAGGTGAGGATCAGCCAGCACAGCAACCTGTCACTGACCCTGGGGTAGACCATGAGAGGGAGTAGGGTCCCCAGCTCAACAGGCCACAGCGGGGACTGAAGCCATGGGGGAGATGCAGCCACTGCAGAGGGAGGCGCCCTGGGTCCTCCTGCCCCCACCCTCCACCACAGCCCCCCACCACTAATCCAGGCAGACACCAGCCCAGTCAGAGCCTGGGAAATGTGGCCTACCGGGGTGAGCCCAGAGACTCGTGGGAAGGGGGATGAAGGGGCCTGAGGACAAGCAGGCCAGGGCAGCCCCAATGTCCCTCCAGACCAACCCTGAGTCCAAGAGACTTCCAGAAGCCCCTCGTGGTGCTGCTCTGAAAACACCACGCTTCAGGAATGAGACAGTCGGCTCTTAGAGAAGCATCATTCCTCATCAGAGCAACAGGAAATGTAGTTCAATAACCAAAACTCAATCTCTTTTAGTCTAGACATAAATAATGAGATTTCATAGAATTCTAATTTCAAGTGCAATATATTACACAATTACTATCCCTCTAATGTGATTTTATTCCTTTGAAATGTATTCGTGGATAGATTTGGCCTGGGTATAAATCTGTGTTTACAGCTGGATCACGGGCACAGGCTGATGTCCCCTGTCTCTATGCCCAGTCCCCTGCTGCTGCACAAATGGCACGTATCACATTGTGCTAACCTGGGTCGCAGCAGGTAGCCTGCCCGCAATGTCCTGTCGAGGGCAAAAGTGCCTCCAGCAAACACACTGCCCATGGTCCTGCACTGGGCTCTAGCAGCCCCAGCTGAAAAGCCATTAGCATTTGAGCCACATGGATCTGCGGCCCTCAGCAAGTGGGCCGAGTGACCCTCCCGGACAGAGGCTGGAACGCCTACATTTCACCTGGCCTGGAGCCATGACACTCATTACAGGACCCATTCTCCAGAACCCCAAGGTCACGGGCTTGTGGATATTCAATTTCACTTTCAAGGTCTAGTGGTGAGTGAGGGACCAAAGTCAGGCAGGCTCGGCTCCTTCTTGCAGATCCAGGGAAATAAGAAAGGGGATGTTCTGGGGTGAAGTCACCCCACCCCTGCTTGTGTGTTTGTGGTTCTGTGCGCCTGTGTAGACGGTTGTTTCTGGGTTTGTGTGTGTGTGCATGTGTGTCTAAGTTTCACCTGCAGGTGTGTGTGTCTGGGTCTTTTCACAGGTTTTGCATGTTTGTCTTGTCAGAGATGTGTTTTCTCTGGATACGTGCTGGCCTGTCTCGCCCGTCTGCAGTCCAGCAGCAGGATGGATAAAGGATGAACCCGATCATCTCACTCCCTGGTCACATCCCTCCCATGGCTTCTGCATCATCGGGTTCTTTGCTGTAACCACAGAAGACCACCCGTCCAGCTGCATTAAGCAGGAGTAGCTCATTACAGATCACACTTCTCTGACTCCCATTATACACAAATCCCCAGGGGTCTTGATAAAATGCAGACCCCGACTCAGCAAGTCTGGCTGGGATATGAGATAGTGCATTTCCAACAAGACCCAGAGGCAGCGAATTCCTTGGGGCCAGTGTGGACATCAGGAAGGTCCCGACGCTTCATGGGGGCAAAGACTCCATGGCTACAAATGTCCAGCCCACAACAAGGGCTGCTCCAAGGAAGGCCACTCAACCTGACCCCACAGCTCACTCTGCTGGCCCCGGGAGGGGACATCAACCTTCTTCCTTCCCACTCCCGCTGAGTCCACCAGCCCTGCCAGCCCCAGTGCCCACACAGGGATCCACACAGCTGCCATCTTCCTCCAGTTCTTTTCCTGGGCAAAGGCTCATGGGAGGTTTCTGATTAGTTAAGCCTGAGTCACATGAGGGGGCTCAGGTCACATGAGGGGCCTGGCCGCAAGGGATGCTGGGAAATAGAGTCTGGTTTCCCCCTTGGAACTGTGACAGACACCATGAGGGATGTGTGCCCATAGGAAGGGCGCTCACAGGGACCATTAGAGGCCATAAAACGCCCACGACAGCTTCACCCAAACCCTGAACTCAGAGAAGATGGGCCTGAACTCGGCCCATCCCAATGGCCTTGGTCTAGAATATTCTCCCCCCACATCTCTATGCAGGCCTTAGCCCAAATATCACCTTCTCAGAGAGCTTTCCTGACCATTCCAGTCATTTCAGAATATGATACCCAAATCCAAGGCTGCGGCCCTGAGAAAACTGCCCAGAAGTTTCCCCAATGCCCCACCCCCTTTCAACACAAAACTAAAATGACTTTCCTGGGCCAGCCCAGCGAGGCACGGTGACACCAGTGGATCTGGCCCATGGACGCTCCCAGGCATCTCCCATACAGAGGCAGGGGTCCTCCCAGAAGAAGCGTTCTGGAGATCAAGCTGAGTCTGTGCTGCTGTGTCCACATGCGCGGCTCCTTCAGAAGTCTGGTTTCTTTGCCAGTGCCTTCTCTGCTGGTGTGGTCAGTGTTCTTGGCCCCAGCATTCAACAAGAATCCACTGTCCATGCACGGCACTTTTAAAGGGTCTGCCCTCAACCAACGCAAATGCTGTTGGCAATACAGGTGCCCAGGGTGGGGAGGAAGCCTCAGGATTGGGGTCTGTGGGGTCTGTCTGCCTGCCTGCCTGCCTGCCTGAAGCAGGGTGAAGGAAATACTCTTCCGTATTTGAACGGCAAATCATTTCTCCATGCTCAAAAAAAATGAGCCCAGTAATTCAGGGAAGGAAGGAAGATAGAGGCCAGTGGTGTTGGGCATGCTGGGGCTCTCAGCTGCTGCGTGTTGTGGGCGGGGCTGTGGTGAACACAGTGAGTCCATCCCCACAGCCACTCTCAGGAACAGCAGAACAACCATCTGACATCTCCTGCATGAACCGGAGACCTCTAGCTGGTGTGTCTCAGGCTCTGGCAGGATGTATCCAGGGGCCTGGAGACCCTCCGTGTGCAATGAACGGATCAGACTTGAAGAGCAGGGACAGTGGGTGGAAGAGATGCCTGCTGGGACTGAGCCACAGTGGACGCCTGGGGTGGTGCTGGATGCTAAGGGACTGCTGGGGGCTCCCCTCATCTGCCCATGCACTCACTCCCTTACTAGGTTTGGGTAAAGTGAGCCATGTCTCAATAATGTGGAGGGTGGAATGGATGGGGTTGGGGAGAGAAAGAGAAGGGAGTGGACAGAGGGGGAAGTCGCAGCATCACCCAGGCGAGTGGACAGTAAGTCTGGAGACAAGTGGGAGCCATGAAGATGGAAACCAGGGATGGGGAGGGGGAAGATGACGGCAGAGCTGTTGGTGATATGGCAGTCGGGTGCTGGGCAGGGAAGGGCATGGTCCCTTTAAATGATATGGAAGTGGGAAAGTGCTGGGTAGAGGAGGGCATGGTCCCTGGCCCCATGGAACTAGGTGAGGACAGGCATTTCCTGCCCAAATGTTGCATTTCCCAAGACCACCCTGGCCTGCCATGCCCCCATCCTATGCCTATAAAAACCCAAGACCCTAGCAAGGCAGACACACAAGTGGCTGGACGTCGAGAGGAGCACATCCGCGGAGGAACACACGGGTGGCTGGACGTCGAGAGGGACGCACTGACAGGCACCAGCAAGCCACAGGCCACCAACCGGCAGAATGATGTGGAGTTTGGCTGGGGCAGTTGGAGGACAGCCCAGACCCCAAGCGGCCCAACTCCAGGGGAAAATCATCTCCCTTCTGGCTCCCCCATCTGCTGAGAGCTACTTCCACTCAATAAAACCTTGCACTCATTCTCTAAGACCGTATGTGATTTGATTCTTCTGGTACACCAAGGCAAGAACCCTGGGATACAGAAAGCCCTCTGTCCTTGCGATAAGGCAGGGGTCTAACTGAGCTGACCACCACAAGCCACCTACAGACACCTAAACTAAAAGAGCACCCTGAAACACATGCCCACTGGAGCTTCAGCTGTAAACATTCACCCCAGACACTGCCGTGGGGTTGGAGCCCCACAGTCTGCCTGACTGTATGCTACCCTAGAGGTTTGAGCAGCGGGGCACTGCAGAAGCGAGCACCCCCTCATCACGCACCTGCGAGGGGAACAAGGGAACTTTTCCCATTTCACTGGAATGATGGAGGAGTCAGAGGTCACCCAGTGTTGAGCTTAACAGAATTAAAGGTCAAAGCATAAAGGACACATGAATCTCAGTTCTTTAAGTAAGACTCTCTCTTTCCTGCCTATGAGCTTCCTATCAGAATAGACGTCTCTTTAGTTGGTTGACTGAATAAAGTTGGGGAAAGTGGCGAATCATGAAAAAAATAAGATCTATACTTCTTAAAAATATTTTCACACAATGCATGGAAATGTACAATTGTTTGTCAATGTTTTCAGTATGGGTTTCGTAACTAGAAGTCTACTCACTTTCTCTTCCATCAACCACAGCCACAGTATGGTACTCAGGAATCAGAGTTTTAGAGGTTTTTGTTTGTGTTTTTCAACAAAGCAACTAAACCTATAATTCCAGTACAAAATCCTCCAGTAATTATACCTAGTTCTCTACAGTTGCTTCAACTACATTTAAGACAAAAGAATTTTTTTTAGTATGTCTGTTAAGTAAACCTACTGCTTTCAATTTAGGTTTCATAGAAATAACCCTATTTTGCCCTCTTATCTCATTGACATATGATGCTTTATTAAAGCACCTAAATTCAGTAACACACACAACCGGCATAAGCAAAACTTAGGAATTAGGCATGCTGACTCCTGGCCAACCAGTACCCTCCCTGGTAGGAAGAGACGTGGCTGGGAATGGAGAGGGACTGACCCCATACATGGTCACATGCCCTGGGCTGTGGTCAGCATGTGCAGAGGGAACAGAAAGTCAGTGTTGGGGGGTTGCTATGTGAATATCAACCAAGGAACCTTCCACTAAGTTATTATTATATGGTACACAGAGGGATCCTGCCACACTCATGTGATTAGTAAGTCCAAATGTATATACCCAAAAACACAGAGAGAGAGAGAGAGAGAGAATGTAATTTGAACTGTTCAGCTAATTCAAGTCGAGGAGCCCAATCCCCCAAATGGCGAGGAGCTGAGGGACGAGCCCAATCCCCCAAGTGGAGAGGAGCTGTCCCCTCATCTGTCTCTCCAGGGGGTGAACATCTCACCATTCAGAAGCTGGTCTTGATGTTTAAAACGAAGTTTTTCATTCAAAATGGCCCTACAAAAAGGAAGCTACTTCATCTGATACTAGACAGAAAACAATGCAATCTGCTCCAATGCCAGGCAATGGTGCTGTTTAAAGGCCCTGAGTGTAAACGTAATCCCTGAGTGATATATGGTTCAACTGCATTGTCCATATTTTTATAGCCCCCACATATTGTGTGTCACCATCCCACTGTGCCACATTCTGGGTATTAAGGACCCAACTTGGAGTGGGGCACACTTGTGTGGGAATCCTGGCTCTCTCCTTTGCCGGATGTGTGGCCTCTGCCGGATGCATGGCCTTTGTCAACTCTATACCCTCTCTGTGCCTTGGTTTCCTCAAGTAAAATGTGGATGATAACAGAACGTACCTCACTAGGCAAGGATTAGATGAGATAATCCATCTAAGGCCTTTAGCACAAGGCCTGCCACACAGTAGGTGCACAATAAATGCTGTGGTTATTAACTTCAAGTTCACAAGATGGACTCTGCAGTAAAGGATGCAGAAATAATTATTTAATTTGTCATGCCTTGTTCCAAGGCTTTTGTGAATAAAGCACTGCATTTGAAGGCTTTTATCAAATACTTTCTCATCTGTCTCATTACTAGGACCCTGGATGCAAATATTTCTTCCTGTTGAATGTACATTTTTATTCCTCTCCTGGCTGCATTAACCTGTCTTTCTTATCACTCTGGTCCTAATGCTTCAACCTAGACCTTAGAAGAATGACAGCAACAGGAACTATCATTGCATTTTTTCCTTTAGATTAAAATTGATTTTTTGATTTTATACAATCTTGCCTTTCACACATGCCTATGGGTTATTAACATTTAGTCAGAACATCTGTTTCATTTCTATACCCCATTTCCTCTGCCTACCAATTGGAAGAAAAATCTCCTGAGTTTTCCATCAACTCACTTTAGGTAATTTTTGATTTATCCCTGAGTGAGAGCTGAAATTGCTCAGCCTTCCCTAGTGTTCCCTCAAGCTCTTGTGTCAGCCAATAGCAGCTTTCTCTCCCTCCTCTTTGCCTTCTCTTTCTCACACTCGCTCATACAAAGCAAACTTAACTGACCCCAAATGCAAAGGAACATCTCTCCAGGATCTCTGTCTTAGCTCAGGTTGCTATAAGAAAATATCACAGACTGGGTGGATAAGCAACAGAAATATATTCCTCGCAGTTCTGGAGGCCAGAAGTATGAGATCAGGGTGCCAGCAGGGTGAGGGCTCTACCAGGTTGCAGACAGCAGACTTCTCACCATTCCCTTGCACGGTGGAAACTTGCTGAGGTCTCTTTTAGAAGGGCACTAACCCCATTCATGAGGATTCCACCTGCATGACCTCATCACTCCCCAAAAGGCCCCACCTCCTAATACCATCCCCGTGGTGGTGGTTAGGATTTTAACTTATGAATTTAAAGAGACACAAACATTCATTCCACTGCAGAACCTAATTTATAACACTGGGGCAAAGTCAAAATAAAATACCCTCCTCCCCCTGTATTCAGATGGTGCCGACTTCATCCTGCACCATCCCACTGTCTCTGCTCCCCGAGTCTCTGACATGTGAGCTGATTTGCAGGACTTGATCTTCCCACTGATGCTCATACCCAGCACCCAGGGGAGGGCCTGGCCAACAATCCACACTCAGGAAAGATCAGGTGAAAGAGTGAATGTCAGAGAAGTGGAGGACGGGCCCAGGTTCCCAGAACCATTCCGCCATGTCCTTGTCACAGACACAGACTGGTACACAGGCTCCAAATCATCATAAGAACTCAATGTGGGCTCTTTCCAGGAAGTCGTCACCTGCCACAGGTCACAGACAATGTTCTAGGATCCATACCAGAGCTGGTACAGCTGGTGATCACCAGAGAAGCTGAGAGAAATTGCCCAACTACTCTATAAATAATAGTGTGTGATTCAGACCTGCCAGTGAAAGAAAAAATGACCCCCTCCCTGAGAACCTTTCAAAAATATCAGAAGATCACAGCAAGCAAAGCACAGTTTCTTAACAAAATCAATCTTTCAGTGTATCATTTCACAGTTAGGACACAAAAAGCACAAACATGACATTCTCGATAGAAAATAAAAACACTTCAGCAGATCACACACTTTCCAACCTGTTTCTTTGCCCCAGCATTTCTAGGAAGTCGTTCTGCTGATCCTCTGCCAAGTTTGCTAAGCAAATGGCAGCGTCAGCACTCTGCTAAGTGGGTAATTCGCTCTCAGGATTCCAGTTCACAGTGGTGGTTATTTGGGGCTGACTCACCCTGTTCTAGCTTTCAGGATACTGGTGAGCACTGCCAACGTTCTCTCCTGGGCAGCTGGACGCATCCTTCTCAGCACATCTATTTCTATTCTCCATCCTAAGGTCAGCTCTCCCCACCCAATACCTTGCACATACACTCCTGGCCTCAGGTGGAGCTGCCTTCCAGTCTCTGCAAGCTGAAGGGCAGCTTTCCTTTACTTCCAGAACCATAACCACCTGTATTACATTCCCACTACGGCCCTAACAAATCACCACAAACTTAGTGGCTTAGACAACACAAATATATTTTCTTGCAGTTCTGTAAGTCAGAAGTCCGATGTGGACCTCACTGGACTAACATCAAGGTATCCACAGGCTGTTTTCCTTTCTGGAGCCCCTAGGGGAGGATCATTTGCTGGTGTACTCAGGTTGCTGGCAGAATTCCCTTGTGGTTATCGAACTGAGATCCCTGTTTCCTCGTTGGCTGGCTGGCTCAGGGCCTTCCCAACTTCTAGGGGCCATGTGCATGCCTTGGCACCCTCCTCTACCTTCCAGGCCAGCAATAGGGTGAGGTTCTCAAACAGTCTCTCTTGCTTCTGGCTCATCTCTCTGACCCAGCTGAGAAAGTTATCCTATTTTAGGGACTCACGTGATGACACTGGGCTCACCTAGACACGGGCTCACCTGGACACTGGGCTCACCTGGACAACCCAGGATGCTCTCCCTATCTCAAGGTCCAAACCCCTCATCGCATCTGCAAAGCCTTTTATCCTATGTGAGGCGACATATTTATAGGTTGCAGAGATTAGGGTCTGGGCATATTTGGGGGCCATTGTTCTGCCAAACACACCAGGATGGACTTGAATCAAGGGTTGCTGAGAGCAGCAGCTGTGTGAGCTTGCCTAAGGACAGCCCAAAGCCAGGGTGAGAAGGGGGCTGCAGACTGAGCCCCAGGCTCTTCACCTTCCCACTCCTGCCTACCAACTGTGCTAATTTCACCT
The DNA here is from genome assembly GCF_000001405.40 of Homo sapiens. NCBI lineage: Eukaryota > Metazoa > Chordata > Mammalia > Primates > Hominidae > Homo > Homo sapiens. Next base: position 131,488,963 of record NC_000012.12, read on the forward strand.
TTGACACATTCCATTATAGAAAGAATTGCAGTATTTTAATTGTCTATTAACCAGAATACCTTTGACAATTCCCAGGCATGGTCAAAAGTAAAGTTGAAGAAATCCATTTACTAGTCAGAAACACACACTCTGCTAACTCACAAAGCACTGAAATAAATGTCACTAAATTCTGCAGTGAATTCACCATCAGGTGCTAATCAAGCATGAAAATTTAATTCCTAAGAGGAATCTTTTAATAAAGTCATGTGTGACTGAAAATGAGGGGGCTAATGAAATTATTTTGGGGACAGTGTCTGGACATTTTACACACAAATGCTGCTCATTGGAAGTTATTTGAATATTCCATTGCCAACAGATGATAGAAAGAGAGATTTTCTAATGCTATAAGGCAGGAATGAAAAGACCCACAGAAGGCATCTGCAGTTTGGGGCTACTGAAATGACGGATAAATATTCACAGCCCATCATCCTGGGGCTGCCAAGGAAGAATTTAGATAATGTGACTCTCGAGATTTTACTGGTATTTTCCCAATTCTGGAATGTTTTCCTTTTATAAAATCCATGATTCTACAGCAGTGCTGCCTTCATGTTCAGGCCCAAAACTGTAGACTTCATCCATTACCTCCCTCATCATCTCACGCCCCATGTCTAATTTCCTCTAGGTCCTACAAGGTCTGCCTGTAATATATGTCATCTTAGTTTCTGCCCTCCCAGGAACAGGCAGGCCCGGGACAAAGATTCAGGACGAGCAGTGTATTTGGTAGGTGACCCCAGGAAACACTGGTAAGAGAAGGGAGAATGGGGCAGGATGAGGCGGCAGTTAGCAAAGAATTTGTTTCCAAGTGTTACCTCTGTGGCAACCAGAGCTTTATCCCACTGGGAAATCTGAGAATCCAGGTAGGACACAGGCCTCAGAGTTATCCTCCTCCCACGGATGAGGGAGTTGGGGTACTGATACACCAATTCCCATCAGTCATCGGGGGAGGCTGTTCCTGGAGGGTGTCAAAAGCCAGCACTTTCTGTTTGTCATGCAAGTGAGGATGCAGTTGGAGGAAGGTTTGGAGAGTAATGGGCTATGTTCACAACCTTGATTGTGATGATGGTTACATGGGTGTGTGCATGTGTCAAACCTTATCAAGCTTCATCAAACTTAATGTGCAGATTATTACATATCAATTACCCTTAATAAATGTGGTTTTGATAAAACCCCAAGGGATTCTCATGGGAATCAGAATAAAAACCCAAACCCTTTACTTCAGGCTGCTGCTCCTCATAGCACCTGGCCCCACCTACATTGCTTCCCACATCTCTAATGAAATTTTCTCTTCTCTCCACACTCCAGCCCAGGTCCCACCTTAGCTCGTTTGTTCTTGCCATTTGCTCTTCCTGCAATACTTTTCCCCAACACCTCAGCTTGACTGTGAACTCCCAGAAAGCTCCCCTTGACCATTCTTTCTAAATTAGCATTCATGTACATACACACACATAAAAACACAAACCCCTACACACTCACACATGTATACCTACAAACACCTCCACACTTACGGATACACACATACCCCTACAAATTCACATATATGCATACACACCTACTTACAAGTCCACACACACAAACTGCACTTAAGTTTGCACATAAACACACATCTACACACTTACACACACATGCACAGACACACACTACCTACCGCTACCCTGCATCACTGTCCTCAGAACACACATCACCACCTGGAATCATTGTGTCCATGATTCTGTTACTTGCTTATTGTCAGCCTCTGCCCCTATAACATTAACTCATCAGGGCAGGAACCGTGTCTGACCTGTTCAGTGTCTCATCCCCACTTTCCAGAACATTCCCCAGCATGTGGTAGGTGCTCAATGAATAGCTGTTGGATGATAAATGAGGCTTCAACAAGGTCCAGGAGTGTACCAGTGACCCCACACCCTGGGAATGAATGAGATGAACCACATCCACTCAATACCATCCTCATGGTTCCCAGAGTGTCCTCCTTTTCCAATTCTTTGTACCCACCAATCACAGCCTCCCACTGATGACTGATGGGAATTGGTGTTATCAGTTACCCATGTTAACTTATAAATGTAGACACTGACCAGCGGCAGATGTACTAGTAGAGACCCATCCTATCTTCCCCATTAAATACAAGACCATGGCCAATTCTGGAACTTAGATTCTTCATCTTTAAACAGGGATAACATCATACCTGTCTTATAGGCCAGTGTGAGGATTCATGGAGACCAGGCAAGGCATATGAGTGCCTTGTCCTCCCGACACACAGCAAGCTCTCACCAATATGGGTCATTTTCACACATCAGTCTGAGGCCTGTTCCTCAGAGCCTGTGGGGCAGATTTTCATGTGATCACTCTAGATAGGGAGTGTGCACCATCCCAGTGATTAATGGAAACCACTCATGTTAACTTATGAATGTAGTCACTGACCAGTGGCAGATGTGGAATGGTTCTGTGTAGAGTCTGAATGTGATTCTGAATATTGGTTTTATTTGATCTCTTCTGAATGTATTTCTACAGTGTATACCTTTAAATGTGTATGTCTTCTTTTAAATTCATACAGTGCCAACCAGTGTTATACGATTTGTTTTTCTAAGCTTTTAAATTAATGAAATAGTTGTGTACCTGCCCCCCAGTCTTACTGACCTAAGAACAGGTCTAACAGATTTAGGGAGTACACACTCTGAGCCTAAGATCCTCTGTTTATAAGTTGTGAACTCTCCACTCAGAAGTGATAACTCATTAGAGATGCTCTAACCCATGTTCATGAGCTTTGAAAAACCATCTGAGAGCCCAGAGGAGAGATCAGTGGACAACAACACTAGAATGAAACCCCAATTCTATGGCATAAACAGGAGAAATTGAAACAAAATATAAATAAAATATTTAAAAGTAGTTGGAAATGATAAGAATAAACAGAATGATAAGGAGAACAAATCAGAATTAATGAAACAGATGTACCAGGTGCAAATAAATGAAGCCTAATCCTTGCAGAAGAGGTTGTCATAGGGAATAAAGATGACAGCTCTGGGCCCTGGAATGCAAGACAACAGGACAACAGCTGGACCTGGGCAACAGACAAGCCAAATGTGACTGGAAAGGAATCTATGTCTGACTGCTGTCCAAGACTCTGCTGTTCTATTACAAGAGCTGCCTTTGGCTAATCCATGCAAAGCAAAGGTTTCAGGCAGTAACAAGCAATCCCCAAATCTCCAGGGCTTAAAAAGCCACTGTCAGTTTCTTCCCTATGCCATACACCCATGACAGATCACAGGGGCTCTCTGCTCACTGTAACCACTGCAGGGCCCCTGCTGCTGCTGCCCTCTGCGTGCCAGAGGGAGTGGGTTCTGGAGAGACTCACCACTCAAATCAAACGCTCTGGGATGGAAGTGACCCATGATGCCTCAATTCAACAGTCCCATTCTTCCAGGTGAGGGTGACTGACTCCAATACACGGGGGGAAAAACAGTCTCTCCAGTGGGGCCACACTCTGCACAGTGGGGACAGAGGAGGGACCAGCAGCTGTCTGGGACAGCTTCCAAGGAGCTCAGGTGAGAAGAGCCTTGAAGTTGAAGAGTATCTCAAGGAAGGCCCAGCCTCGGCTGTTTCTGGAGGCACACGGAGGTCTGGGTTCTGTGCAGGGTTCAGCCTTGGCCTTTTCAGATTCCCGCTCCTTGACTGCCGATATGGATCCCCCCTCTCCCCCGCACTGAGGGTGGACAGCAGAGCCGTGGGGTCTGAGCCTTTTCTCCACTGTGGGACAGACTTACAGCACAGGCGAGTGCTCCCTGCATCTGGACACAGCTGTGGGGCTGTTGTCGCCCCATCTTAGGCCTTGTTTCTAGGAGACGTTCCCACCGGAGGGAGTCTCTCGTCATTTTCCTCGGGTGATTCAGGAGCTCTGGGTGTCATTAGGTTGCATTGCTCATTCCCAGATCGAGCGGAAATCCCAGCCTGGCGTCTCCCACCAGCGCTCACGTGCGTATCTACAGCTCATACCTTGGGACGTCTGGGCGTGACGTCAGCTTCCGAGTTCACGAATCAGACAATTAGATTAAAAATTCAAATTCCACTTGGAACTCCCAGACCTCCGAAGCTCGGCGTGTTCTGCACTCAGTGGCCACAGAGCCCGGGTCCTGGCGCGGATGCGCTGGGGCTGAACTCCTACTCCTGACAGCGCCGTCCAGAGAGGTGCGGCCCGCGGCGGGGCTGGGGGAGCTGGGGACCCGCGGGCCCAGAGGAGGCGCAGGACGAGGGGGGCCGAGCCCCACCAGGACCGTCCCGGAGGCCTGAAGGCCGTGCCTGGTGCCCGGGCAGGTGTGAGGAGGCTGAGCCCCCGACAGCATCCTCTCTCTTCGTTCCCAGTCCCCACGTGGGGCCTTGGGGCACAGACTCCAGATACACGGAGGGTCTCGCCCCCTCTTTCCAGGACCACCCGAGTTTCACTCAGGAGCCCGCCCACCCCTGGCTGGGACCCTGGGACCCCCACGGATGTCCTTGGTCTATGGAGCGGCCTCTAGCCCCGGGTGTGGTTGGAAACCACTGTATTCTGGTTCTGTGATTGGTGCGGGGCTGGTCACATGGCCTGAGCAAGTCCAATCACTGTGAGCATCAGGGTTTGTTCCCTGGCCAATGGGAAAGGCTCTTACACTTTCACTGGTTGTACTCTGGACCAGTGATTGGTGCAGGGCTGGCCACATGGCCCAGCCAGTCCAATCAGAGTGCATGCCAGGCCTTGCCTCAGGGATAGCCGAAGAGCCTCTCATGTGAGAGGAACTGGAAGAGACTGTAGCCTCCATCTTGTCCTATTGATGGGGCCCCTAAGGGGCAGTCTGAGGGGCACAGGCCCTAGATTGGGTCATTAGTGGGGCCAGAGCAGCCCCGATCTGAGATGCCTTCAGAGCAGAAGGTCCAGATCTGAGATGGAAAAAAACATCACTGGAGCCCTGGATCCAGCCGAGCCTGCAGCCAGACTTGTACTGCAGCAGTTGCCAGGGCCAGGTCTCCTCCTCGCTTTTATTTCCTTGAGCTCATTTGAGGATTTCTGTGGCTTCCAGCCCGATCCACACAAAGCCGGATCAGGATCCAGAACCCGGATCTCGCCTCTTCCCCCTCTGCCGTCCTGAGCCTGGGCTCATGGCCTCAGTTTCCCTGGCTGTGAAAGGAGCCGGGAAAGCGCGGGCATCAGGAGCACGAGGGGCCTCAGGACAGCGCGGGTGACCCTGGGCCAACCGAGCCTCGATGCCAGCCCCAAGCCCGTGGAGCCCGCTGTCCCCTTGTATGTCGGCGGCAGACAGAGGGACAGGGTCAGGTGGGGCAGAGTCCACAGAAGGCCCACTGCACTCGCTACCTGGGCAGTAGGGGAGCCGCCCAAGCCGGGCCTCCGACGTCCCCTGGTTGGAGGGCGAGTGGTTCAGGCTCACTCCCGAGGGTCCTGACCAGCAGAAGGAGGGGCCCAGGGACAGGTGAGGAGATGCAGTCCTGGTCCCGGCGAGGACAGCGGCCGGCTCTTCCCGTGGCCCGGAGGGCCCTGTCGGAAACAGCTTGAGGACCCGGAGTTCCCAGGAGTCTCCTGCCAGCCTTCGTCTCTGCCTGCCCCTCTCGCCATAGTAGCGGGAAGGGTGGTAGGAACACGTGGGTATTCACGAGGCCCCACGCCTGGATGAAACCCAGACATCACATCGGGGTACAAATTGTGATGGCAAAACACACAAGTGAGGCTCATGAGACAGACGTCACCACACAGACACCGCCATACAGCCAGTATAGGCAAATAACCCACAAAATGAGATCAGTAGCTCACATGGAGAAACATGAAACTGTTAACACAGAGCACAGAAGCACAGCAAACATGGGGTGGCACACACAGGTCACAGAGGACATGCACAGGAATCACACCTCCGCAGCATGCATGGACCGGTGACACACAGGAGAGGATACAAAGAGACTCACACAGCAACACAAACAAGCACCAACACACGCAAGTGACATGTACAAGTGACAAAAGATGGTGATACATTCAGTAACATGGGCAACGTGGACACAGGTGATGGCACAACACACAGGAGAAGCCCACACTATGACACTAACACACCACACGAGTGACCCACCCAAGTGAGTGCACGTGCAGGCTGCACACAAACGGGTGACACACAGAGGCAGCAAATTCAGGTGACATATAGTCAGTACACATGAATAATGCATGGGAAAACACCCAAAGAAATGCAGCCAGATGATACACATATAGACATCACACACGCACACACACACACATACCAAGTAGCACAGGGGAGCATGTGGTGGTCAGGTAACACAGATTTAACATACATCAGCATAAATGTAACAAACCACATACAAAGATAACAGACACCAGTGCACAGGAAGCACTCACAGGTGATACAGTCACAGCCAGCACACACAGGCAGCACATCAAACACAAGGAAACAGCACACATATGGCACTCACAGGTGACACACAGCATTACGCATGTAGGCCATACCTATGTAACACACATTGGCAGTCCCTAAGTCACACCCATGGGCAATTCACATGGGAACCAGATAGGTAAGGCAGGGCCACTCAGGCAGCACACAGGTAACACATACACGGGCTTACTCTGGACCCAGGCTCAGATATAGGATTGAAGAAGGACCATATATGAGCCCAGTGTTCCTTCTAACCTGAGGGCAGATGCTCTGGGAGAAGCATGTTTGGAAACTGGGGTACGGGGTAGAGAAGGGCAATCCACTTGGCTTTAGTGCTTGGTCCTAAGGGAGGGAGGAGGGCTTTGCCAAGCTGGTGTGACCCCTCCTTTATACAGCATGTCACATTCTAAATCATCATCCTTTGATCTTCCACAGTGAAGAACACCGAGATGTTTAAATGAAATAACCCTCCTGAGTCTATTTCTTCTCCAGCTTCACGGGTGCAGTAAATACCTTGTAGTGAAGCCTTTATCTCTTAGATAAAAAAAGCGCTTATGCAGACGTTCCTCCTTGACTTGCTTCATTAATCTTTTCAAGTTACATCCTGCTGCCAAGTCCTCAACCTCCCTCCCATTACTGGAAGTGGGGCTTAATTGGGATGTCATAACTGCTGAGCTGCGATGTAGAGAAACCCTGAGATGGGATGCCTTAGGCATCTCCAGGAATCAGGATGGAGCTGGTGTTAGATGAGGGAGCACTTGTTTACCACCCGCATCCATTCTGAAGAACTAAAAGAAAAGACAAAGCCCAGGACTCTCACAAGGCTATTCATGAAAAGGTGGATGGAAAGGATGCTGCACCTTGACTTTCTATCCTGGGAGTCTTTTCTGTACTTCACCTTTAAAGTGACTTGGGAATGCTCTCCCTGCTGCGGGTCCACACTTGTGAAGCCGTGGATAATTCATCAAGGTGGGGCTGTAGAAGAAGCTATCCCTTCTGTCAGGGACAGAAGACACTGTCCCTGGTGTCTTCTGCCAGGACGCTGAGGGGAACACCCAACCAGAATGGGCAAGGACACAGAGAGACCACTCTAAGCCAAGCTCTCTCCTCCCCCCCTCCCTTTATGCTACATGCACAGGGTGTCAGAACAAGAGGAAAGACTCAAAGTTCTGAGTGAAAATTCATTACATTTCCAAGTGTTTCCAAGTTTTCTGATGCTTTTCAGGGGCCAGAGTCCAGTCTGCAACTTGGACTCAAAGAACCATGACCGTGTCCCTGGCAGAGACCATAGCCCATTGGTGCAACACAGCCTTAGAGTCTAGTTCCTTAGGAAGTGAAAGACCCTTCTGCAATCTTCCCTGACTGTAACATTGCAGCCATGATAGGACTGGCACCCCTCTTTCTTTGCACCCAGACTTCAGATGCTTCCGAGGCTGCCCACCATAGGATGGGCTTGGGAACTAGACTATCTCATTACAGAGTATCTGCTCCCAGAATGTTAACTGTCCCTAATGCTCTCAGTGGAGCAGAGAACTGAGAAAGGAGATTCACCATGAGTTAGAAAGGCAGTAAGAATCTCAAAAGACATCAAAATCTAATTTCAGCTTCCAAGAACAAAATGTGTTTCGTGGAACAGCATTGCAATTACCTTGCATTATCAACACCCAAACCCTTTTGGCACCATCTCCACCTTCTCATTTCTTATGCATGATCTTAGTGCAGAGTGATACTCACCTTAGTTTTAATTAAAAGCTCATAATGCACAAGTATATTTAGAAGGGAAAAGGACTCAGATCCCCTTTAAGGATAATTATATGCTTATTAAAGCCCATTTCCTACACCCCGCTGTGTGTTTAACTTGGCCCATATGCTCAACATGGACCTTGCTGGAGCTTTGTTGGTAGCTGCAGGTGTTGAAGTCCAGCAGTGAGCAACCACCCTCCTGGTCATGTGACCAAGAATATGGACCCCATCCACATCCCCAAGCACACTACAGGCTGAAGGGGTGTCTACATGCCCCCCTGCTTCAGCCTTGAAGGCTAGGGAGGAAGGAAGTATTGGATGGCATCTCCCAGCCTGCACACCAAGGCATCCCCCCGCCCTAGAATCTCTGGGATGTTGAATGATCTCTCTGAGTGACTTGAGCCCCAAGAGGAGATACAACATGGTATGTAAAGAAACTAGAGTCGGGTAGGGCCAGACCCAGATCATGGGAACCTGTAGGCTACTGCATCTGTCAGGAACGTTTGTGTCAGAGCAACAGTGTTTGAGTCGTAGTTGGGGAACATTTTCCCAGTGAAGAAGTTGCCCCTGAGTGGCCATACCATTGTATTTGTTCATTCATTCAACATGTATTTTCTGATGTGCTGGGTTGTGTTATTGGTACTGAAGACAGAAGCCACAGCAGCACAGACTCATCCCCTGCCCTCAAGTTCGCAGTCTAGAGAAGGATACGGAAGAGGAAAACCTACTCTAAAAATGGAATTGCAAACTATAATAGATGTCAGGATGGAAAATTACAGGGAGTTTTGAGAACATATAATGAGGCTTAAGGAGCTAACATTTGAAGGACATGCAATCAAAGGATATGGCATTCCAGGTAGTGGGACCAACAGGAGCAAAGGCCCAAAGTAGGACGCACACCCTTTAGGTACAAAAGTTGTTGTCATAGCAAGAGCTGACACTGGCAGAAGGCTCACTGTGTCTACAATTACTTTCCACTGCTTTAAATTAATCTCCCCATTTACTCCTCAGTGTAGCCTCAGGAGTAAAGACAGCTTAATGAACCTAGTACAATCATGATTCCCATACTGTAGAGGAGGATATGGAAGCAGGCACAGATAAGTAACTTGCCTAAGGTTATACAACTCATAAGCGGCAGTGCCAGAATTTGAACCAGGCCATCTGGCTCCATGCTGAACTTCTTTAAGATCCCTCCAAGTGATCTGAGCCCCAAGAGGAGATGCTGCATGGTTTGCAAAGAAACTAGAGTTGGACAGGACAAGAGCCAGATCATGAGAACCTGAAGACCATCGCATCTGTCAGGATCCTTTCTGTCGTGAGCAACAGCAAACCAAAACCAGGCCAGCATAAATGAGAAGAGACATTAATGGTGCACTTACCTGGAAAGTGTGGTGACTTCAGGCCTGGCTTGATCCAAGTGCCCAGGTGACATCACCAGAGTCCAGTCTCTGCTCTCCTTCTCTGTGCTACCTTTATTCTCAAAGCAGCTCTGTCCAGTAACTCCAACCTTACCATCCTCCAGTTTATGATTCAAAAATCTCAAGAAAGGTCCACCACCTTTCCTCAGCCATTCAAGCAGAAGACCAGGGTTTCCTCTGTTTGGATGCCAGAGTCCTTGCTTGAATTGCATGCTTGTTCCTGAACCCATCACTGTGGCCCAAATGGAAGCTCTGATTGATCCAGGCTAGGATGCATGACCCATTCCCTGGAGCCCAAAGCAAAGTCACATCTGGAGTCCTGGACTGGGGGAGAGGATCTGGCAGGGAATGTAGACCCAGATATGGAAGAAGAATGTGAAGACTGAATGTCCAACAAACAAATGTCACTCTTCAGGCCCATCCAGGACTTCGGCTATTGAGGAGAACTCAGCACCAAGAAGAGAGTATTTTCCAGGTTCTCTGTTAACTGAGACCATGGCTTTGAAGAGGAAGGAGGAAAGAAGGATGGCCCAAGGGAGGCAGCAGCTCCAGAAGCAGGAGAGCTGTAGACTTCCCCCAACATTCGCCCATACCCCACCCACCTTGCACCCAGGCCTGGGTGGGACAGAAACCTCCAGAGCCCAATAAGAAGGGGACTTTAAACTAGTGGCTCTCAAAGACGCTGTCCACTGGAATAATCTGGGAAGCTTTGCAATGACTGGATCCTGGCTGGCCTCATTCTCACAGATCCTGATGTAATTGGGCTGGGGCACAGTTTGGAAATCAGGGTTGTTAAATCTTCCCATGTGACTCTTATGTGCAGCCAAGACTATAATCTACAGCCTGAGTCATTCTCTACATGCACCAACAGTGTGTCTACTCCTCAAACACCACCCAGGGATATCACTCTATTTTAATTCATCTCATTTCTATCCATTTGTTAAAAAAAAAAACATAGCAGTTCACCCACTTAACTCTCTATTGTTAATTTTTCAAATCCTCCCTGGGGCTCCTTCAGAGTAACTAGGGGAGAAACCAGTGTCTGACCTGGAAGCTCCTTTTTCTTTGCTGTGCTGATTTGCTCAAGATGTTTCAGGTGACAGTGAGGCTGTGGTTGGTGTGAGGTCAGTCTTCACCTTTCTAAGTCTGGCCAGGAGAGGAAGTGACTGGGAGAGAAGATGATTAATACCCTCCCAGGCAACCCTGAGTGGGGCTTGTGGGGAGGCCCTCAGTGCATTTGGCATAACTAGTCTGAGCTGTCTCCTTCTCTTCCTTCCATCCATCTGTCCATCCACCCATCAATTTGCAAGGACCAGATTATGATGGACATTTCTCCAGAGGTCTGTGAGGGAGGGAGATGATGGGCCAGAAGCCAGATGCATCAGACTCATGCCTTCCCAGAGAAAAGATGGAGAGAGGGAGCTCCTGAACTGACTGAGCCCAACTGTGATATAACCACATTTACTTACAATTGACTAAGACTGAATGTTGTGCAGTTATTTTGGAGGTAGTATTAGCTATTACTGTAAGTTTCAGTTTTGCATGGCTCAAAATTCGAACCTATTACATGTTTGGATGAATGGAATTCTTGAAAATGTGTCTCTGATACATGATGAATCAGAAACCAGGCTGTTCTTCTTGACCGGGTTAAAGTAAGGATGGAGAGGAAAGGCCAGGATGTGAGCCAGTGAGGGTCCAGACCCACTATCATCATGCCTTGAGATCCTGGAATATGAATGTCTACAGTAAGTGCTTAGCAATGGTCTGGCATCATGGATGTACACGACAAGCTTAGTGATGGCATGGCACTGTACATGTACATGGTGGTTCCCAGTCATTACCTGGCATTGGATGGTGCTTAGTGATGGTCTAGCACTGTGAGTGTACACAGTAGGTGCTCAATAATGGCTTGGCACCAGTTACGTACATAGTAGGTGCTTGGTGAGGACCTGGCATTATGGATGTACACAGAAGATGCTCAGTGATGGTCTGATGGGTTCCTCTCCGTGCCCAGCTGCTTACTAGTTACTGGTTAGGTGTGCCCAGTCACAAGGGGGGGGGTCCCGAAACCCACCACAGATGACACACCCTTCAGATAAGAAAGGGGTTCTAGAGATACAAGACCAGCAGGGGAGGTCGCCTGAAGAGGTATCAGTGAACTGAGTGACAACCCAACCCACAGAGAAACTTAAAAATCACGCGCCCTGTCACAAGTTACCTAATCATGACCACCCGCGCTGACTGGGGGCCTACTCTATGCAGGCCCTCCTCTGAGTAGAGTTGGTCCTATGTAACCGCAGGTTCTGCATCTACAGATTCAACCAACCTCGGATACAGAATGTAGTTAGGCCTACGATGGTTGCATCTGCACTGTATGTGTACAGACTTCTTTTTCTTGCCATTATTCCCTAAACAATAAAGTATAACAACTTTTCTTTCTTTTAAGAGACAAGATCTCACTATATTGCTCAGGCTGGTCTCAAACTTCTAGTCTCAAACTTCTGGTCTCCAGTGATCTTCCCATCCCAGCTTCCTGAATAGCTGGGATTACAGGCATGAGCCACTGCATACAGCCAGTATAACAACTGTTTACACAGCATTCACATTGTCTTAGGCACTACAAGTAATCTAGAGATGATTTAAAGTAGAGATGGTCCCTGGCTTACAATGGTTCAACTTATGATTTTTTGAAGTTATGGTGGGTTTATTGGGATGTAACCCCATGGTAAATAGACAAGCACACGGACTTACGACAGTTTCACTTATAATTGTTCAACTTTACCACGGGTTTATCAGGGTATTATTAACTGCACATTTTTGACTAAATGAAATTTTCTACTTACAATGGGTTTATTAGGACATAGCCCCATCAGAAGTTGAAGAGCATCTGTATATGGGAGGATATGCATACATTATCTGCAAATACTATGCCATTTATATAAAGGACTTGAGCATCTGCAGATTTTGATGTCCACGGGGAATCCTGGAACCAATCCCCTGCAGATTCTGAGGGACAACTGTACTCTCCCACAAAATCGAGCAGCACAAGATCAGGGGCTATGTCTGTCTTGAGTCACCATAGGGGCCCCATCCCCTGAATGAGCATGGCCCAGAGCAGTTGACCAAAATAGACCTGATGAATGAGTGAATACGTGACTGAACCTATGAAATTGGAAGACAGGAAAAAACATTTAACACAGTGCTGGCTAAGCTGTGGGCAGACAGGCATTGCCACTCCCTACTGTGCAGTGCTCACTAGTCTCTTTTTTCTGGAGTGTCAATGACAGTTTACATCAGATATGACAAAGACTCTTTGGCCCACTGATCCAGTTTCCATCCACAACACCTGATGTACGCATATAGAAACTTTTTTTTAATCTACAACAGGAAACCTTTTGGGAAAGCCTCCATTTTCAGCAACAGGGTATTGAATGAATAAAAACTCAGAAGTCATATGAGAAGATGCTCTGATCCACACATTAGATTCACTCTCTGCAGTGAGGTGCCTAGAAAGCTGTTTATTATTTAAAAACACCCTGGGTAATTCTGACGTTCACCTGAGGAAATCATCATTGTCAAAGGAGGATGTTTAATGACTTGAAGACAAAGTCACATATTATTGAACAAAAACACAGGCTACAATAAAGTGTGCATAAAGTGAGCCAAGTTTCATTCAAAAAACTTCACTCAAATATATTGTGTCACACACATACACACTCACAAAGATATCTGAAAATCCCTGCGCCAAAATATCTCCAGTGGTTGCCCCCTAGTGATATAATTATAGGTGATTTTTTTTCTTCTTTTTGATATATAGAGAGAGACTTTAAATTTTTCTACAGTAAATATGTAACTTGTAATAAAATGTTATTTTTAAAAATAGCAGATGACCTTTCAAATATAGTGATTGAAAGCAGGATAGCAGGGACTACACAGGCCAAGTGGGAAAAGACCAGAACCCAAAAGCTTGAGGTTATACCCCAATTACAGCCATGCCAATTGATGAGAATTGGAAGAAAATTTAGATAAATAAATGTAGTAGAAATATGATGTTCATAGGCTGGTTGTGAAATTGCTCAAGCACCTACTTTTTTTTATTTTTTTTAGATAAAAATCCAGCTGATTTATTTTTATTGTACTTTAAGTTCTAGGGTACATGTGCACAACGTGCAGGTTTGTTACATATGTATACATGTGCCATGTTGGTGTGCTGCACCCATTAACTCGTCATTTATATTAGGTATATCTCCTAATGCTATCCCTCCCTCCTCCCCCGACCCCACAACAGGCCCTGGTGTGTGATGTTCCCCTTCCTGTGTCCAAGTGTTCTCATTGTTCAATTCCCACCTATGGGTGAGAACATGCGGTGTTTGGTTTTTTGTCCTTGTGATAGTTTGCTGAGAATGACGGTTTCCAGCTTCATCCATGTCCCTACAAAAGACATGAACTCATCCTTTGTTATAGCTGCATAGTATTCCATGGTGTATATGTGCCACATTTTCTTCATCCAGTCTATCATTGATGGACATTTGGGTTGGTTCCAAGTCTTTGCTACTGTGAATAGTGCCGCAATAAACATACGTGTGCATGTGTCTTTATAGCAGCATGATTTATAATCCTTTGGGTATATACCCAGTAATGGGATGGCTGGGTCAAATGGTATTTCTAGTTCTAGATCCCTGAGGAATCGCCACACTGTCTTCCACAATGGTTGAACTAGTTTACAGTCCCACCAACAGTGTAAAAGTGTTCCTATTTCTCCACATCCTCTCCAGCACCTGTTGTTTCCTGACTTTTTAATGATTGCCATTCTAACTGGTGTGAGATGGTATCTCATTGTGGTTTTGATTTGCATTTCTCTGATGGCTAGTGATGATGAGCATTTTTTCATTTGTCTGTTGGCTGCCTAAATGTCTTCTTTTGAGAAGTGTCTGTTCATATCCTTTGCCCACTTATTGATGGGGTTGTTGGTTTTTTTCCTGTAAATTTGTTTCAGTTCTTTGTAGATTCTGGATATTAGCCCTTTGTCAGATGAGTAGATTGCAAAAATTTTCTCCCATTCTGCAGGTTGCCTGTTCACTCTGATGGTAGTTTCTTTTGCTGTGAAGAAACTCTTTAGTTTAATTAGATCCCATTTGTCAATTTTGGCTTTTGTTGCCATTGCTTTTGGTATTTTAGACATGAAGTCCTTGCCCATGCCTATGTCCTGAATGGTATTGCCTAGGTTTTCTTCTAGGGTTTTTATGGTTTTAGGTCTAACATTTAAGTCTTTAATCCATCTTGAATTAATTTTTGTATAAGGTGTAAGGAAGGGATCCAGTTTCAGCTTTCTACATATGGCTAGCCAGTTTTCCCAGCACCATTTATTGAATAGGGAATCCTTTCCCCATTTCTTGTTTTTGTCAGGTTTGTCGAAGATCAGATGGTTGTAGATGTGTGGTATTATTTCTGAGGGCTCTGTTCTGTTCCATTGGTCTATATCTCTGTTTTGGTACCAGTACCATGCTGTTTTGGTTACTGTAGCCTTGTAGTATAGTTTGAAGTCAGGTAGCATGATGCCTCCAGCTTTGTTCTTTTGGCTTAGGATTGTCTTGACAATGAGGGCTCGTTTTTGGTTTCATATGAACTTTAAAGTAGTTTTTTCCAATTCTGTGAAGAAAGTCATTAGTAGCTTGATGGGGATGGCATTGAATCTATAAATTACCTTGGGCAGTATGGCCATTTTCACGACATGGATTCTTCCTATCCATGAGCATGGAATGTTCTTCCATTTGTTTGTGTCCTCTTTTATTTTGTTGAGCAGTGGTTTGTGGTTCTCCTTGAAGAGGTCCTTCACATCCCTTCTAAGTTGGATTCCTAGGTATTTTATTCTCTTTGAAGCAATTGTGAATGGGAGTTCACTCATGATTTGGCTCTCTGTCTGTTATTGGTGTATAACAATGCTTGTGATTTTTGCACACTGATTTTGTATCCTGAGACTTTGCTGAAGTTGCTTATCAGCTTAAGAGATTTTGGGCTGAGACGATGGGGTTTTCTAAATATACAATCATGTCATCTGCAAACAGGGGCAATTTGACTTCCTCTTTTCCTAATTGAATACCCTTTATTTCCTTCTCCTGCCTGATTGCCCTGGCCAGAACTTCCAACACTATATTGAATAGGAATGGTGAGAGAGGGCATCCCTGACCTGTGCCAGTTTTCAAAGGGAATGCTTCCAGTTTTTGCCCATTCAGTATGATATTGGCTGTGGGTTTGTTATAAATAGCTCTTATTATTTTGAGATACTTCCCATCAATACCTAATTTATTTAGAGTTTTTAGCATGAAGTGTTGTTGAATTTTGTCAAAGGCCTTTTCTGCATCTATTGAGATAATCATGTGGTTTTTGTCATTGGTTCTGTTTATATGCTGGATTATGTTTATTGATTTGCGTATGTTGAACCAGCCTTGCATCCCAGGGATGAAGCCCACTTGATCATGGTGGATAAGCTCTTTGATGTGCTGCTGGATTCTGTTTGCCAGTATTTTATTGAGGATTTTTGCATCGATGTTCATCACGGATATTGGTCTAAAATTCTCTTTTTTTGTGGTGTCTCTGCCAGGCTTTGGTATCAGGATGATGCTGGCCTCAGAAAATGAGTTAGGGAGGATTCCCTCTTTTTCTATTGATTGGAATAGTTTCAGAAGGAATAGTACCAGCTCCTCCTTGTACCTCTGGTAGAATTCGGCTGTGAATCCGTCTGGTCCCGGACTTTTTTTGGTTGGTAGGCTATTAATTATTGCCTCAATTTCAGCGCCTGTTATTGGTCTATTCAGGGATTCAACTTCTTCCTGGTTTAGTCTTGGGAGGGTGTATGTGTCCAGGAATTTATCCATTTCTTCTAGATTTTCTAGTTTATTTGCATAGAGGTGTCCTACTTTTTTAAATTAAAAATAATAAATTGTGCTGTCGGCATGAAGTCAAAACTTGATTCCATTAAAAAAAAAAAAAAAAAAAAAAAGATGTGTGGGAGTGTTTGGCTCGGACAGCAGCAGAAATCTTTAAGCCAGGAAGACTGAACAGGCACAAGCAGAGAAGCCTGAGGATGCATCACAGAAGCCAGGCGAGGCCCAGGCCAGCTCAATGCAGGGCACTGAGTAATGAGGAAAGGACACTGACGACTGCGGGCCCCAACCAAAGGGAAGCCAGGGTGACAGTTCCCCCAGGCCCGGCCGTCCAGCCCAGGACTGCAGCTTCACCATCAGTGTTTACAGCAAGAGCCTGTGCAGGAGCCAAAGGGAGGAACAGAAGGAGGTGTGGGAGAGTAAGCCCTTCCGCTTGTGGGCAGATGCGCTGTCTTGAAGAGTGCTTGGCATCTTCAAGTAAAATTAGGGTTCCTGGGCCGCAGCCTCCAGTTTCTAACCTAGCATCAGAAGGGACAAATGAAGCTGATCTTAAGCGAGCAACCTGATAACCCACCTGCCAGATTAGGAAAAGCAGGAATAGACTGCTAATGCATCTGCTGGTCCTGGCTGGGCTTTTAATATGTAACCCCCACTGATACCCCAGCTTCCTGTCTTACAGGTACAAGAAGACTGCTGTGAGGTGAAGCTCACAGGGGCAGCCAGGTGACAAGAAGTAATATATTACCTGTTACTTGCACCTGAAGAGTCACGGGGCGGCCTCCAGGACTCACAATCATTGCAGAGCACTCACTCCCAACCAGGCACGTCTACATTAGAATCCTCTTTGCTGATTGCTTTTCTCTGGATACTGCCCTTGCAGGCAGGGCTGGACAGAAAATGTCCTGGGTAGGACAGATGAGAACGCCTGGGCTGGGACTGCAGAAGGCAGGTGAGTTCCAAGCCTCTGCTACTCCACGTGTGGCACTTGGACCTGCAGCACAGAATCCCCTGGGAGCCTGTCAGAAATGCAGAGTCCCAGGCCTAGCAGTCAGCATCAGGTGGGTCATGAGCACCCTGCTCTGAGGAGCACAGGGCTGAGCCACAGCCAGGAGGAAAGCTGCTTTCTCCAGTCAGCACCACACAGAGGGTCAGGAAATGCACGTGCTATGGCCATTTTGGTTAAGGTGAGATCAGCTGTGAGCCACTGAAAACCACAAACACAGGAGTTTAAACAAGACAGGAGTTTCCTTCTCTCTCACGAAACAGCATAGAGAAATGTAGTCCTGGGCTGGCGTCATTGTTCACCTTTATAAAGGCAGGAGACTACTCCATCTTTCTTCCCTGGCGTCTTCGATAGTTGATCCTCCTCATGTTCCAAGATGGCTGCATGAGCTCCAGCCCCCACACTGCACTCCATCAGCCTGGAACAGGGAGGCCACCATCCTTATCTGACTCTACTCTCTTCTCCAGTCACCTGACACTTGCGCGCAGCTTCACACAAAGCATAGCAGCCGTCACCTGCATCCTGGGACAAGCCCTGGGAAAGCCTAAGTAATTCTGCCGTGGAGCCAGGCAGGAGGATCTGTGTGCCCTGTGTCCCCCACCCCACATGGAAAGAGCCTGAC
Source organism: Homo sapiens (assembly GCF_000001405.40). Classification (NCBI taxonomy): domain Eukaryota; kingdom Metazoa; phylum Chordata; class Mammalia; order Primates; family Hominidae; genus Homo; species Homo sapiens. The sequence goes on from NC_000012.12 coordinate 131,507,082, forward strand.
CAACATCCGTCTACAGGACCCACCAGGGAGGAAAGAGAAAAAGTCACTTCATTTAGGAAACATCTCTCAAAACCCAGGAGATCTGCAGGACTGGGAGTAGAACAGAGGGAAGGCGCTGTTTGCAATCTCACTGACAATCACAGCATGTTAACCTAATAGAAGCAGAGGAGTCTCCAGCATATCCAATTATGTTAGCAGGCTGGGCAGGAGTCAGGCCATTATCTCACTCATCTGGACGGACTCCATTATGCCATTGCTCTTTCTTGATTAAATCTTCTCTAACGATGTCTGTCCAGGGAGGGAGAGAATCATTGCATCTGCTGGAGGAGATGTGACGGTGGCAGGTGGTGTCCCCAAGGACCAGCACCACCTAGCCCCTCTCCCAGCCCTGGGGCCTTGAGCTGGTTTCACCCCTAACCTCTGCCCTTGACCACAGTGAGGAGCATTGTTCCTACTAATGGTCACTCCAACCTGTGGCTCATCTTTGATTCTGTCTTCTTCATTCTCTCGGAAACACTTTAGACAGCTGACTAGTTCTTCCACCTTGTAAATGAACTATTGATTGTTCTCTCTGGCACTGCATTCTCAATCTTCCTCCTGCCTCTGTGACTTTTTATCTGTCTCCACTATTGTCTTGTCTCTGCCTCATGACACCTAAACGTAGATATTCCCCAAGGCTCGATTATCAGCCACGCTCTCTTTGGAAACTCTCACTTGGGACTCCATCTCCCCCATATGAAACATTTCCTTCTCTGCATCTCCAGTTCAACTCTCTCTCCCCACACTCTGTCTCCTCTGAAGTCCTGCCGTGTGACATCCCTGGCATGGGCAGGGCACATCCAGTCATCCGACACCCCAACACCCACTCTCACCATTCTCCCGACACCCAGGTCCACATCGTCTCATGATCCACAACTAAGGTTTAGGAGTGTGTTGGATCTGACCACTGGGAGAATTTACCAGCCAGCACCAGCAGCCCTCTTAACTCCTCCAGCGTGCACAGACGCGGACTCTTGACTGATGAGAGGCCACGTAACAAACAACTAGTCTGATGGTCATTGACAAATTGGGTGTCATTGATGGCACTTAATGGCACCAAGAGCTAGAATTCTTTAAGTCGCAACTTCCTGAAAAGCAGGGCTGTCTCCTTCCATTGAGCACTGTTCTCTCATAAGAGACACTGGGAATTACTGTCTAAAGGTCCACCCTAGGGACTCATAAATATCTAAAATCCCATGTTGAGGAGGTGTGACTGAGAGGGGCAGCAGATTGAAGTCTCTCACCCTTCTTAGCTGGGTGGCCATTTAGTAAAGGCAAATGATCAGCTCCCAATACCAAGGCATCCAAGCATTTCACATGCAAAAAACAAGTATCTAAGGTTGAAATGTGTCACGCATCCCCTGGAGGTGCCCTGACCTCCACAAAGAGCCATTTGGAACATCTTGGCACAGTTAATTACTCCCTCTTACCTGGAAAGGTGACTGAGTTAATGCATGTCCCACTGAGATATATCAGCTTTGGTAGGAGATCTCTTGCAGCTAAGAAGGAATCATGATACAGAACTTTAGAAACCAGGCAGACCATCAAATCAGTTGTTTGTTACACGGCCCCTCACTCAGTCAGGGGAGTCCACATCTGTGCATGCTGGAGAAATTGATAGGGCTGCTGGTGCTGGGTGATGGGGCATAAATTCCCCCAATGGTTAGTATTGATGGCTATGGCCTCTTTCCAAAGAAATAAGCTCTCAGAATTACACACAGTGGCTGAAGCCATTTTTAGCAGGTGGAGGCCACATATCACAGCCACAGAGATTTGTTTCCTTAGACCTTAAAGATTATTTCTCATTCTGATGGCCAATCCCTCATTGAGGGCAAAGATAAAATGGTTTCCGGGAGAATGGACACAAACCCTATCTCCCACGCCCCCATCAGTGCTCCCGACCTGCTCATTGACAGGATTTGAGGAGAGCCCAAAGATCCCACTTACTGCAGAAGATGAACAAGCAGAATCTCAGAGCACCCAGTTCCTTTTCTCTAAAGAGTACAGGATGTTGTCAGGATAAACTGATCCTTCCAAGCACTATTTAGTGTGAAGAAATCTAAGGCTTATTATAGCAGAGTCTTAAATGTCAGCATTCATGGGAATCACCCAGAGGGTTTGTTAAAACATAGATTGCTGGGCTCTACTCCTACAGTGTCTGAGCAGGTCTGGGAAGCAGGACTGACAATTTGTATTTCTACCAAGTTTCCAGGTGATGCTGATGCTGCTGGCCCAGGGACCCCACTTTGAGAACCACTGGATTTAATGGGAAAGGAGCAATATTGCCAGATGGCACAGGACCCAGTGCTATGCTCCTCCTAAAGAACTATTATCCAAAAAGCAGGCCCTACTGTAGGGCTGGCTGCTGACCTGGGGGAATTGTGAGAGTCAACCCCAGGGTTCTTGGGAGATGTGGCCCCAGTTAACCTGGAGTCACAGGTGGCTCTGGCAAGCATCCCTCTCCCACCTGCCCTTTTCACAGGCCCGCACTCAGGGTCTTAGCAGTTGGAAGCATGTGGTGAGAGTCACTAGGTCATCATTGGCTTTCCCTAAGGTTGTGTGGCAAAATCCCCACGTCAGTTCGAGGCCACGCCCTGCAAGTCAGTTCCTCAGAGAAGGCCCTACCTGTTGACACAGAGGATGAAAAAGAAGCTAACAAAATGTAGAAGCTGGCATTGGAGTAGAGGGCACGGGCAGGGGAACAAACCCTTGCAAACCCCACTGCCCACACATGTGGCCGTTCCTACTCTGCGCACTGCCTCCCTCAGCGTGGGTGGAAGTATCTCTAGGCCATATGCTCGGGGAAGCACTGATCATTAAATTAGCCCTGCTCTTGCTCTAATTAAGACTCCCATCTGTTTCACTCATTAACCACCACTGGCCTGTTCCTGCCTCTGGTGTTTCACTTCATATTTCAAAGGAGTCAACTGCCTCTCTCCAGCCAAAATCACCAAGGGTCCAGGTTGTAAATCAAGTGGGGCTCAAGGGCAGCCCCTCCTGAGTTCTAAGTCACTATAGTCACACTTCTGCTCAGGCCCTTTGGGGTCCCTGCCCACCACACAGCCACCTGATGAGCCCCATCTACTCCTTGTCACTCACGGATTCTCTCCTCTCCTCAGTGGGGTCTTCCTCCCGCCCACCGGTGAGCTCCAAGGCTTGATCCTTCACAGCCCATCACACCTGGTGTATGCCTCAGTTTACCCCTCATCACCTGGCCCAATGACTGAGACTCTGTCTCCCTCATAGACTATAGGTTCCCTAAAGGCTGGGACTTGGTCTTTTTGTCTCTGTAACCCCAAAGTGCATCCCAGCACCAGGACTCAGAAGCCCTCAGGAAATGAACATTGAAAGAATGAGTGAATGAATGAATGATGAACAAATGGATGGACGTGCAAAACTGCTGCACACGGATCTGGCACCTCCCTGGAGGAGGTGAGACACGGCCATAATGAGCTTCCTTGTCAAGAGCCCAAGAGCCTGGCAATGACAGCTCCTGGCAATGGGTGCCTATAAAACCCAGAATTGTTTCAGCACTTCGGCTCTCAGAGAAACTGCAGCCAGCTTGTTCTCATAAGACTAATGCAATAAAAATAAAACACCTGTTTCTGGGAAACAAAAATATCATGCATTATTCAGCTACCATCTTTAGATCCTGGGAAACTGTATCTGAAAGGATCAATCACTGAGAAATAGGTACCAAAATGTGCTACTTTTAAAGTGATGGTCTGTTGTTTCTTAAAATGAACAACAAAAGATCTTTGGGGAACAGGCCTAGCTGAAGCTCTCTGAGGACTCTCAACATAGGCAGAGCTGCCAGTGTCCCTGGTCAAACACAGAAGGAGAGGGGTCCCTGGATCTGGAGGAGGCTCTGGGCAGGGGGGATCGTAGCGAAGATGCGCTTTCCTCTCTGATGCCATGACCCCCTTCTGTTTCCCCAAGGCCAGCCCTGGTCTGGGGGGCTCCAGCCTTCCCACATCCACCTGCTCCTGGGTGCACTTCCGTGGGGCTCTCACCCTCACAGCCCGCCCCCAGGATCCCAGATCCCACTCATACAACCCGAACATTCTCTGCTTCTTTCTCGGGAGTCTGGAATCATGATCAGTAAGTCTAGACTTTTTTTGAAAATGCCAATGCCAAAGCCAAAGCCAGGCCATGGGGCCCAAGGAAGCATTCCTCTCATCCTCCTCTGAATACTGGGCATGGAGAAAACCAGGAGACACAGACTCAGAAAGGGCCAAGTCAATTTCCTAAAGATGTTATAATTGCTCACTTCCCAGCTAGCTCTGATGCCTGCAAGCTCTTCACCAACCCCAGGAGGTGAGCGTCATGCAAATGATACCAATTTCCCACCCCCGTCCTGTCTCTGAATAGACAGGAAGTACATGAGTCAGTAGCATTTGACACTCACAGAGGAAGGTGCTGCTGAGAGAGGCCTGGGACAAGCAAGAGGAAGGAACAGACTCAGGGGAAGACTGTGAGGGTGGCATGTGGCAGAGCCGCCCACCAGCACCCAGACCACCTCCTAGGCCCTGTGCACGTGGAGACTGAGTGAGGACTTCCCAGAGTCTGCAGGTGGTGCCCACCCTGTCCTCCGAGGGAAAGTGAGACAGTCACCCCAGGCTGGGCTGAGCAGCCCACGGGTCGCTGCAACCCTCACACTGCACCTCACTATTCCCTAAAGGGCCCTGCAGGACTGGTTCCATCCCTTCTCTGGCCACATCTGTGTCAGGGATTCCAGGACCATCCCCAGGTTCAGAGACTCCCAGGACTCAGGCTGCAATTTATTACAGTGAAAGGACAACCTGCAAAAACAGCAAAGAGAAAGGCACAAGGGGAACCAGGCACAAGCTCCCAGAGTCCCCTCCCTGGGGAGTCACACAGCACATGTCTAATTCCCCAGCGATGAGATGTGACAACACATGTGAGTGCTGTCTATGAGGGACGCTCACTAGAGACTCGGCACCCAGGGTTTACTGGGGTCTGGTCACGTCAGCACCTGTGCCTGGCATAGTCCAAAATCCCAGCCTCTCAGAGGGAAAGCAGGTCCTCAGCATAAACCCTATTGTTTGCACACGCAGCCATTCAGTGAATCAGTGTGGGGGCCTGTTTATCGGCAAAGCTCCCAGGCCCCAGCTGAGGGCCAACCTTGCCAGCAGGCCTCTGCAGGGAGGGCATCTTTGGCCTTCATGGTTAATTCCTTCTGCACAAGTACCACCTCTGTCCCGCCCATGCTCACCGTCCCCAGCCACATGAGCTCCCACCAGCACCTTGACCTCCTGCAGGCTCAGCCTGGCACCGCTCCCAACTCCATCCATGCACAGCTGGCTCCTTGTTGGCATCCAGGGCTCAGATCAATGTCACCTCCCCACAGTCACCTCCTCCCCACAACCACCCAGTCTACAGTAGCCTGCGTCCTACGTACCACCACACAGCACAGTGTTAGGCCCTCCCCACACTGTTCTTAAATGTTCTTATTTGTTTACTACCTGTCCTTGCTGGGATGCCAGTTCCCAGAGAACAGGAGCCTGGTCTATACCCTCAGATCCTAACCAGTGTGTGCACATGATGAATGCACGTGTGATGGTTACTACTTAGTATCAACCTGATCGGATTGAAGGATACAAAGTATTGATCCTGGGTGTGTCTATGAGGCTGTTGCCAAAGGAGATTCACATTCGAGTCAGTGGGCCGGGAAAGGCAGACCCGCCCTTAATCTGGGTGGGCACCATCTAATCAGCTGCCTGCTCAGCTCAAATATAAGCAGGCAGAAAAATGTGAAAAGAGAGACCGGCCTAGCCTCCCAGCCTACACCTTTCTCCCGTGCTGGATGCTTCCTGGATGATCCCTTGAACTGGACTTGGACTTGGACTGGCTCTCCTTGCTCCTCAGTCTGCAGACGGCCTATTGTGGGACTTTGTGATCGTGCGAGTTAATACTTAATAAGCTCCCCTTTATCTATCTATCTATATATATATATATATATATATATATATATATATATATATATATGTTTGTGTGTGTGTGTGTGTGTGTGTGTCTGTATTCCACTAGTTCTGTCCCTCTAGAGAACTCTAACACAGCACATAAGAAGACGGGTGTTCATGAATACCTGAGTGAATGAAATTAAAAGTGTTCTGGGAACTGAGATGTTAATACACTCCTGTGTTGGGATTGTTCTCAGAGGACCCGGCTGTAGCATTCACAGCAAGGTGAGGCATCCCAGGGCCATGCTGCCTCTGGCCTCACTTCCTGCTCCTCTGCCCCTCACTCTGCATGCCCAGCATCTGAGCCCCTGACTGCCCCCCTCCCTAAAACCTTCATCTGCCCAAGGTCCATGCCCTGGCTGTCCACGGGGCTAATGTGTGCCTTTATGTTTGCTCACATATCACCTCAGCAAGCCCTTGCCTGACCAGGTAATTTAAATGGAACTTCCTCAGCCCTGACGGCCTCATCCACCCCTGAACAGTGCCATGGCTGTATTCACCCAAGGCACATTCAGGCTTCTAACAGTTTTAATACTTATTTATGATGGGCATCATTTCTCTGTCATCCCTGACTAGAATGAAAGCTCAAATAAAGCAGTGACTTTAACAAATCCCCAGTGAGTCTTCCATAAATATTTGCTAAGTTGGTGAAGGACTCCTCGGTAGCAGGGCCACACACACACACGTCCTGACTCACAGAGTATTGAGAGGATTAACTGAGATGACGGTAGATCAAAGGCTAAGCTCAGTGCCTGCCTAGGGTGTTCTGCACACCTGCCACCCATTACCTACATTAGCTGACACTGAGTACCTCAGGAGTTCCGAGTGACCTTGTACAAACACGGTCTGAACTGGACCTAAGAAGCAGGTGGGCATTGACGGCAGAGAGGGAGGGAGCAGCAGGTCAGAGACAGAGGGGTGGAACACAGGTGCAGGGTGGACACACAGGTGTGTCTCTCTGGGGACAGTGAAAGTAGCGGTCTCAAGGGTGCCAGGGTTTAGAAAAGAGAGTGAGAGATTTTACTGGAGACGAGAGCTGGGGACAGACTTCTGGTTCCAAAATGGTGACATAGGGCCAGGTCCAATGGTTCATACCTGTAATTCCAGTTACTTGGGAGGCTGAAGCAGGAGAATTGCTTGAACCCAGGAGGCGGAGGCTGCAATGAGATCATGCCACTGCACTCCAGGCTGGGTGACAGAGTGAGACTCTGTCTCAATTTTTTAAAAAATGGTGACATAGAAGCAAGCTGGCTTCACTCTCCCCCATCCCCACCCACTGCCACAGAAAACTGAAAACAAACATACAGGGCCAAGATGATCCCCAGCAATATCCTAGAACTCAAATATGAGGATGGGCCACTTCCCAGGGCCACAGAGAAGTGACGAAACTCTGAGCAGATGGTAAGAGAATCAAATTTTCATATCCATGATGCCCCTGCCTTCCATGGCCCAGCACCAAGCACATGAAAATTTTCCTATCTCAGTTTCTACACCGGAAAAAGTGAACTTGAGGTGGGCAATTACCTTTCCCACCATCTTGGAGTCCCTGGCAGGAAACTTGTCTCTGTCTCAACCCACGGAAGCATTGAGAGAGTGCCTGAAGGGAGAAATATTCCTGAGGACAGCCAGAGACAAAGTGGGGAGGTGGGACTACCATCCCAGCCCCGGAAACTCTGCTCTGTAACTCAGCCAAAGGAGACACCAAGCCACAGTGACTATTCAGCCGCACGATGCCGTAGGAGGTATGTTCCACAGGACCCCTGGGCACAACCCCGAGCCAGCCTTCCCCACGCTACCGGGATATCCCTTTTGGGCCCTCCCCCATTCAGACAGGGAGCACTCCGATAGTTTGCTAGAGCCAAGGCCAACCTGAGGTTAAGGGATCATCTACCACTAAAAAGGGGCAGCAACCTAGCAGGAAAAAACTGAAGAAATTCAACAGGTAAATTGCAAACATACCCAATAAAAAAATAGGCCAAGCCAGATAGAGAATACTGGAATAAATAACCTTCAGTGCAAAGACATAAATATACATTCACAAGAAACAGCAGCAAACAGGGAACCATGGTCTCCCCAAGTGGACAAAGCAAGAAACCAGTGACTGGCTCCATATGAGACAGTGATACGAGCTCTTACCAAGAATTCAAAATTACAGTTTTAAGGAAACTCAGGGATCTCCAGCATAACACTAAAGACATTTGTCAGAGAAACTGAACTAAAACATTGAAATAATTTTAACAATCAAACCGAAATCTTAGAAGTGAGAAATACATTTACTGAACTGAAAAATTTATTAAAGTCTTTCAACGGCAGAATGGATCAAGCAGAGAAAATCATCGGTGAGCTTGAAGACAGGCTACTTGAAATTATAGAGGAGAAAAAAAAGGATGAAAAGAAATGAAGATCACCTACAAGATACAGAAAATTACCTCAAAAGATCAAATCTAAGAATTTTTTTTTTTTGAGAGACAGGTCTCACCTTCATTGCTCAGGCTGGAGTGCAGTGGTGCAATCACAGCTTACTGCATCCTTGACCATCCAGGCTGAAAGGATCCTCCCACCTCAGCCTGCTAAGTAGCTGGAACTACAGGCATACGACCACCATGCCCAGCTAATTTATTTAGATTTTTGTAGAGACCGGGTCACACTATGTTGCCCGGGCTGATCCCGAACTCCTGGCTCAAGCCATCCTCTCACTCCCACCTCAGCCTCCCAAAGTACCAGAATTACAGATATGAGCCACCACACCTGGCTCAAGTCTAAGAACTATTGGTGTTCAAGAGGAAGTTGAGCAAAAGCAAGGAGTGGAAAGATTATTCAAAAAATACTACAAAAAACTTTTCAAAACTTGAGAAAGATATAAATATCCTGATATGGCGAGGCTTTGTGTCCCCACCCAAATCTCATCTTGAATTATAATCCCCACAATCCCCAGGTATCAGTGGAGAGAGAGGTGGAGGTCATTGGACCAAGGGGGCGGTTTCCCCCATGCTATTCTCATTATAGTGAGTGGGTTCTCGTGAGATCTGATGGTTTTATAAGTGTGTGGTAGTTTCTGCTGTTTGTTCTCCCTCGGGCTGCCTTGTGAAGAAGATGTCTTGCTTCCCTTTTGCCTTCCGCCATGATTGTAAGTTTCCTGAGCCCTCCCCAGCTATGTGGAACTGTGAGTCAATTAAACCCCTACCTTTATAAATTACCCAGTCTCATGCAATTCTTTATAGCAGTGTGAGAATGGACTAACACATATCCAGATTCAGGAAGATCAGAGAACACCAAACAGATTTGACCCAAATAAAACTACCCCAAGGCATATGCAGGGTCCAACTCTACCGGGCTTTGCAGCTGCTCTCCCCACGTGCAGAGACGAGAGATTGTAAGAAAGAAAGACACAGGACAAAGAGATAAAAACAGCTGGGCCCAGGGGACCACTACCACTAAGACGCAGAGACCACTAGTGGCCCCGAATGGCTGCGCACACTGATACTTATTGCATACAAGACAAGGGGGCAGGGTAAGGAGGGTGAGACGTCCAAGTCATTGATAAGGTCAAGCAAGTCACATGATCATAGGACAGGGGGCCCTTCCCTTTTAGGTAGCTGAAGCAGAGAGGGAAGGCAGCAAACGTCAGCATTTTCTTCTGTACTTATAAGAAAGATCAAAGACTTTAAGATTTTCACTATTTCTTCTTCTGCTATCTACTAAGAACTTCAAAGAGGAACCAGGAGTACGGGAGGAACATGAAAGTGGACAAGGAGTGTGACCATTGAAGCACCACAGGGAGGGGGTTAGGCCTCCGGATGACTGCGGGCAGGCCTGGATAATATCCAGCCTCCCACAAGAAGCTGGTGGAGCAGAGTGTTCCCTGACTCCTCCAAGGAAAGGAGACTCCCTTCCGCAGTCTGCTAAGTAACGGGTGCCTTCCCAGGTACTGGCATTATCGCTTGACCAAGGAGCCCTCAAGCGGCCCTTATGTGGGCGTGACAGAGGGCTCACCTCTTGCCTTCTAGGTCACTTCTCACAATGTCCCTTCAGCACCTGACCCTATACCCGCAGGTTATTCCTAGGTTATATTAGTAATGCAACAAAGAGTAATATTAAAAGCTAATGATTAATAATCTTTATAATAATGATTGATAATTGTCCATGATCATCTCTATATCTAATTTGTATTATAACTATTCTTATTCTAACTATTTTCTGTATTATACTGCAACAGTTTGTGTCTTTAGTCTCTTGCCTTGGCAGCTGGGTAATCCTTCGCCCACAGCATAGAATAAACTCTCAAAGGTCAAGGACAAACAGAGGATCCTAAAAGCAGCAAGAGAGAAAAGCAAATAACATATAAAGGAATTCCAATTTGTCTGGCAACAGACTTCTCAATGGAAACCATACAGAGCAGGAGGAAGTGGGACAAAATTTTCAAAGTGCTAAAAGAAAAAAGCTGCCATCCAAGAATACTGTATCTAGCAAAGCTATTCTTCAAATATGAGGGGGAGATAAAGTCTTTCCCAGGCAAGCAAAAGCTAGGAGAATTCACCACCACCAGACCTGTTTTACAAGAAATACTAAGGGGAGTTCTTACATCTGAAAGGAAAAAAAATGCCACACATACAAAAAAGAATGAAATCATGTCCCTTGCAGCAACATAGATGCAGCTGGAGGCCACTATCTTAAGCAAATTAATGCAGGAACAAAAAAATCAAATCCTGCAAGTTCTCACTTATAAGTGGGAGCTAAACACTGGGTACTCATGGACATAAAGATGGACCCAATAGATCCTGGGGATTACTACAGGGAGAGAGAGGGAAGGGGCAAGGGTTGAAAAACGCTTGGGTACTATGCTCAGTACCTGGGTGATGTGATCAATTGTACCCCAAACCTCAGCATCACACAAGATACCCATGTAACAAACTTGCACATGTACCCCCTAAATCTAAAATAAAAGTTGAAATTATAAAAAATTAAATAAGACTTTAAAAAAAAACACTAACATGCAAAAAGAAAATACTTGAAGAAACAAAACCTAATGGTAAAATTCAGTACAATGACAACCCCAGACTACTCCAATACTGTAACTGTGATATGCAATCCACTCAAAACTCTAGTATGAAGCCTGAAAGACAAATCTATCAAAAACAAAAGTAGCTAGAGCAACCCATTGAGAGAGAAGCAATATAAAACATGTAAACTGAGACAAGTGTCAAAATCTGGGGGGCTGGAGTTAAAGTGGAGTTTCTTGAATAGTTTTTTCAGTGTTGGTTTCACACTAAAAGAACTTTACTTTTTTATCTAAAATAAGTGACTATCTTTTTCAATTAACTAGTTATATCTATAAGATGTTTTTTCTAAGCTTCATACTAACCAGAATGCAAAAACCTATAACAAATATATTAAAAATAAAAAGCAACGAATTAAAACATACTAACTACCAGAGGAAATAACCACAAAGAAAGTCAGTAAGAAAAGAAAAAATAAAAAGAGGAGTTACAAAACAAACAGAAAACAAGGAACAAAATGGCAATAGTAAGTCTTCACTTATCAAGAATAATACTTAATGTAAATGGACTCAGCTCTCCAGTTAAAATACAGAGTGGCTGAATGGATAAAGAAACAAGATCCAACTATATGCTGCCTATAAGAAACCCACCTCACCTAGAAAGACACTCAGAAACTAAAAGTAAAAGACAGAAAAAGATATTTCATGCAAACTGAAACCAAAAAGAGCAGAGGTAGCTGTACTTATATCACATAAAATAGACTACAAGTCAAAAGAGTATAAAAGAAGACAAGGAAAGTCACTATATAAAGATAAAAGTGAGTCAATTCAGCAAGAAGATATAACAATTATAAATATCTATTCACCTAACACCAGAATATATAAACATTAATAGATCTAAAGAGAGAGATAGACTACAATACAGTAATAGTAGGGGACTTCAACACCCCACTCTCGGTGATGGACAGATCATGCAAACAAAATCAACAAAGAAACACTGGAGTTAAACTATACACTAAACCAAATAGGTTTAACTGACACTTATAGGACATTTCACCCAACTGCTGCAGAATACACATTATTTTCATCAGCATATGGAACAGTCTCCAGAATATACCATATCTTAAGCCTCAACAAATTCAAAAAGGTAGAAATCACATCAAGTATTTTCTAACCACAATGGAATAAAACTAGAAATCAATAAAAGAGGAAACTCAGAAACTGCACAAACACATGGAAATTAACCAGCATGCTCCTGAATGATGAATGTACAATGAAGAAATTAAGAAGTTAATAAAGAAATTTAAAAATGTGTTGAAACAAATAAAAATGGAAATGCAACATACCAAAAGCTATGGGATACAGCAAATGCAGTACTAAGAGGGAGGTTTATAAAAAGAAACACCTACAACACAAAAGTAGAAAGACTTCAAATAAATAACCCAACAATGCACCTCAAGGAACTAGAAAGGCAAGAAAAAAATGCAAAATTAATAGAAGGACAGAAATAATAAAGTACAGAGCAGAAATAAGGGAAAATGAGACTAAAAAACAATACATAAGATCAATAAAATGAAAAGTTGGGTCTTGAAAAGATAAATGAAATTAACAAACCTTTAGCAAGACAAAGAAAAAAGAGAGAAGAGCCAAATAAATAAAATTAGAAATTAAAAAGAAGACGTAACAACGGAGACCACGGAACTACAAATAATTAGAAACTATTATGAACAACAATACACCAACAAACTGGAAAACCTAGAAGAAATGGATAAATTCCTGAACACATGCAATATACCAAGATTGAACCATGAAGAAACAGGAAACCTAAGCAAACCAATAATGAGATCAAAGCTGTAACAGTCTCCCAGCAAAGAAAAGCCCAGGACCTGATGGCTTCACTGCTGAATTCTACCAAACATTTAAAAAAGAACTAATACCAATTCTACTCAAATGCTTCAAAAAAAAAAAAATCAAAGGGAAGGGAATATTTCCAGACTCATCTATGAAGCCAGCATTACCTTGATACCAAAGCCAGACAAGGATACAACAACAACAACTACAAGCCAATATCACTGATGAACAAATATGCAAAAATACTCAACAAACTACTGGCAAATGAAATTCAACAACATATTAAAAAGATCATTTACCGTGATCAAGCGGCATTCATCCCAAAGATGCAAGGATGGCTCAGCACGTGGAAATCAATAAATGTGGTACATCACATTAACAGAACCAAGAAAAAAACCATATGATCATTTCAATAGATGCTGAAAAAGCATTTGATAAAATTCAACATCCCTTCATGTTAAGAACCTGTAACTGGGAATAGAAGGAACATACCTCAAAATAAAAAAGGCCATAAATGACAAACCCACAGCCAACCAAACACTGAATGGGGAGAAACTGAAAGCCTTTTCTGGAAGATCAAACAAGAAAAGGATGCCCACTTTCACCACTTTTATTCAGCATAGTATTAGAGGATAGGCATGGTGGCTCACGTCTGTAATCTCACACTTTGGGAGGCCAAGGCAGGCAGATCACTTGCGGTCAGGAGTTTGAAACCAGCCTGACCAACATGGTGAAACCCTATCTCTACTAAAAATGCAAAAATTAGCCTGGCGTGGTGGCACACATCTGTAGTCCCAGCCACTTGGGAGGATTGGTTGAGCCAGGAGGTCGATGCTGCAGTGAGCCAAGATCACGCCACTGCACTCCAGTCTAGGCAACAGAGTGAGACTCTGTCTCAAAACAAAACAAAACAGGGTCAGGTGCGGTGGCTCACATCTGTAATCCCAGCACTTTGGGAGGCCAAGGCGGTGGATCACGAGGTCAGGAGATCAAGACCATCTTGGCTAACACAGTGAAACCCCATCTCTACTAAAAATACAAAAAATTAGCCAGGCATGGTGGCAGGCGCCTGTAGTCCCAGCTACTTGGGAGGCTGAGGCAGGAGAATGGCGTGAACCCGGGAGGCGGAGCTTGCAGTGAGCCGAGATCGTGCCACTGCACTCCAGCCTGGGCGACAGAGCAAGACTCCGTCTCAGAAAAAAAACATAATACGAGAAGTCCTGACCAGAGCAACTAGGCAAGAGAAAGAAATAAAGAACATTCGAATTGTAATGGAAGAAGTCAGATTATTCTTGTTTGCAGATGACATGATTTTATATTTAGAAAAACCTAAAGACTCCACCAAAAACCTATTTGAACTGATAAACAAATTCAGGAAACCTGCATGATACAAAATCAATGTATAAAAATCAGTAGCATTTATATACACCAGCAGTGAACAATTTGATCTGGTCTCTGGGAGGTGGTGTGGGCTCGGCTGTGGTTGACCTGGCCTCTGGGAGGTGATGGGTGAGGACTTCTTCCCTGCAACAAGGCAGCGGGGAGGGCTGGGCCACTGTCGAGACACCACCCAGGGGGGACGGGACCACGGTGCCAGTGCTGGGGGCCCTGGGGATCCCACTGCAGATAGGGAGGGGAACAAGGAAACAAAAACAGCTCTGCCCTGGGAGAGGGGAAGGGACACTTGGGATGCCAGATCCCAGATCCGATTTTACAGCTCCCCACCCCCAAGTAAGGCCTGACCAGAGCATCAGAGAATGTGCCCCTACATCCCACCACCAGGATAAGAAGCCATGAATAAGATGATCTGTAGACGGCAACTGCTCTGAAGAGCAGCGTGGAAGGGGGGAGCCAAGGCAAAGAGGGAGAAAATGCAAGGTGTCTCCTGTCTCTAGAGGAGTGGGAAGTCTCCAGTGGAGCAAGGTAACCATAGCAACAGCAAACTTCAAACCCAACGGGGCTCCTGACTAGGTAGGTCAGCACAGGCCCTCACCCTAGGGGCCCAGCAGAAGGAAAAATTCCACAAAGAGTGAAACAAAATCAGCAACTCTAAAATGGCTGCACTTGGAATTGTAGATGGAGAAGAGAGAATGGAATATTTGAAAGAACGATCACTGCGAATTTACCAAAATTAGTGACAACAAATCACAAATCTAAGAAACTAAAGAACACCAAGAAGGATGAACAATGACCACACCAAAAACAACACCGAGGCATATCACATTCAAACTGCCGAAACCAGACAGGAAGAAAATCCTGAACACGACCAGAAAGGGGTGAACGGGAAGCATTACCCATAGAGAAACAAGGATAAAAGTTATGGAATACTTCTCATAGAAATTATGTGAGCTTTTTTTCATATGTTTGTTTGGCCACATGTATATTTCCTA
Organism: Homo sapiens; assembly: GCF_000001405.40. NCBI lineage: Eukaryota > Metazoa > Chordata > Mammalia > Primates > Hominidae > Homo > Homo sapiens. The sequence goes on from NC_000012.12 coordinate 131,522,342, forward strand.
CGGAAAAACAAGGATAAAAGTTATACAGTACTTCTCACAGAAATTATGCAAGCTTTTTTTCATATGTTTGTTGGCCACATGTATGTCTTCTTGTGAAGTGTCTGTCTGTTCATGTCCTTTGCCCGCTTTTTAATGGGGTTGGTTTTTTCTCGTAGACTCCGAATATTAGACCTTTGTCAGATGGGTAGATTGCAAAAATTTTTTCCCACTCTGTAGGTTGCCTGTTCACTCTGATGATAGTTTATTTTGCTGTGCAGAAGCCCTTTAGTTTAATTAGATCCCATTTGTCAATTTTTGCTTTTGTTACAATTGCTTTTGGCATTTTTGTCATGATACCTTTGCCCGTGCCTATGTCCTGGATGGTACTGCCTAGATTTTCTTCTCGGGATTTTATAGTTTTGGGTTTTACATTTAGGTCTTTAAAACTCAACGTCACTGATCACTAGAGAAATGCAAATCAAAACCACAATGAGATACCACCTCACACCCATCAGAATGACTATTATTAAAAAGTCAATAGACAACAGATGCTGGCAAGGTTGCAGAGAAAAAGGAATGCTTTCACACTGTGGGTGGGAGTGAAAATAAGTTCAGTCATTGTGGAAGACAGTGTGGTGATCCCTCAAAGACTTCGAGGCAGAAATACCATTTGACCCAGCAATCCCATTACTGAGTATATACCCAGAGGAATATAAATCATTCTATTATAAAGATACATGCACATGTATGTTCACCACAGCACTATTCACAATAGCAAAGACATGGAATCAACCCAAATGTCCATCAATGATAGACTGGGTAAAGAAAATGTGGTACATATACACCTTGGAATACTACGCAGCCATAAAAAGGAACAAGATCATATCCTTTGCAGGACATGGATGGAGTTGGAAGCCGTTATCCTCAGCAAACTCATGCAGGAGCAGAAAACCAACTGCTGCATGTTCTCACTTATAAGTGGGAGCTGAATGATGAGAACACATGGACAGCTGGGGGGAACAACACACACTGGGCCCTGTCGGAGAAGGGGTGAAGGGGGAGGGAGAGCATCAGGAAGAATACCTAATGCATGCTGGGCTTAATATCCAGATGATGGGATGATCTGTGCAGTAAACCACCACGGCACACGTTTACCGATGTAACAAAACTGCACATCCTGCACATGTACCCCCAAACTTAAAAGTTGAAGAAAAAAAAGAATTGATGCAAGCAAAAATATAAGTAAGTAACATCTTTAAAGTGCTAAAAGAATAAAAAGCTCTCAGAATTCTACAGCTATTGAAAGTATCCTTCAAAAGTGAAGGAGAAAGAAAGACTCTCCCAGATAAACAAAACTGAGGGCATGCACTCAGCAGACCTGCCCTATGAGAAATGGTGAAAGAAGCAAAGGGAGTATGACACAGGTCAGAAACACGGAGCGGAAAAGGCGTCAATATCATAAAAATGGAATAAACGAAGATAACATATCTATTTTTTCTATTTTTAATTGCTCTGAAAGATCAATGACTAAGCAATAGTAGTGCTATGGTTGGAAGGTTGGTGTCCCCTGTACAACTCATCTTTTGAAATCCTAACCCCTGAAGTGGTGTCATTAGGAGGTGGGGTCTTTGGCAGGTGATGAGGTCATGAGGGTGGAGGAGTCTTCATGAGTGGGATTAGGGCCCTCATAAAAGGTACCACAGAGAGCTGCCTTCCCCTTCCACCATTGAGGACACAGTGAGAAGTTGCCATCAGTGAGCCAGGAGGTAGGCTCTTACAAGATGCCAAATCTGCCCGTGCCTTGATCTGAGACTTCCCAGCCTCCAAAACTGCGAGACATAAGTGTTCGTGTTTAGAAGCCACCAAGCTGATGGTATTTTGTTAGAGCAGCCCAAAGAAACTAAGACAAATAGTACCAATGTACTGAGGGCATAACACGGAAAATAGAAATGCGTGGGAGTGATAGTGGCACAGGGATGGCAGAGGGGGTGGGGACATCCCGCTACAAGGTCTGCATGATGGCAGAGGGGTGTGGGGACATCCCGCTACAAGGTCCGCATGATGGCAGAGGGGGCTGGGGACATCCCGCTACAAGGTCCGCATGATGGCAGAGGGGGGTGGGGACATCCCACTACAAGGTCCGCATGCTTCCAGTGAAGCAATAGTATATTACTTGGAGGTGGACTCGGATGATTTAAAAAATGAATATTACAAACCACAGTTCACAACCAAATGTTTTAAAACAGGTTCTACATAATATCAACTGAGAAGATGAAATGGAATAATAACAAATGCACCATTAAACTCAGGCAAGGCAGAAAGAAAGGGAAAAAAACAGAACAAATGGAAAAATACAAGACAACTGACAAGATGGTAATTATTACTCTCATTCCATCAATAATCCTTTTAAATGTGGGTGGTCAAAGCCACCAGTTAACATGCAGAGAACGCCAGACTGGACAGAAATAGGCAAGCATCAAATACAGGCTGTTTATAAGAAACCCATTTTAAACATGAAAACGTACACCTGTCAGGAGTAAAGCAAGGAGAAGGGATACTATGCTAACACTACCTGAAAGAAAGCTGGAGTGCAACATTGATTTCAGGCCAAGTGGACTTCAGAACAAGGAGATTCTACGCTGACGAACAGGTCCATGTGCCAGGAAGACATGACGATCCTAAACATCCACCGCCTGACAACACAACTTCAAATTACATGCTACCTTCTCAGCTTCATCCTACCTCGAAGGAAGATGTGGCAGTCATTTATTCTCCAGAAGCAGAACTTCAGAATCACTTTACCTTCTAAGGTAGACCTTCGAGAGGGCACACACTTGTCGATGGTAACCTGCCGTCCTCAACAAAAGAAACCACATCCAGATGTCCCTACAGGTAGAGTCTGGGTTTGGACAGTTAGTACATTTTCTTCTCTGAATGGCTTACTAGAGAATTGACTTTTTTTTGGTAAATAAACAAGGATGTGATTCCTAAGCAGCCAGCACCCCTCTCACTAGAGCATGGGGTGGGATTGATCTGTCCCAGCTGGACTCTGGCTGTGGAAGGACACCCTTAGATTTTCTGGATTTGCTGGCCTTCCCCAACAAATGGTTGTCACTGCATAAAACATTCCGGGGCCACCTGTGGTCCCTCAAACACACAAACACAAGAAAGGCTAGCAATTAAAACTCCCCAACAATAGGGTTGAGTGAAACACAACTCTCCATCTTTGAAGTAGGAATAACCTGTCTTGGAAGGAGAGTTGTCAGTTCTTTCTGTCAAGAAATAAAGCAACTGTTTCCACCTAAAGAAAGAAAATGCCTTCAATCCAGAAACTGCACTCTCTAGCAGAGATTGCACAGTGGTGGCCACGGACATCTTGTAGTGTCAGAAGTATTTTTAGGGTCTGAACAGTCTGTTGTAAAATGTCTTTGAAATTGCACCAACTTTTAAGAATCAGATTTCAGGTGAAAACCTGGATTTCTGGCTTTGCTTGAAAATTCAGAAACCTGACAGCACCGAGCCTGTAAGGGGCGGAACGAACCCAGCAGCGGCGGCCGCTGTCCTAGGTCAGGTGGGCTGCGGGTTTGCGTGCCCCCAGCACATACCGCCATTGCCTCCCTGGCCCTGTGGGCCTGCCGGCCGCTGACCAGGGGCTAGAGCATCTCTTCTCCTCCATACACCTGGGGGATGTGGCTCCTCAAGCCCCGCTGAGTTGTGAATCCCTGACACGGTGCAGCTGGGCTCTGGCTGGACCTGCCCCTCCACCAGCTCCCCTGCCGCACTGGCCAGGACCTTGCTGACCAGCAGAGCTCCTGTAGCTGCTGCCTGGCAGGGTGGCAGCTCGGCCTCAGAGCTTTTGAGTGACTGGAGAAGGCGTCCCTCCTTCTGATGGATGCAGCCCCTGGGCCCCTGTAGGGCTGGGAAGTGAAAATCAAGGGACACATGAAGGCCACCCCTGCCCCATGCCAAGTCTCAGGCTTCTGGTGAGCAAGACAGACCGAGTCTCCGGGGTGGGAGCCGCCTCTAGATTTTTCTTTTTGAGACAGGGTCTCACTCTGTCGTCCAGTCTGGAGTGCAGTGGTGCAATCTTGGCTCACTGCAGCCTCCACCTCCTGGGCTCAAGCCATCCTCCCACCTCAGCCTCCCGAGTAGATGGGGCCACAGGCGCGCATCATGACACCTGGCTAATTTTTGTATTTTTTGTAGAGATGGGGTCTCGTCATGTTGCCAGGCTGATCTCAAACTCCCTAGTTCAAGCAATCCACCTGCCTCAAGCTCCCAAAGTGCTGGGATTACAGGCGTGAGCCACCACGCCCGGCCTGCCTTCACATTTTAAATCTCCCTGGTGATGCCCTCTGCACACAAGCCCCAAAACTGTTGTCCCAGGGTTGATGGATATTAACACAGTGTGACCAGGGGGTTCTGGGGGTGAGACCCTGGAGGTAATGTCTCCACAGGAATGACAACAGGGGCTGCAGAAAGTCTGGGAGACACAGGGGTGCTGGGTTCTTGGCACCATACCCCATGCCATGTGGGTGGTGAAGGAGCCAGGCAGCGCCACCTCGGAACCCCAGCTGTCACTGACCACGGTCAGAAGTAAAAGCCAGATGTCAAGGGCAACATCTGAGACAGGGGCCTGTTCTGCCCAGGCTCTGCGGTTCTAGAGGGTTTAAGTCAGTAGAGAGAGGGAGAACAAGGAACAGCAGGCTTGAATACAACTTACCCTTCCCACCGTCTGTCACTAAACGTCCTTTAAAGCCCCTCCCAACTGGCCATGCTCCAGCCAGGAGTTTGATGACTGAGAGGACTGGAGTCTGTTCTGAAGACATTTCATTTCTGCATTTTGGTCGACAAGATGAATGGTTCTCCCAGACCTCCAGGGAGTGCGAGGACCTCTCACTGAAGCCTCTAACACTCTTTAAAGGGCAGGGTTGGTAAAGCAATGGCAGGTGATCCTCACGCAGCCCCCAGGGAGGCGCTGCGGCCCGTGGACCCGAGGAGCTCGACCACACAGCCCCAAAGGTGTGTCCTCCCACAGCTGACAGCGATTCACTGAAAGAAAAATCACTCACGCCTGTAATCCCAGCACTTTAAGATGGTGAAGCAGGAGGATCACTTGAGGCCAGGAGTTCGAGACAGCCTGGGCAACATGGCAGGGCTCCATCTCTATAAAAAATACAAAAATTAGCCAGGTGAGGTGGCAGGCGCCTGTGGTCCCAACTACTTGGGAGGCTGAGGTGGGAGGACCACCTGAGCCCAGGAAGGCAAGGTGAGCCAGTGAGCTGTGATGGCACCACTGCACTCCAGCCTGGGTGACACAGCAAGACCCTGACTCTAAAAAAATAATAATTTAAAAATTTAAAAAAGAGAAATCGGCCTTGCTCAGAGCTCTTTGTAGACGCCACTGATGGAAGCTCAAATTCCACAATCCTTTCCCTTTGCAACAGTCACTGCCTCGCAGGGAGATCCCATCCCAGAGCAGGTACGCGCCTCACCCTAGACGTGCGCACTCCACCCGTTTGGGTCATGACCACATCCAGCTAATCAGAAACTCCTCTGGCCGAGGAAGCTGTCCTTGTTTGTGGCTCCCCCAAAGACTGGCTCAGCCCCTGAGGGTGTGGCCAGGCCCTGACTGATGTGTAAGAGGGAACCTGGGCTGAGAGACGGCTGCAGCCAGGACCCCGCCCAGCTGGTAACCTCAGTGCTGCTCAGGATCCCCTCCCACACAGCCCATTGCTACCTGTGGACCCTCAGAACACAGGGCTCCCAGCAGGAGATGGGGAGTGGAAGGGAGCCCAGTCAATGTGGCCAGGACGGTTGGAGTCATGTGCACGGGGCTGGCACCACCCCAACCTCCCGACATCCCAAACAGCAGCAATGATGACAACCACAATGATGGCCTCTCATCCTCTGTCCCCCTGCAAACTACTTAGCCCAGGAGATGCCAATGAGCCAGACGTGGCCCCTCGTGTGTCTGAGTAGAACTTCAGGGAAGAGGGAGTAAACCCAGTCTCTAAGCGCCTCCCCCTGCTTCACTCCTCATCAACCACCAGGGCCCACAGCCTCAGTCAGCACCACCCATTGTGGAGCAGAGACCGACGAGCTTCCCTATTAGTAGCTGGGAAAGGAGCAGGGGAGGTGGGCGAGGCAGCGCTGGTTTATAACATTTATGAAATACACACGTGGAGGAGGCGTCTTGAGTCCATTTGGGCTGCTATAGTGAAATACCTTAGACTGGGTCATTGGAAACAACAGAGACGTGTTGCTCACAGTTCTGGAGGCCGGGAAGGCCAAGGTCAAGGGGCCAGAGGATTCAATATCTGGTGAGGGTCCTCGGGCGCACCTCCTCACTGCATCTTCCCAGGGAGAAGGGACAGGCAGCTTCAGTAGGCTTTGTATTAGGCCGTTCTCATGCTGCTGTAAAGAAATACCTGAGATTGGGTAATTTATAAAGAAAAGAGGTTGAATTGGCTCACGGTTCCACAGACTGTACAGGAAGCATGGTGGCTTCCGCTTGGCTTCTGGGGAGGCCTCAGGAAACTCACAATCATGGCGGAAGGTGAAGGGGAAGCTGGCATATCACATGAATGGAACACCAAGGGATGGGAGGTGCCACACATTTTTAAACAACCAGATCTCATGAGAACTCTGTCACGAGAGCAGCAGCAAAGAGCTGCTGCTACACCACTCATGAACAATCCACCCCATGATCCCATCACCTCCCACCAGGCCCCACCTCCAACACAGGGGATTATAATTCGACGTGAGATTTGGGAGGGGACACAGATCCTAACCAGATCAGGCCTCTTTTCTAAGGCCACAGATCCCATTCAGAGGGCAGATCCCCATGACTTCACCTCCTCCTGAAAGCATCACTCTTCAAAAGCAGCAGGTCAAAGGGCAAGACCTCCAGAAAACCCAACTGTGCCCCAGTCTAGGCCACACACACAGGCTGGGGTCCTGCCCTATGGCCCATGACTTTGCGCTGGTGATCGGTTCATCCACTGGCAGGGACACACCAAGGGAGGCTTTTCCTGTGGACCACTGTCTGGCCCCGGGTGCAGCCACTTCTGGCCCTGATGCAGGGTTGGTGTGGGAGGCTTTGGTTGGGGGCACAGCCCAGAGACGCCCCCTCGCTCTGACATGGCCCCAAGCCAACCTCAGCTCTGCCCTGACTGCAGGGGCCAGGATGATCAGCATTTTTCATGTATCTGTCAGCCCGTAAGTATATACTATTATTATTTGTCAATTAAAAATAAAATATTTTGGTTTGGGTGGGAGTTGCAAGAAAAAAAATTAACTTTAACTTGAAAATCAGAAAAGAAATGGGATCAGGAACAAAAGACCCACAACAAGCAGAACATCGGTACCGGCAAGGCGCCCTCCTCACTGTCCCTGGGGGTCCTCCGCAGGCCACAGGAAGGGCAAGGGAGCCTGTCAGGCATTCTCCACACCTTCGGGCCTCGCTTTGGGGGTCCAAGGTCCTCAGAGGCACGGATGTGGAACCACGGAGGGGACAGGGCAGGCTCTGCTGCAGGCACCTCTTCTCTTCACAGAGACCCCCCACCCCCACCACGCCCTTTCTGTGGTTGGGTGCTGACCCCACAAGGGGGTCATGTGATGCAGGCCTGACCAATCAAGCGACTCCATCCCGTTTCCAGTGATTGGTTCTGGGACAAACATGTGACCCGCTGTGGCCAATCAGAACCAGACTAGGACTTGCACAGGGAGCGCTGGGAAAGAGCCTCCCTCTCTATCCGGGAACCTCAGAGCTGCAAGTGGGCACCACTCGCTTTCACGTGTCCATGCTGGGAGAGACCTGGGATGGATCAGAGCCCAGATGGGGGCTAGGCAATGGGTCAGAGCCAGGACAGGAGGTGCCACAAAGTGGGGGTATGGGGTCACAAGACCAAGCCGATGCAGAAGATCCACCGAGGCTGAGCAGAAACACCTGCTACCTCCACTGAGCCTGGAACTGGCCGCCCCTGATCCCCCACCTTCTCAGAACTTAAGTCCTTTTACTTATGGGAGTTGAAGCTGATCTGCTATTCTTTAAAAGCTTCCTCTCTGTAATTGTGTCACTTGAAGAATATTACACAAATGGAAGCATTCAGCCTGGAGCATTTTGAGACCAGCCTTTTGCACTATTCTCTTGCAATCTGTCCAAGTTGTTATGTCATCAGATGGGAGCCGTCCTGTTGCTTACAGTCAGGCGAAGCTGTTCTCCTGGTGAACCCACACTTCACGGAACACCTGGATCACACAGAACCATCTGTGACATGAGGAAGCAAGACAAAAACAAGAACAACTGTGATCATATCAGATTACAGACAAAACACGAGCATGTTCCAAACCACAAAACAATCAACGTTCCCTCTATCTTGGCCAGTGTGAGAGACTGCAGCATCAGCACCAAGCACAGCAGCAGCCTTGCTCTGCTCTTCTTAGCTTCAACCTAAGAATTGTTAAGGTGCCTGTCTTCATCCATTTTCTGCTGCTATAACAGAATACCACAGACTGGGACCAGGCACAGTGGCTCGCACCTGTAATCCCAGCACTTTGGGAGGAGGTGAGCGGATCACCTGAGGTCAGGAGTTCAAGACCAGCCTGGCCAACATGGCAAAGCCCTGTCTCTACTAAAAAAAAAAAAAAATTGGCCAGGCATGATGGTGGGTGCCTGCAATCCCAGCTACTAGGGAGGCTGAGGTGGGAGAATCGCTTGAACCCAGGAGGTGGAGGTTGCATTGAGCTGAGATTATGCCACTGCACTCCAGCCTGAGTGACAGAGTGAGACTCTGTCTCAACAACAACAACAAAAAAGGAATACCACAAACTGGGAAATTTATAATAAATAGAAGTATATTGGCTCAGAGTTCTGGAGTCTAGGAAGTCCATTATGAAGGTCCTGGCATCTGGTGAGGACTTTCTTGCTGTATCATAACATGGCAGACAGAGAGAGGAGGTAAACCACCATAACAGCATGAATCCGTTCATGAGCTGAACACCTCTTAACAGCCCCACTTCTCAACGCTATCACGAGTTTTGAAGGGGGCAAACATTCAAACCATAGTAGTGCTTAATCACAGAAATACTCCCCGCTTCCTAATAGCATCTAATTCAGAGAAACTCCACTTTCTTAAACCTCCCCCCAAGTCACCTAACACAGGTCCAAGTCCTACGCTAAGTGCTTTTGATGCTGTCTTACTGAGAGGTCCACACTTCCCCAAGGTATGTGTTCTTCCTCACCGCAATACATCAGTAAACTGAGTTTATTAAAATACACACCAAGGGGCTCTCCCACACTCACACCCTGCCTCCATCTCTCTTGGGAGCACCAGGTAAGGGTCCGGGGAAGAGAGCCCACTAGCATGTGACCCCTTTGTGTCTCTGACCCCTGGAGTTCTGCATCCTCATTCAGGCTCTCAGCGATCTGAGCAGCATTTGAGATGAATTCTCCTCACTGGCTTTTAGGGCATCTGGCACCCCGAGGCCCCCAGGAAAGCACATGCTCACATCATGCCTTTCCTTGGAAACACCTGTCTTTCCTCAGGGACGTTGGGGTGATGTTGCTCCCAGCCTTTCCATCCTATGAAGAACTCTCCTTAAATCTCAAGTTACCATTCTCTGAAGTTAAAATCCATGGGTACAGCAGGTTTCACTGGCTCTGGATGTGTTTATTGAACCTGCTGGACTCAGGTTTTCCGAAATCCCCCGCCTAGAATAAGAGGCAGTTCATGACTAGAATCTCTGCATCCAAACCCACATTTAGCCCCAGCCCATCTGACCTGTCTCCTTCACACCTAACCACACTCAAGACGTCCTCCCTCCATCTTCTACCTGTGAGCTGCCGTCTGCCTCCCCCAGATACAAAGGACTGCAGAGGAGGGTTGTTTCACCTCTATCCTAGGTGAGTCTGTTGCCCCCAGGAGTTTGCAACCTGGGTTGGTGAGTTTATAGAGCAGCCATTACAAATACTAAGTGTGATCAACACCAGATGTGTTGTTATTTGCGTAATGAATATTAGAAGTGGGTATCTATGGGTGAAGTTGTTAACTTATTACAAACCATTACAGGTCTTAGAAAAGCATTTCTGTTAGCGATGAGGGGACTTTCTCATATATGTTGGGACATGCCCCCAACCCTGAATGTGCAGGTAGAGGAACCAGCAGGCCTGGTGGCCTGTGCGCACGGTCCCCACACAGCCCTCTGTTCAGCCTGTGGATCAGAGGATGTCTGAGCATGGTGCTGCCCAAGGAGTAAAGACCCTGCCCCAGGAATTCCCTTTTCCTTCCTCTAGTAAACCCTTCTGGCAGGGGGAAGCTGGGTCAGGTTTAAAGAAGATCAGGATCTTTCTGGGCTTACAGAAGAGTTTGATATTGGCCATTCTGTGTTTGCCTCCTAATAAAGAGTTTAATAAATGTCCGTGTATATGTGGCAGAATTGGTCGAGTTGCCTTATCATAGATTTGTATGCAAACACATAACCGTCACCACTTCAAATTCTCTGGATGTAACTACCATCCACCAGAAATAATCTAATAGTTGTCCAAGAACAGATTTATTCAGGCCCTTTAACAACTGTCTCCACTCCAGGAGGCTTCCTGCAAGGCTGTGGCCAGCGCTTCAGCCGCATCAAACAAGCCAGGAGAAAACTGCATGTGGAGATGGGATTTTGTGGCTCCAGTGAGGGGAGCTTCTCAGAGACTCCTAAACAGGTTTCTGGAACTGGGGGAGGATGGATGGCAGTTTTAGTCTGAAGTGAAATTAACCAGCAAGAGTTGATGGGATGTGACTCCCGGAACTCAGGCAAGAATGCCAGCTCCTTACAATTTCATTTCCAGAGCATCAGAACTGCCAAGAGCCTGGGGTTCCCTAAGGACATCTCATCTCCCTGGATCTGGGAATAGCTTCAGGATGCCTGGGCTCTGGACAGGTGCGTGGCGCAGCCCTCACTAGCACACGACGTGGTGTCTCCACGGGGCTGCCTTAATTTACCCCCCCGGTGACCACTCACTGAGCAGCGGGCCTGCCCCGCGTCACTTCGACCCCAGGTGCTACATCATCTCCCTTTATCCCCTGCTGCCCTCCGAAGTGGGTGCTGTGGCCACTCCATCCTGCAGATGAGGAAGCTGAGGCCCAGAAAGCTCAAGTGACTCCCAGGAGCACTCAGGGGCACACTGCCCCTCTGCCCACATTCCTCCCCGACACCTCCCAGACCAGGAGACACTAAGTGCCTCCGAACAGATGACAGCACCTGTAAGATGCCCAGAGCACGGAGAGGAGAAACCTCTCATCTGAGGATGCACTGTTTAAAAGGAAAATGCACTGCAAGTCTGAATGGTACCTCTGCAAAGGTGCGATTCAAACCAGGCTCTCCGGAGAGTAGGATGCTTCTGCAAAGAGAGAGATTGTGCTTTCCAGCATTTCATGCAGAATTTTAAGTCGACGAGGGGCTTCTGGTAGACACTCTATCCTGTTCAGAAACCTGGTGAGCTTCCTGAGCCTGGCTGGTGCTGCCTGGCCTTCGGGCACGAGGGTGGGAAAAGGCTTGTATTACGGTCAGACCCTGGACTCAGGACTGTGGGTCCAGCATCCCCAAGCTCCAGATGGGATAAAAGGGAACAAATGCCATTGAGCTGTGTTTGAGGAGAACATTCTTCTTCTAATTAGTCCCTCAACTTCTAACAGCATCCAGAATGAAAGGAAGGCCAGAACAGTGGTCTGCGTAACCACGCTTGTTTCACTGTGCGCTCAGACACTGCCTTCTACAAATGCTTCGCCTTCAGGGAACCTGCACCAACGTGGAAAAGGCTGGATTTCTCCCAGTTTCACTATTCAGCTGAAATATTGTCTCATCCTGAAGCTGTGAAAATGCCCAACTTCCTTTCTCGTCTCAAGCACTCTCAATGAGTCCCTTTCATGATTCCACTCAGTGGTTCCTCAGCTTGCCTGAAACTGGCAGCAGCTTCCTAAAGACATTTGAGCTAAAGCTTTTTTTAATTTTCCAAAAAGGAAGGGAAATAATCATTCTAGAGCTTGAACACCTCACCTGGCCCTACCCCCACCATCTCATTCCCTTCCTGATTCAACTATGGACCTATCAGCTGCAGTTTCAAAATGGCAGCACAGACCTCAGACCCCATAGATTACCTTCCCCTCCTAACCAAGTAACAGGAACCACCTGCCTGGTGCACAAGAGACCATATCATTTGTGCATTCATATACTCACATGGCTGTGATTTACTGGGCAGCTTTTGTGTACCAGGGACTGTGCTGACTGCCCAGAAAAGGGCTACAAGGTCATGATATTGGGCTCCATGTGTGACCACATCTGTTTCTGGGAAGAGCAGAGCTGGAGTTGTTTCTCAGTCCTTCTAGTCCTTATTGTCCAGGGCCTGGGAAAAACCAGCCTTATACACCACCCCCACTCCCACACGGGAACAATGCACTGGACCAAGGTCATGAACATTCAGACCTTGATGTGACCTTACCCGTGGAAGTCACGGCCATCGGGGGGTGGGGGTGATCGGAAACTCCTGTTTCCTTATCTAATTGCCTCTCTGTAGCAGATGATATTGAAATGATACAGACTGAAAGATGAGAATCTGTGAGAAAAAAAAAAATCAGAACAGAAAATTACGTTGGTTTGTTTCAAGTCGCCTTTCAATCATTCTCCTTTTTTCTCATTCTGGGTTGAGAATGAACTTAACGCTTGATGGATACAGACACTATGAGCTAATACACTGTGTGCACAGAGCAAATGTGAAAGAAGATACGGCTCTCCAAAGAGCTTAGAATCTAATCAGATAGATAAGAAACACACACACACACACACACAACACAAGGGATAATGTATGCATGACAATGAACGACCTGGGCCAGATGTGGCCCTGCAGTGATGGAGGAGGGAACCAGTTGGTCTAAAGACACGAGGAGGAGGTAGGAGAAGACGAGATTATCTGGAACTTGAAAAACGATGAGCATCTGTTGGTGTGGCTGGATCTGCATGCAGTCCCCCTGCCCCAACGACTGAGCCTCGTTTTCCTTGGTGAGCCCACCCATCTCATCATTCTATGTGTTTAGCGCAACTGATCACTTTCCTGGATCTAAGATGGTCGTGTGACTCACACCTGGCTAACTGCATCATCACAGTCCTTACCAGAGATAGACTCAGGGACAGACACGTAGGCCTGGGTGGACCAGTGAGACTCTGTCCTGAATTTCACTGAAACTGTCAAAAAAGAAGAATTCTGGGCTTTCTAGGAAGATGCAAATACAGTTGGCCTTCTGTGTCTACAAGAGTCTGCATCTGTGGATTCAACCAACCACAGACAGAAAATTTTCAAAAAAGAAAAATAAAAAATAATACAACAATAAAAAGCACAAATTTTTTAAGTACAGTGTAATAACTATTGACATAGCATTTACATTGTATCAGGTATATACATAATCTGGAGATGATTTAAAGTATACAGAAGGATGTGTGTGCATTATATGCAGATATTATGCCATTTATGTAAGGGACTTGAACATCCATGGATTCTGGCATCCTTGGGGGCTCCTGGAACCAATCCCCTGAGGATACTGAGGGACAGCTGTATTAGTGAGACTCAGATCCAGGCAGCTATCTTGGTATCACTGGGGGCAGCCAAGGCACAAATGAGAAATCAGATCTGCGAGACGGAACAAAACAACATCTTAATACTGTCACTTGAGCCTCTAGATCTAGCCATCCCTGAGGCCATCACTTCGGATGTTTTTGTTATATGAGCCAGTAAATTCTAGTTTTTGCAAAAGCTGCTTTGTGTTGTTTCTACCGCTCGAGATTGAATTAAAACCAAATAAATCTGCCTGATACTTTGCAATGCCATGTAAGAGTCTGTTTGAGGACTGGGAGTTGGAAGAAAGCTCTAGTTTTAAGAATAAAGGTTTTAAGAATAAAGTTTTTCAAACTTGATCTGGATCACCCCCAAGAAAAGGATCCACATTTAAAAACAGCTCTGGGAACTCTGGCCTAACCACGGGGGCCACTTTCTCTTCCAGAGAACACTGTGCAGCTTGGAGGTGTTTACGGACTGGGCCTAACCACAAGGGGCCATTTTCTCCTCCAGAGAACACCGTGTAGCCTGGAGGTGTTTATGGACTGGGCCTAACCACAGGGGGCCACTTTCTCCTCCAGAGAACACCGTGTAGCTTGTTTATGGGCTGATGTGTCTCATGACTCTCAAACAAGGGCGTAGGAAGGTGGCATTTCCCACCACAGGTGCTGGGGGAGCTTGTTCTGGCGCACACACGGAAATACAGCCCCGCCCGCTTCCACACGCCCTTATGAACTTTGAGGCAGGCCCCTATGAATCTGCTTCTAAATCTGAAAACACACTCCTGGCTGCTTTGGAAGTGGGGCATCGTCCACAGGGTCTATGTATGGTGCTGCCGCCCTGAGCCTCTGCCCTCTGCTCCCCCGGCAAGGAAGGCCAGGAGCGAGGTGGAGAGATGGCAAAGGACCAGCTCCTTTCTCTGCCCACGAAGCCTCTCCCCCAGGAGGACGCTCAAGAAAAGCAGCTCCCAGTGAGGAAATTGCACGTCTCAGATTCCTGGAATAAGGAGGGGGAGCCGAAGACACCAACTGAGCACTGCCAGGCCGTGCAGCTCTGGGTGCTACCCCTGACCAAGGGTCCCGCTGACCCAAGGGCGCTCGCCCTGGAGGAAGCCTCAGCCTGGCCCCTCCAGGCAGCAGGAGGAAAGTGAGGAGAAAGGAAGGTTGCTCCCGGCTCCAGGGCCTGGCGGCCTCAAAGCTGGAGATCTCCAGGGGCTTCTGGTGGCAGAATCAGCTTCAGGCGACCTCTTGAGTATCTGATTTAATTACCTAGAAAAGAAGCTTCCTGGAGCTTCCCTGGCCTGAAAAATGTGCTTGCTTTAAATGTTGAATGGAACAACGACATTACAAAAAGTCTAGGGAACAGAGGGGAAATGGTACCCAAATACCAGCAGCGTAACACGATAAAATGTCATCTTGCTTATTGCCTTCCAGGGTACATGTGTTTTATGATTGCCGTCCTGTTTTTCAAAAATGTGGCAACTTTTCTATCTGCTTGACAGGAAAGCACTTTCAATTTTATTGTTTTAACAGCAGCATGATTAATGAGTGCCTGTCAGTTCAATGAACTGGTGTCACCCCATCTCAGGAAATCATTAGCAAATAACTTGATAAATAACTTCCCCAACTTGATGGCCAGTGGAAGGCTCAAGAGTCCCAGCACAGGATCTAGAGTGGACCTATGGCTACAGCCATGGTGCCCTGTGAGGAAACTGGTTTCCGGTGCAGAGCAGGTACCTGGGCAGATGCAAAGAGCTGAGCCGGCAAGTTTGCCTCACCAGGAGGAAGCTGATGCCCCTGAGGCCCTGTTCTTGGAGAACCCGGTCCCTGAAGTCCGTTGTGAACACACTCCAGGATTTCAGACGTGCAGCCTGGCCCCAGTGACAGGCTCTGGAAATACTGCAAATAACCCCTGAGAGCATAGAGGCCTCCCTCTGTGGAGCAAAGCAGAGTGTGAGACTCAGCCAGCACCCGTTCTTGACAAGTACAGACATTAAGCCTTCACTTAACGAGGGACTCTAATGAGTTCGAGTCCTGCAGAGTCTCTAGGCTTGACCCTCTCTGGAGATTGAGTACGGGACCTCCAGAGCATCAGGGCAAAGAAGACAGGCATGGAAAAGGACCACATGCTCGCAGACTACAGCTGCAGGTCTCACCACTGTGAACATGAGAATTATTCTAGAGACCACCCTGAGCTGCTCACATGTGGCTTATTTTTTTGTCTCCATCTTTTCCAGGAATTTATTCTGTTCTCTCTAAAACACCATCCATCCTGTGTAGCGAGGACAATTTTAGGCCCTCTCAAGTCCTACCTTGATTTAAAATATGGAATTGTAATAAAGGGGAAAATGAAATGCAGAGATTCCTGGCAAGATGCTAAAATGTCTGTACCTAAAACCTGAGTCGTCTGCTTAATAAGCCAGCTTAGTGTCAGATCAGAACATGTGCGCAGCCCATACACATTTCCCAAGCTCTAGCCGTGGAGATTAAAGGTAAAGATGGAAAAGAACATTCTTTCATACCAGGATTTCATGACCATGAATTTTCCTCACTATCTTCCTAATTCGGGGTCTCCAGACACGCTGAAAGATAATATTTGTAAGGTTGAATGGCCAGGCCAGAATGTTAGTGGCCTGTCTGGGAGGCAGTGACATGGTCCTATTTGATCCCAGTCTCTGAACAAGACTCCCTGGTTCAAATCCAGGCTCTACCAACCTCCATAGCTGGGTGATGTGGGGATGAGTGAGTTTACCTCTCTGAGATTCAGCTGCCTCATTTATAAAATGGGAATGACAACAGTCCTTACTGCAAATCATTACTGAGAAAACGAAATAAGTTACCTATCATTCTTGGTTCACAATATGAACTCAACAAATGTTCGTGGGAGGATGATGAAGGAGGAGGAAAAATTTTATCACAGATACAGTATTTAAGATAAAGAACTTTTTTTTTTTTTTTGAGACGGAGTCTCGCTCTGTCACCCAGGCTGGAGTGCAGTGGCACGATCTCGGCTCACTGCAAGCTCCGCCTCCCAGGTTCATGCCATTCTCCTGCCTCAGCCTCCTGAGTAGCTGGGACTACAGGTGCCCACCACCACGCCCAGCTAATTTTTTGTATTTTTAATAGAGACGGGGTTTCACCATGTTAGCCAGGATAGTCTCGATCTCCTGACCTTGTGATCCGCCTGCCTCAGCCTCCCAAAGTGCTGGGATTACAGGTGTGAGCCACCACACCCGGCCTAAGATAAATAATTCTTAAGGTCCCTATTGATGTCTGGTGGTTTGATGAATTGATTCATTCAACAAGTGATTATTGGAAAGATTAAATAAGATGATGCATGCAAAGTTCTTAGCATCCTCTAAATTAAAGTGCCCAATAGATGTCCATTGTGAATGTGATAATGGTAATAGCTATAATAATGATGGTGGTGGTGATGATGATGATGGTGAGGGTGATGATGGTGATGAGTGATGATGATGGTGATAATGATGGTGGTGGTGATGATGGTGATGGTGATGATGGTGATGGTGATGATGATGGTAATGGTGATGATGATGGTGATGGTGATGATGGTGATGGTGATGGTGGTGGTGATGGTGATGATGATGGTGATGATGGTGATAGTAGTAGTGATGTTGGTGATGACGATCATAATAGGATGATGAGTATGGTGGTGATGATGGTGCTAATGATGATGCTGGTGATGATGGTGGTGGTGATGATAGTTTTGGTAATGATGCTGGTGATGATGGTGGTGGTGGTGATGATAGCTTTGGTAATGATGATGGTGGTGGTGATGTCGGTGATGATTATCATGATAGTGAAGATGATGATAGTGGTGGTGATGATGGTGATGATGGTGGTGGTGATGGTAATGATGGTGGTGATGGTGATCATGGTGGTGATGGTGATCATGGTGATGGTGATGATGGTGACGGTGGTGATGATGCTGATGGTGGTGATGTTGGTGATGACTATCATGATAGGATGATGATAGTGGTGATGATGGTAATGGTGGTGGTGACAATGGTGATGATGGTGGTGGTGATGGTAATGGTGGTGACAATGGTGATGGTGGTGATGATGGTGATGGTGATGGTGATGATGGTGGTGGTGGTAGCGATGATGATGGTAGTGATGGTGATGATGGTGATGATGCTGATGGTGGTAATGTTGGTGATGACTATCATGATAGGATGATGATAGTGGTGGTGATGGTAATGGTGGTGGTGACAATGGTGATGATGGTGGTGGTGATGGTAATGGTGGTGACAATGGTGATGATGGTGGTGGTGATGGTAATGGTGGTGACAATGGTGATGATGATGGTGGTGATGGTGATGATGGTGATGATGGTGGTGATGGTGGTGATGATGGTGATGGTGATGGTGATGATGGTGGTGGTGGTGGCGATGATGATGGTAGTGATGGTGATGATGGTAATGGTGGTGGTGGTGGTGATGTTGGTGATGGTGATCATGATAGTGAGGATGATGACGGTGGTGGTGATAATGGTGATTATGATGGTGGTGATGTTGGTGATGGTGATGATGACGGTGATGGTGATGACGTGGTTGAGGAGGATGACAGATAAGAATGAGGAGAATCCAATAGATACATCTAAAATAAGTAATTATCTGTGTGACCCTGCTAATCACAGCTGGATTTAGATAAATTTGTCCATATTCATCAAGAACTCACTAAGAACCAGGTGCTGTGCTAGGAATTTTTTCAACAGAGAGGCCCCCACATGTGCACAATAACTCAGGTATAAAAGTATTCTCTGTGGCCTTGATGGTAGCAGCAAAATAGCAGAACTGTCCAAATGCCCATCAGTAGGCAAGTGGTGGGGACTGGGAGGCTCTTCTGCATTCATAGCTGCCGCATTCCATCAGATCCCAAAGGCAACACCAGAAGCTCCTCTGACATTTCTTCCCCTGCATCTCCCCCTGTGTCCAGTGAGGCTGGGCCATGGGCAGGGACCAGAGGGTCTGCCTAAGAATAGGGTGGGCCCCACTGTCTGCTTTCTCTGAAAAAAGCTACAGGAGCCACAAAGTCTGGGTGAGTGAGTGTGTGGGGGTTTTTAAGATGAAAAAGTTCCCAGGTAGGAGGATGAGGGGAGGGGTAGCAGAATGGAGAAGACAGCGAGCAGGAACAGCCTGGGCTTTGAGGCCAGATGACACCCAGTTCTATTCCTGGGGCAACCCAGGCCAGCTGTGCAGCCTAGAACACTGGCCAAACCTCTCTGGGCATCCATGGTCTCACTGTGGAAAAATGATGAGTGCCTTCCTCATGAGGATGTATGGCTGGCCAGGTATATGTAAACTAAGACATTTGATGTATGACACTAGTTCATATCATAACATTTTCTGTTGTTACCCAACTCAAATCCACACCCACTTTTCTCTACTACCAGTTTCTGAACTGTGAGATGCCTAACAAGGTTGGGTATAAAATTTGGGGATCCTGGTCCCATTTTATTGAAAATATGCTTCTCAGAGTTTAAGCTTTCTCCCTCCGTTAAACATAGAAAATTTTCAGAGGGATCAGCCTGTGCTTTCTTCATTGGGGCTTTTCATATAATGAGTGGAGCCTCCTTGTATTAGTCCATTTTCACACTGTTGATAAAGATATACCTGAGACTGGGTAATTTCTGAAGAAAAAGAGGTTTAATTAACTCACAGTACCATGTGGCTGGGGAGACCTCACAATCATGGCAGAAGGTGAAAGGCACATCTTACATGGCAGCAGGGAAGAGAGAATGAGAACCAAGCGAAAGGGGTTTCCCCTTATAAAACCATCAGAGCTCATGAGACTCATTCACTCCCACAAGAACAGTATAGGGGAAACCACCCTCATGTTTCAATTATCTCCCACTGGGTCCCTCCCACAACATGTGGGAATTATGGGAGCTACAATTCAAGATGAGATTTGGATGGGGACACAGCCAAACCATATCATTCCTGAATCCACATGAAAGACATGGAAGTGTGTGCAAGGGAAAAAAGGTTTTAAGCCAGTGAGCTGCTGGGGCTATGTGTTACTGCAGCACCGCATAGACTATTCTGACTGATGCCTCTCCTGTTCATTGGCACTGTGCACTTAAGCCTCCTGGAACTAAGATGTGGCCTCAGACGAAGGTGGGATCCAAATTGACTGTGATTAATTCCACCTTCCAGTTAAACATGAGCTACTAAAAGAAATCAGCCAGCATCACAAAAAGAAAAACAAAACGAATCCCTTTCTTCCATTTCCATGTTCTGTGATCTGGGACTCATGCATGCTGTTCTGGTATTTAAATTCTCAAATGCTTATCCTTAGCTCCATTCCTGGCTTCCTCGTGGGCTTCTGGAGGAAGGAGGATATTTGTCATTCACCCCTACTCACCGCACATTCTTGACAGGGCCTGGCATCTGACAGAAAATCAGGGGAAGGTGACCATTTGGCACCTCTGCCACCAGCTTCAGATTGCTTGAAGGCTGGATTAAGGCCAGGGTGAAATCTACGGGAAGAAGCTGCTCTCTTCCAGGGGCCCTCCCTGCAGTGAGGCTTCGTCATGCTCTGGGTGAGCCTCCAACTCTTTAATTAAAAACTGAAGGTTGAGGGAGCCCAGCTACCTGCAGACTACCTGACTTTGGCTCGTAGCTAGCTCCAAGCCAGTTGGAGTGAAAGATGCAGTTCCTGGGCTCTTGATGAAATTAATTAAGAGAAAGCTGACAGGGAGACAGATGGAGGTTGCAGGACTCACAGAACCAGCCAGCAATCCATTTGTAGGGAGCTTGTGTTGGGGGCCACAAGCGCAGTCTCCTACCAGGGCTGCTTTGGTGACATGAAGTCCTCAGACCTAGCCAAGGGCTGTCAAGAAGGAATAGAGCCCAGAGTGCTGAGCCTTACTGCTTACCTGGAGAAATCACATGGTAAGTGTTGACATCTGGTCCAGGTTCTTCCTGAACATGCCAAATTCAGTAGGTTCAGGCTGGACTGGGATGACAGGTCACTGCCTTGTGACCCTGTCTGACAAGCTGCAAGAAACTGGTGCCCCTGACCACAGAGACAAGGATGAGGTGAGCCCCATGGAGCCTGCCAGCTCAATCAGCTGAATTCACTGCTGCTTGTGGGTTGTGTGATATACGTGCATATATGCGTGCATCTGTGTGTATCTGTGTGTGTGCACACCTGTGTGTGCATGTGTGTGTGCATGTGTGCACCTGTGTGTGCATTTGTGGGCATGTGTGCGTGCATGTGTGCACCTGTGTGTGCATGTGTGTGCACGTGTGTGCATTTGTGGCATGTGTGTGCATGTGTGCCCCTGTGTGTGCATCTGTGTCCATGTGTGTGCATCCGTGTGTATGTATGCACCTGTGTGTGTATGTATGCACCTGTGTGTGCATGTGTCTGTGTACCTGTGTGGGCATGTGTGTGCACCTGTGTGTGCATGGGTGTTCATGTGTGTGCACCTGTGTGCATCTGTGTGCATGTGTGTGCATCCATGTATGGGTGTGTATGCACCTGTGTGTGCATCTGTGCACATGTGTGTGCTTCTCTGTGTGCATGTGTGCTTACCCATATCTCAAAGTGGGGGCCAGAGGATGCCACGCAGAAGGCCCCAAGCAGAGCTGGCCAGGGAGGAAGAAACATCAGGCCTGATCCCTCTGCATCCCCACAGCATTTTTTTCTGGGGATTCTAACACAAACTGAAGTCCTTCAGCCTCACTGCATTCATCTGTTTGCCCCAGGAAGCTCCAGCTCGAGCCATGCACCACCCACGCCCCTCCAGAGCTCGGTGGTCACACAGCCCCACCCCATTTTCCATGCACCTAAGCTGCCCAGGGCTGTGCTACAGTCAGCCCCAGTAACTGTGATCAATGAGCCTGGCTGGGGAGGTGCCAGGGTACCAGCGGGCAGGGGAATGGGAGGAAGCCCATGGGGTGGGACCCTTTCCTAGAAGAGCCACTGCTTTCCCAGACCTTGGTTAGAGGGACCCCCTTTACAGGGCTTTCCACCAAGAAAACGATCACCTGGCTTTAACCAACGCCCTAAGAGGCTGCTGTCCCCATCACCTTCGTGCATGCCACAGTTCATGAAATGTCTCCTTTAGGCACGGGTATTTAAGCTGTGGGGTTTGGAAACCGGAGTATCACTGACAGAAGCAGACCTGGTGAGCAACCCGCCGGGTGCTGGGTCCAGCTCTCAAACAGCTTTGCCTGCACTCAGCAGTGCCTCAATCCTTTTTTATGTCCATGCTCTTCAATAGGTCAGGCATTGCCCCCCACTCCCCCTGTGCCTCCTCCTGTACCCAGCCACTTCAAAGTTCTATGTTCCCTGTCTGATCTCAGAGGGCAGGTGGGTTTGCAACCCCTGACCAGGAGTCGGTCCTGGTCCAAGCATTCCTTGGAGAGACTACATTTCCCAGCATTCCTTGTGGCTAGGTCTGGTCCAGTTCTGGGTTTGAGCTAATGAAGAAACAGCAAAATGATGTAGGCCAAAAGCCAGGCCTCTCACACCGAACAGCTAGCCAAGCTGTGAAGGCAAATGAAAAGTTCTTGAAGGAAATTAAAAGTGCTTCTCCAGTAAAACATGAATAAGAAAGCAAAAAGGCTTTTCTTTTTGCTGATATGGAGAAGGGTTTAGTGGTCTGAATAGAAGATCAAAGTAGCCACAGCATTCCTTTAAGCCAAAGCCCAATCTAGAGCAAGGCCCTAACTCTCTTCAAGTCTATGAAGGTTGAGAGAGGTGAAGGAGCTGCAGAAGAAAAGCTGGAAACTAGCAGAGGTTGGCTTACGAAGTTTAAGGAAAGACACCATCTCCATAAGATAGAAGTGCAAGGTGAAGCAATGACTGCTGATGGAGAAGCCGCAGTAAGTTATCCAGAAGATCTAGTAAAGGCCATGGATGGTGGCGGCACTAAACAACAGATTTTCGGTGTAGACAAAACAGTCTTCTATTAGAAGAAGATGCCATCTAGGACTTTCACAGTGGGGGAAGAGAAGTCAATGCCTGGCTTCAAAGCATCAAAGGACAGGCTGACTCATGTTAGGGGCTAATCCAGCTGGTGACTTTAAGTTGAAGCCAGTGGCCATTTACCATTCCCCAAATCCCAGGGCCCTGAAGAATTATGCTAAGTCTACTCTTCCTGTGCTCTGTAAATGGAACAACAAAGCCTGGATGACAGCACATCTGCTTACAGCATGGTTTATTCAATATTTTAAGCCCACTGTTGAGATCTACTGCTCAGAAGAAAAGATTTCTTTCAAAATACTACTGCTCATTGACGATGCACCTTGTCTCTCAAGAGCTCTGATGGAGATGTACAAGAAGATTAATTCCTGTAAACACAATATCCATTTTGCAGCCCATGGATCAAGGAGTAATTTTTTTACTTTCAAGTCTTATTCAAGAAATACACCAGCCTGGGCAACACAGAGACTCCCATCTCTATTTTAAAAAATTAAAAATTAGCCAGGCATGAGAAAGACAGCAGGCCTCGCTATTCACAGGCATGTTCCTGTGGTCCCAGCCACTTGGGAGGCTGAGGTGAGCGCATGGCTTCAGCCTAGGAGGTCGAGGCTGCAGTGAACCATGATTACACACCACTGCACTCCCACCTGGGCAACCGAATGAGACCCTATCTCAAACCAAAAAAAAAAAGGAAATACATTTTATGAGGCTATAGCTGCCATAGTCATCAATAGTGATTCCTCTGAAGAACCTGGGCAAAGTACATTGAAAACCTCTGGAAAGAATTCACAACTCCACATGCCATTAAGAACATTCACGATTCATTGGAGGAGATCAAAATAACAACATTAACAGGAGTTTGGAAGAAGTTGATTCCAACCCTCATGGATGACTTTGAGGGACTCAAGGCTTTAGTGGAGAAAGTCACCACAGATGTAGTGGAAATAGCAAGAAAACTAGAACTGGAAGTGGAGCCTGAAAATGGGACTGAATCACCGCAGTCTCATGAGAAAACCTGAACAGATGAGGAGTTGCTTCTTATGAATGAGCAAAGAAACTGGTCTCTTGAGATGAAATCTACTCCTGGTGAAGATGCTGTGAACATTGTTAAAATGACAATAAAGGATTTAGAATATTTCACAGACTCAGTTGCTAAGCAGTGGCATGGTTTGAGCAAATTGACTCTAATTTTGAAAGAGGTTCTACTGTGGGTAAAATGCTATCAAACAGCATCACATGCTACAGAGAAATCTTTATTGAAAGGAAGAGTCAAACAATGTGGAAAACTTCATTGTTGTCTTATTTTAAGACATTGCCACAGCCAGCCTAACCCTGAGCAATCAGCACTCTGATCAGTCAGCAGACATTCACACTGAGGCAAGACCCTCCGCCAGCAAAAAGATCAGGACTCACAGAAGGTTCAGATGAACCTTAGCATTTTCTAGGAATAAAGTATTTTTAATTAAGGTATGTGCATTGTTTTTTACACATAATGCTATTGCACACTTAACAGTCTACAGTATCTTGTAAATGTAATTTTTATATGCACTGAGAAAACAAAATATTCATGTGACTTGCTTTATTGCAGTATTCGCTTTACTGTAGTGGTCTGGAACCAAACCCACAATATCCCTGAGGTATACTGGCTTCAGTTTCTTGAAACATTCTTTGGGGTCACTAAAGTGTATTCTGTTTGCTCATTAAAAGCAGATATCAAATATGCACAGCTCATCTGTTGGCCCAGCACCACCTGGCCATGTGTCTTTTAGGACCAGCTGCCCCTTTCCTTTGGGGAGCAGCCTCTCCCCACCCCAGAGGCTCTGGTGAGAACCAACCACCGCTATCATCCTTTCTCTTTTGCCACAGAAGTTTACCCTAAGGCACAGCACTCAAACAGCACCAGTCAGAGCCTTCCCTGGGATTTAGACACAGAAGTCTGGGAGAACAGAACCAATCAGAGCCCTTCCCTGGGATTTAGAGACAGGTTTCTGGGAGAATGGGACCAATCAGAGCCTTTCCCTGGGATTTAGACACAGAGGTCTAGGAGAACAGGACCAATGAGAGCCCTTCCCTGGGATGTAGACACAGGGCTCTGGAAGAACAGGACCAATGAGAGCCCTTCCCTGGGATGTAGACACAGGGTTCTGGAAGAACAGGACCAACCAGAGCCCTTGCCTGGGATGTAGACACAGGGCTCTGGAAGAACAGGACCAATCAGAGCCCTTGCCTGGGATGTAGGCACAGGGTTCTGGAAGAACAGGACCAATCAGAGCCCTTCTCTGGGATTTAGACACAGGGCTCTGGAGGAAAGATGCTCTCCCAGTACTCTGGGCCCACCAGCTGGGGTAATGGACACCTGGAGCTGCTGCAGACCTGCCTCCCCTCCTGCTGCCAGCACGCAATGGGACCTCACTCCCCATTGTGGGCTTGGACAGGCAGCATCAACATCACTGGGATGATTGATAGAAATACAGCATTCTAAGCTCCACCCAGAGCTCCTGAATCAAAATCTGTACTGTAAGGAATCCTCATGGGAGGTTTCACATGGGAGCCTGAGAAGCGTCCAGCACGAGAACATGAGGCCAGTGCACACCCCGTCCATTCCATGGCGCATCCAAGAACTTCTCAGATGCTCCCCTGAGTCCGAGGTGGGGTGCCCTGTGAGGGAGGCTGGCCCTCCTCTGCTAATTATGCCCCGAGATGCCCTGGAGAAGGAGTTCAGCCAACACACTGGGATTCTCACATATAATCCCATTCACAAGGCCATGAGGGCGGGTGTAGAGCTTGAGAAGTTGCCCTTCATTTATTTGTCTTTGGAATGAACTCCCGAGCCCCTTTCTGGAAGGGATCCCAGCTGGCTTCTCACTCTTTTGTCTCTTGCAGGACAAAGACTGAATCTGCAAGCAGTCGGCCTCTCTGGAAGTTCCCCAGACCTTTTTCATTGAAGGATTTCTGTAACGGGCTCCAGCCCTGGCCCTCTGCTCCTTTTGCTCTCTCCCGTCCACTCCTCCTGGCTTTGCTTTGGGAGAAGTGACCTTCCTCTCCTGGACACACCCAGGAACTGTCCATCATGGCAACCCCTGCCTGCAGCCAAGTGGTGGATGTGTGACTCGGGCTGGCCACTCACCCCCTGGAATGTGATACCAGAGCAGAGGGACCCCAGACTGAGGAGCATGGAGGTAATAATTCCAGGAATCTCTCTGTTCAGGAGTGTTTGGCCCCCAGTATTTCATTACCTTTTTTTATTAATAGAGACAGGGTCTCGCTGGGTCACCCAGGCTGGAGTGCAGTAGTATAATCACAGCTCACTGCAGCCTCAACCTCCCGGACTCAAGTGATCCTCCCACCTCAGCCTCCTGAGTAGCTGGGACTACAGACACACACCACCACGCCTGGCTAATTTTTTATTTTTTATTTTTTTGTAGAGATGGGGTCTTGCTGTGTTGCCCAGGCTGGTCTCAAAGTCCTGGTCTCAAGCAATCTTCCTGCCTCAGTCTCCCAAAGTGTTGGGATCACAGGCATGAGCCACCACATCCTTTTTTTTATGGCCGGATAATATTTCATTGTATGTATACACAATCTTCCCCCTTTATCTGCAGGGGATAAGTTCCAAGACCCCCCAGTGGATGCCTGAAACCATGGATAGTATTGAACCTTATACACACTGCTTTTTTCCTATACATACATAGCTACGATAAAGTTTAATTTATAAATGACACGAGGTAAGAGATTAACAACAATAACCACTAACAGGACAATTATAACAATGTACTGTTCACAATGTCATGGAAAGACAATTCATTCTTACTGTAGGTCCTGGCAACCTCATTATGTGATTGTTTTTCTTTCCTCATTAAGTACAGAACTTTCACCTTTTTACTTAAAGGAAGCACTTTATGGCTTTCTTGGACATGTGCAAATCGCCGGCACCACTAGCCTTGTGCTTCTGGCTGTTCATTAAGTAAAATCAGGGTTCCTTAAACACCAGCACTGAAGACACAAGTCCAGCGACACCGAGACAGTAAGTCTGATGACCAAGGCAGCTACTAAGTGGCCAGTGGGCAGACCGAGCATACAGCAGGGTACGCTGGGCAGAGAGATGATTCACATCGCGGGTGGCACGGTGAGAGAGTTTATCTGCTACTCATAATGGCGTGCAACTTAAAACTTATGACTTGTTTATTTCCGAAATTTTCTATTTAATATTTTTGGACTGTGATTGACCATGAGTAACTAAAACCTCAGAAAGCAAAACCTCAGATAAGGAGGGGCTCCTGTACTACATTTTGTTAAACCATTTGTTATTTGATGGACATGTGGGTTGTTCCCAGCTTTTGACTATTATGAATAAAGCTGCCCTGAAGGTTGGTGTCCAGGTTTTTCTGTGCACATATGTTTTGCTTCTTCTTGGGTATGTAACTAGGAGTGGAGTTGCTGTGTGGTGTGGTGACTCTATGTTTAACCATTTGAGGAACTGCCAAACTGTTCTCCAACGTGGCTGCACCATCTTCCACTCCCACCAGTGGTGGTGAGGATTCGGATTTCTCCACATCCTCAGAAACACTTGTTATTATCTGACTTTTTCATCATAGGCATTTTAGTGTGTGTAAAGTGGTGTCTTACTGTGGTTTTGATTTGCATTTCCCTGATGACTAACGGTGCCAATCATTCTTCATGTGCTTATTGTGTATTTAATGAGGCAATGTATATATTTTCCTCGGAGAAATGACTATGCATATCCTTTGCCCATTTTGTAATTGGATTGACTTTTTATTATTGAATCAAAAGAGTTCTATGGTAGGATTTGCGCATATATATATATGCATATATATATATATATATATATATTTTGTAATATAGAGACAGGGTCTCACCATGTTGCCCAGGCTGGTCTTGAACTCCTGGCCTCAAGCAATCCTCCTGCCTTGGCCTCCCACAGTGCTGGGATTACAGGCATGAGCCACCATGCCTGGCCTTCCACTTTCTTGATGGTGTTCTTTGAAGCACAAAGGTTTTCCATTTTGATGAAATCCAATTTATCTATTTTTTCTTTTGTGGCTCATTTTTGTTGTTGTTGCTCATGGTTTTAATCCTTACCTAAGAACTTTTGGCCAAATCAACATCAGTAGTGTTTTCCTCTAAGAGGTTTTATAGTTTTAGCTCTGACAGGTAGGTCTTTGATCCACTTTGAGTTGGCTTTTGGGTATGGTGGGTGGTTGAGTCCAGCTACATTCTATGGCATGTGGAAATCCAGTGGTCCCAGCACCGTATGTTGAAAGAACAATTCTTACCCCATTGAGTGGTCTTGACACCGTTATGGGAAATCAATTGGCCCCAGATATATGATTTTATTTCTGGAGTCTCAATTTTATTCCATTAATCTTGATGTCTATCCTTGTGCCAGCACCACCCTGTCTTGATTACCACTGCTTTACGGTAAGTTTTGAAAGCAAGAGCTGTGGGCTGTTCTACTTCCTTCTCCTTTTTCAAGGTAATTATCACTATTCGGCATCCCTTGAAATCCTGAATGAATTTTAGAATCAGTTTGTCAGTTTCTACAGAGAAGTCAGCTGGGATAATGATAGGGATTGTGAGGAATGTGTAGATCAATTTAGGGAGTGTTGCCATCCTAATATTAGGTCGTCTGATTCAATAATATGAGATGCTTTTTCACTTGTCTAGTTCTTAAGTTTTTCTAAACAATGTTCTGTAGTCTTCAAAGTATATGTTTTATACTTGTTTGTTGTTAAATTTATGTCTTGATTATTTTATTCTTTTTGATGCTATTATAAATGGAATTATTTTCTTAAACTCATTTTTTATTTTGTATTCCAAGTGTATAGAAAGGCAATTGATTTTGTAAATTAATCTTGTATCCTGCAACCTTGTTGAATTCATGGGTTTTTTGGGGGTTTGTTTGAGACAGCCTTGCTCTGTCACCCAGGCTGGAGTGCAGTGGCATGATCTCTGCTCACTGCAGCCTCCACCTCCCAGGTTCAAGCGATTCTCCTGCCTCAGCCTCCCAAGTAGCTGGGATTACAAGTGCATGCCACCACACCCATCTAATTTTTGTATTTATTCTAAATGAGTTAACGCCATGTTGGGCAGGTTGGTCTTGAACTCCTGACCTCAAATGATCCACCCACCTTGGCCTCCCAAAGCGCTGGGATTACAGGTGTGAGCCACCATGCCTGGCCCATATCTGTTTTTAATATGAACATTTTTTCCTTAACAAATGTCAGATCTAGGTAATCTTTAGCTCAAATTGTACCAACTAATTTTAAATTTCATCTCTTATAGTGGGGAATATAGGGATTGTAATGGCCTAATGGTAAAGATTTTGCTTGACTCAAAAGCATTCTCGGGGTTAGAAACACTTCTCTTCACTGCGTAATCCCCATGCAAATAGAACAAGGCTGTTTATGTGGACACCATCAGTAACCACTTCTCATGTGGCTAAGGTCAATCAATTGCTAAAATTTCAACTGCCAGCGTTACAGGAAAGGGGTCCCGACCCAGACCCCAAGAGAGGGTTCTTGGATCTCACACAAGAAAGAATTCAGGACGAGTCTGCAGTGCAAAGCAAAAGCAAGTTTATTAAGAAAGCGGGGAAAGTACAGCTACTCCATAGACAGAGTAGGGCGTTCCTAAAAATAAGAGGAGGAAGGCGTCCACCCTAGGTCCAATGCTTGTATATATGGGGAGATGTGTTCTGCTACAAGGGTTTGTGATAAAGGATTAATTTTCTTAATTACTACATTTTGCAAGAATTGATATTATCTTTAAAGCAAAATTAGGAATGCCTTTGTTCTGCAGATATCGGGATATCTGCACACTTCTAAGTCTGGGTCTGTTTAGTAAAGATTATTAATTTGTTCCCTTAACCGTAAATATCTAGAAGCCAGGAATGCCTAACTTTCTGGGAACACAGCGCAGTAAGTCCCAACCTCATTTTCCAGCCCTCACTCAAGATGGAGTTGCTCTGGTTCGAACACCTCTGACATCAGGGTAGAACAGACTGCCTCGAGACAAATCACATGTTTACAGGGTCCAGGTAATTACACATAATGAATCACGCAGGTTGGACAGAGAAAAAAGGGCGATGCTACCAGACAGAACAAAGTGACCACAGGGAGTGGTGGAGACTGCAGTAAGCCGGAGGGCACATGTCCTTTCCAGAGGGCGGCACTGCCCCTCAGCTCCAGCCCATCATCCTGATGTGGCCCAGGGGTGGCTCACTGCTCCACTATTCAAATGAACCTATAAATCTAGCTTTGTCTCAAATGTTAATGTTAGCAATGAATAAAAAATGGGTAGGCCGAATAATGAAGACCCATGGATTAGATGTAGCCTGTGGGTCACAGCGTGACTTGGCCATGCATTTTCAGCCAGAGGGCTCAGGTCTCCCATGAGGAGAGCTTCTTGGAACCGCCCAATGCGTTCTTCTAGTTTGGGGAAAGGGGTGGGGGTGGCTTTGGGGCAATGTGTGCTTGCTGCCTATTGGTTGGGGTGCAATCATAGGAGCATGGGAAATGATCTTCTTGCTTACTAACTCGATTCTGGGTGGGGCCACAGGAGCAGTTGGCAGGACCAGATGGAGCCGTCAGTCATCAGACATGCAAAAAACCTGAAAAGATATCTGAAAAGGCCAATCTTACATCCTACAATAGTAATGTTATCTGCAGGAGTAATTGGGGAGTTGCATGTCTTGTGACCTCTGGAATAATGGCTGGCAATGGTTTATGTCTACACCTTAGAAGAATTCAGCCTGCTCTATCCTCCCAGCCAGGTGGTCTCTCATTAGCTTTACAAAGGCAGTTGAGTTTGGGGGAAGGACTTATTATCATTTAAACTATAAACTAAATGTTTCCCAACATTCGCTTGGCTTAAGCCCAGGAATAATTGAAGGCTAAAGGCAAAATGGAGGTTAACTAGATCAGATCTCCCCCACTGCCACAATTTTCTCACTGATATAATTTTTGCAAAGCGATTTCATTCTTGTCCCCCCAGGGGGCTCGCTGCCTCAGTGCAATCAGAGTGAGGCTGGGGCAGACAGAATATTCCTCTATGGAGCCGTTCTTCAAGAAAAAGACTACGTGGTCAAGGTGCAGAACTGGAATCCCAAAGCTCCAGCCTCACTTCGTGAAAAGCCAAGAGGAACTACTACATGTCACCCATTGTGTTACCAGAAAGGGGTCCCAATCTAGACCCCAAGAGAGGGTTCTGGATCTCATGCAAGAAAGGATTCGAGGTGAACCCATAAAGTGAAAGCAAGCTTATGAAGAAAGTAAAGGAATGAAAGAATGGCTACTCCACAGGCAGAGTAGCCCTGAGGGCTGCTGGTTGACTATTTCTACAGTTATTTCTTGATTATATGCTAAACAAGGGGTGAATTATTCATGAGCTTTCTGGGAAAGGGGTAGGCAATTCCTGGAAGGTTCCTCTGCCTTTTCAGACGATATAGGGTAACCTCCTGACATTGCCATGGCATTTGCAAACTGTCGGGGTGCTGGTGGGAGTGTCTTTTAGTAGTGAATGCATTATAATTAGCATATAACAAGCAGTGAGGATGACCAGAGGTCACTTTGGTCGCCATCTTGGATTTGGCAGGTTTTGGCTGGCTTCTTTACTGCAACCTGTTTTATTAGCAAGGCCTTTGTGACCTGTAACTTATGCCTGACCTTCTATCCCATCCTGTGACTTAGAATGCCTAACCTCCTGGGAATGCAGCCCAGCAGGACTCAGCCTTATTTCACCCAGCCCCTACTCAAAATGCAGTCACTCTGGTTCAAACGCCTCTGACAACTGGTTTCACAGATGAGACTGTACCAGGGCCCTCTGGCTGGCAGGATGTGCCCAGCCTGACCCTGTCCAAGCAAAGGGCTTTGGGGTTCAAGAGCGTGAAGCAGAGAGTTAAGCGAATCTCCCAGAAATGACAGAGCCATTCTCCAGCAGAACCCAGCCTGGTGAGCCTTGATGAGGACCCTGAATTAAACAGAGCAGGAACCTAGTTTATCAACTCCTCAGGTTTTCTAGGAATTCCGAAGCCCAAACACGGCCAGGGGTGGGAGGGAGATCTGGTGACAAATGAGGCTAAAATTCTGCTCCGTCCACCTGCAGCTGAACCTAGGGAGGACTGGAGGCCTGGCCGTGGGGAGACTCAGCCTCTGGCTGTACTTGTGGACCCCTCCAAATCCTCACCTCGGGTCCAGGGGGAAGGCAGAAGGGAGGCAGGGCAACGCAGAAGGTTCTGCACAGCCATGCTCTGCCGCCTTCCCTGTCCTCCTCTCCCCTCCCCTCGTGACCAGACCCTCTTTGCAATCAGGGAGGGTATGTCAGCTTGGGGCTGCCCTTCCGTTTGAAGTTGGCATTTCAGTGGTCGGTTTTGCTCTTTTTTGCTTCCTGTTTACAGAAGTTCTTCCCACCTACCTCTTCTCTCAGCAACATGGAGCCCTCCAGGAAATCTCCAAGAGGCCTCTGTGAAAACATCTCACTTAGATGTTCATGTTTTTCCCCGTCCCAGATGTGCCTCTGTATCACCCTGAAGGCTTCTCTTGCTACATCTGGGGAGGGGCAGTGGCAGCACCGGGGCCCAGGGACCATCAGGGAGGTGAGACCAGGGTAGACAGGCCCGAGAGCCTGCAGGGTGGCCACGGCCCTGATGGGCAGGAGCTCCCTGGTGTCCATACAGGCTGGAGCAGGCCATAGCCAGGGCTGTGACCACTGCGGTCCCTGTTCTCAGCTGTAGGACTGTCACCACCCTCCAGGGTGTCCCAGATAGCAGGGACAGCTGTACCCAGCCCACACTCCCTGCCCACCAAACACAGTGCCCAGCACAGGGTGGACATTCCGTGAGTCTCTTAAGTGAATGAAGCCACGGCCTTAAGGAATAACTGTTCTGCTTTGCACTATTTCAAAGGGACGCCAACTCGGCGGGCTGAACTGAGATGGAGCCACTGCAGATGGTGACAGAAGCCACAGCAGGGACAAGACAGCAGTGCCCTCAGGCTGGAGGCGGACACCCCCCACCAGCTCCACCCACCATGGTGGCTGTTGGCTCCAAAGCACAGGGTTGGTCTCTCAAGTTCAGACCTCTAGACCTCTGACCCTGGGCTCCAGGAGCCCAGAGCTCCCCAGGCAAGGTCCCCAGAGCACCCACTCCTGAAGCCTGTTCGGACACAGGCCAACGCTCAGTCAACATGTCGCATTCTTGCTTATTTTCAGCAGCTGTTCCTACAGCAAAAACCCAGACCTGCTGAACCTCAGGTCTACAGCAATGCCGTCTACACCCTGCACCAAAACTCAGCCTCGGCCAGAGATCTAGTGCAGCGGTTCTGAGTGTGGCATCAACCATCAGCGTCAGCATCACCTGGGAACCTGCTGCCTCACACTCCTGGGTCAGCAGTTCCCAACCCTGCTGCAGGTTAGACTCACCTGGGAAGAGTTTTAAATCCCTGAGGCACAGGCCCCATCTGATACCAATTATAGCCCAGGTCTGTGTGGGAAGCAGATGTCAGTAATTGGGAAAGGCCCCCAGGTGATCAGGGCAGTTTGGGAGCTGCTGATCAGTGGTGCTGCTGCTGTGTGGGCAGCACCCACCGCGCCTTCGGCCTCAGGCCTCCCATCTGCGGATGGCAGCTCAGCCCTCGCTCACCAAGGTGTGGGCACATGATGGAGCGTGCCAGGCTGCGGGCAAGCGGAGCAGGGGCCCAGCCTGCCAATTCTTGCAGAAGCCGAGTAAGGCCAACCAAGGCAGCCGTTCTGGAGCCAGCAGGGCTGCACTCAAAGACTGGATAGCTTGAGGGTTTTTCTCAGCCTCTGTGATTCACAGCCGACCGTGAATCACTCCTGAGTTACAGGAATCACGCTCCCTCTGTGAGAAGGACAATCCCTGGCTGTCTGAGTTTGGGGTGGGGGAAGCCTAGACTCCGCAGCCTGCGCCTCCCCTTTCAGTGGAAGCTCATTCCCCGCCCCACCCCCCCCCCACATACACACACACAGGCCCTGGCATCCTCCCCTGGACCCAGCGTGTGCAGGAGGCAGGGCCTCAGCCTGACCCAGGGGGGCTGCAACATCGTCCTGGACCCCATCAGGAGTGGGACAGCTGTTGCCACGATACCTGTGTCAGCTCCCCTGGAGGGGACCGGCGTGCTGTGGGGCTCAGAGACAAAGCAGAGAGGCCGAGGCCGGGTGGAGCTGCCTGTGTGGAGTGCTGGCTCGGGCCGTGGCAGCGAGTTCAAACTTCCTTGGGGCTAGACTTCCCTCTCCATGGGCATCGTGGCTGTCACGGGAAAGGTGGGCGCTATGTGGCCAGGACCAGGGAGACAGAAGTGTCCCCTTCCAGGTTCATGAACTCCCCAGGAGAGGGGAGAGGGCAGTCACAGGGGAGCCCGCCAGCATCCCTGAGGATATAGGAGGACTTTGAGGAAATGGGGCCCCCTGGCCCTCGGGAGAACAGCCACAGTCTCTGGTTCTCTTTTCTGGTTTTTGTCAAACCATCTCAGTTTGGGTCCTGAAGTTAGCCCATGAGGTGGGCATCGTGTACGGCCAAGAGGACCTTGAAGACCTGGATCTCCCACAAGTAGGAGCATCCAAGAATCCTTCCTGTAGCCTGGAGATTCCTGCACAGCAGCCTCAACAGCAATAGGCAGGCTGCAAGCGGGGCCAAAAGGAACCTGCCCCAGGACGCCTGGGCAGGCTGCGAGCGGGGCCAACAGGAACCTGCCCCAGGACGCCTGGGCAGGCTGCGAGCACGGCCAACAGGAACCTGCCCCAGGACGCCTGGTCCTCCACCCGCTGTGCTTTACCACGGCTGACCTGCCCACAGAGCAGAGCGGTCAGTGACAATCTAGGAGATGCTGCTGGACCTCGTGACCTCAAGTCAGTGCCAGCAGCTACAGGGCAGTTTCACAGTTAACCACGGCACGGCCTTTCCTCAGGCGGGCAGGGGCAAAGCCAGGGACCTTTGAGCCCTGGGGTTGAAAGGAGCAAGCCCCATGAATAGCTCCATCAGAGGACATAAGATGGGTTGTCTCTGACACTATCTGGTTTGATTTTCCAGAACCTTCTGAAGAATTGGCAAAGCCAGCGATGGCGGCCACATCACTGTCCATCTGGTGGGTGCATCGTGCCCTGCCCTGCTTGACGGTAAGGTCAGAGATTAACATGCAATGAATGAGGCAAATGCAGGAGTCGGGGGGGTGGGAGCACTGCGGGCTCCTTCTGCTCATGCAGAGGGCAACTGGGAATGAAGAGCAGGAAGGTCACACTTTCCCACGGGGAGCTGCGCAGGTCACGATGCCCTAATCAGTCAGGGGAGCAGAGGCCTGGGTGGCCTCATCTCAGCATGGAGGTGACAACCCCTCAAGGGAGCCAGCAAAAACTAGCAGATGGCTCCTCAGCTCCTGCACAGATAAGTCTACCCTGGACACCAGGCCGGTGAGTGACCATGACAACACGCCAACGTCGAGATCCAGCAGTCTGTGTCTACACAGAGAAAGGATCCGATCCCACATGTGCAGGAGGAGGGGCACAGAGTGATTCCTGAGCGCGGCTGGAGACAGGACAGGTGGAGACACCAGCATGTGCCCCAGGAGGGGTTTGATCAGGACACCTGGGGGTCCCGGTTCAAAGGCATGATCTAAAAGACACGTACACGTGGCTGCATCCAGGCAACCTCGTGTCAGGGAAAAACAAGCTGCAGAGCTCAGAGGAAAGATTAATAAAGACCCCAATATGCTCAATGTTGTGCATGAATTTAAAATGTACATAAATGGACAAGAAAGTCACACAGCACTCACCACGGTCACTGCCTCTCGGAGCAGAGGGGCCACGGGGTTTCTGGCATCCTCTACAATGTCTTACTTGTTGCAATTTTTAATGTGAACATAAATATTAATAATTATAAATTATGAACAATAGGTGCATGCTTTTGCTGTAGCATCCCTTTCAGCTTTTCTGTTATTAAAATGTCTTTAAAAAGAGAACTCAACATGCTACTTTGCTTTTAACAAAACCCACATCTGCTTTTCATCCATAAATTGTTTCTCCAAAGTTGGATGGCTAGTTCAAAAAGAATTTGCTCCCAAATCTTCCAAGTTTCCAAATAAGTGAATAAAAACAGATCTGTAGCCCACTGAGTTAACCATGGCAATCCCAACAAAGCCACAGGGTCACTCACCCACTTTGCAAATGTCCAGATGGATGCCTTCCTAAAGGTCACAGCCGAATGGAATATTCTGTGGAAAGAATGGAGGATGTGCCGGGCACTGCAGGGCTCAGCTCTGTGTTCCCCAGGCTTCGTGGGACAGAGATGAAGCAGACCGGGGCCCCCACCACAGCACCCCAGTCAGCATCTTGCAATCTCCTGGGCCTCTGGGGACAGAGGAACAGAAAGGCCCTCTCTGATGGGGGCAGCACCAGCAGGGGAGGCACAGCCCAGGTGGATGCTGCTCTGAAGCAGCAGGAGAGGGGAGCTGGGGGAGCGAGTTCAGGCACAGGAAGATGCCCAGGTGCTGGGGAGCCCTAACCACACACACAGTGATGGGCCGTCAGGCGGGGTGTGAACTGGAGGCCCCAGATGTGTTGTTTGCCTGTGTGGTGCTGTAAATGTTAAGAAATTTCACGTAAAACTCAGAAGATCTGCAACACTGGGCCTGTATCCGCATGGACCAAGCCCGGGGAAAGGCGGATGTGGGCAGGGCTGGAGCTGAGCAGCCGCTGAGGGTCCAGGAGCCTCCCCATCCCTCCACTCCCTGGTCTTTCCTGCTGACAGCACCCTCCCTGGCCCCAGGGTAGCTGTTTTCAACCCCGCTTGGACCACGAGAGCCATGCGCGGTCACGTCCAGAGGGAACTTCTCCTGACCCACTCTAGCCCCGATTGTCCTGGAGGCATGTGCAGGTACAACACAGTCACCCAGGAGGCACCAGGGTCAAAGACACCATGAGCCTCCCGGAAACTCAGGTTTTCTGTCTGTTCATCGTCAATGTGGGACACTGGTCTGGTAAGAGACCCACCCTCCAGTGTGAACTGGACTCTAAACTGTGTCCCTCCCTCCAAGGTCCCCAAGTCCCTGTCTCCTCTGCGAAACCTCAGGAGTCCCGTTTGAGAAGAAAGGGGCCCGCAGACACCTGATTCTCACGCTCGGTTTATGCACAGGTGCCAGCCTGCAAGCCGGAGAGGCACGCAGAGAGGAAACTGCATTGCTGTTTCAAAACCCAAAGAAAAGAAAGTACTCTGAATTGCGTGGGGATCTGGAGTTAGGGCAGCTTGCCCCGAAACTGAACAGAAAGTGTTTTCACATCACCCCCTCGCCCCAGGTAGCACCCAGTCACGCGGCTCTCAGTGGAAAGCGCGGCACACGAAGCCAGGCCGGGACCCACAGCCCAGGTTCTGCATTTGGCATTTAGCAGCTGCGATGTCTCCGAGAACCCTGCAGAGACGGAGCCCACAGAGGAGGGTACAGCGTGGACCAGAAGCCACCAGAAGCCGGGCGAGGCGGCTGAGTTCAGTGCTGTCAGCCAGAGGCTGGGGAGGGAGCACCCTGGTGCCCGCGTCCCCGGTGAGTCTTGAACCCAGCATCTGAGCCTCCACCTCTCTTTCCTAAATAGGCAGGACCTGCCAGTGCACGCACAAGTTGCCCTCTATGAACCAGCAGCGCTGAGGTCACTGGTGCTGAGGCCATGGGACTCGTGGAGGTGTTCTGTCCATGGGAGAGAAGCCCTGAGCATCTGGGAGCCATGAGGAGGAATCTCCAGAGACAAACGGGAGAATTAACCAGAGGCCCCGCCCCATTATCATAACTCGGCTCCACTCACATGGCCCCGCCCTGTTCATTCACATGACCCCACATGACCCCACTCACATGGCCCCTCCCCACTCACATGACCCCACCCCACTTACATGACCCCACCCGTCACAGGGCTCCTCTTCATTCACATGACCCCACCCCAGTCACATGACCCCACCCCACTCACATGGCCCCTTCCCACTCACAAGACCCCACCCCACTCACATGACCCCGCCCCACTCACATGACCCCGCCCCACTCACAAGACCCCACCCCACTCACATGACCCCACCACACTCACATGGCCCTGCCCTGTTCATTCACATGACCCCACATGACCCCACTCACATGGTCCCTCCCCACTCACATGACCCCAACCGTCACAGGGCTCCTCTTCATTCACATGACCCCACCCCACTCACATGACCCCACCCCACTCACATGGCCCCTTCCCACTCACAAGACCCCACCCCACTCACATGACCCCGCCCCACTCACATGGCCCCACCCCACTCACAGGGACTCCACACCCTCTTACATGGCCCTGCCCCTGATGGTGAGAACCACAGTCCCTTCTCAGGCCCACTAACCCCATAACTCTTCTCCACCATCCTAGATGGTGGACTCACCCTTGATTCTCCAGGACATCCCCTGCAAAAGCTCCATCGCTACATGGGCAGGGCACGAGAGGCCACCCGACCTATAAGAACACAGCCTGAAGTCACATGTACTCCACACTCCAATCAGCTAAGGCTGTGGGTGGGGCCAGGAAGGTTCCGCCCAGGATAGTGCTGTGGGTGGAGCCTTGCAGTGATGGACACGCCCTCATCTCCGTGGCAACCAGCTTTCCTCCCACCTCTGCTCACTGCGCACCTGGCTCTCCTCTCACCTGGATGACGCAGCAGCCTCCACTCGTCTCCCGCACCGAGTCCCCGCAGAGCAGCAGGTCAACTTCTAAAGCGCGTCTCAGACCGCCTCTCCCTACAGAAGCCCCAGGGGCTCCCAGCCTCCGAGTACAACACAAACTCCTACCCACCTGCAAAGCCGGCGCCTCGTTTTCCTCCTGAGCTGCGGACACGAGACCCTCCCACTTCAGAAAAGAAAAACGGTGTCGCTGCCCTTCGTCTCTGTCTGTATAAGCGGACTCAGCACCAGGCGGTATTCGCGGGGGCTGCGGAGCTGCCTGGAGACCCCCGCCCAGCCACAGAAGGCTCTGGAAGGAGGTGGTCTCTGCTGAGGGCCTGGTTTTGCTGTCACCCCCTAGAATGCTGGAGTCTCGCCTCCTACAGGTCACGAGCCCGTGGTCACCCCACTCGGGTGTGACAGGTCCCCCAATGCTAAGCAGAGATGTGGCCCAGAAGGGCTCCAAGGACCCAGGGGGTGCCCAGGGAGTCTCTTCCCAGAGGGAGCATTTTCTCTCTGGGACAGGATGTTCATCTTCAGAACAGACCTGTACACGGACAGGCCTTTGCTTGTGGCTTCATCTCTGTGGAAATAGAAACCTCCGCATTGGATCGTCGTGGATGAGTGACACTCTCAATTGTCTGCAAATCTGTACACAGCAGGAGGTCCATGATTGCCCTGGTTAAGAATTCCAGCAATTAAACTGCAAAGGCAACCTTCATGCATTAATATGTGTGGTAAAAATTCACAATAACAGTTTAGAAAATATTTGGCAACTGTCAACCCACTTAAAATATTTTCACATTATTGCCTTTGCAGGGCACAATGCTGAGTACAAAATGCGATACTAGAAGCACTTCTGGGATAGCAGAGTAAAGGCTTCCAAAATTCTCTCCCTCCATAAAAGCAATCAGAATACTGGAATAAATGTCAAAAGGACTGTTTCAGACCTCCGAAAACTAGCTAAAGGCTTGCAATAATCTGAAGAGCATTTATTCAAAATAATAATAATGGCCGGGCCTGGTGGCTCATGCCTGTAATCCCAGCACTTTGGGAGGCCAAGGGGAGAGGAGCACTTGAGTCCAGGAGTTCTAGACCAGCCTGAGCAACATGGCAAGACCCCATCTCTACCAAAATAAAAAAAATAAATAAATGTTTTTAATTAGCCAGGCATGGTGGCGCACACCTGTGGTCCCACCTACTTGGGAGGCTGAGGTAGGAGGATCGCTTGAGCCCAGGAGGTCGAGGCTGCAGTGAGCTGTGATTGTGCCACTGCACTCTAGGCAATAGGGTGAATCCGTTTCTCAAAATGATAGCAATGGCTGAATCTTGGTAAGAAAAGCAAATTGTGTGGCATTTTAATTTGCCCAATTTCAGTCCTCTTCTCCCAGCCCCACAGTAGTCTTAAAAAACAAGGAGAGGCTATAAAAAGCCAGCAGGCTGGCAGCCCCTGGAGGAACACAGAGGATCGGAACTCTCCACAAGGCCCATTCCCAGTGAATCGCTGTCCTCGGACCACCATGACCGCTCCCTGAGGAGCTGTGCTCTCACTGAAGAACTTTCTCCTCGCTACTTGACCTCATGAGAGCTTGCTCTGTGCACCAGCCCTACCTATCCTAGGATATTTGTCCTAAAAAATCAGTGGGGATTGTTTATTACTGTAGTAGCCTGAAGCAGCAATACAAGTTGAAGCTGAGAAGAGGCTGGCCAAAAAAAATTAAAAGGAATTATTGTGGAATGACATGTTCTTATAAAGCTTTGAAAAGCTCCGATATATTCCTGAGAACTTAGAAGGCCAGGTGCACATGCAGGGCTGTGTGTCCTCTGGGAGAGAACTAAGAGGGCCCCTGCTCACCTGGGCTGACTGGGATGCTCCCTGCCAGCGTGGGCAACAGCTAAGGCAGAGCTGTAAGCTGTCTGCCAGGATGGTGAAGGCATTCCCCAACACACACCCACACAGCCCTCAGCAAAGTCCGAGAAAATTCTCATTTCAAGGAATTTGAGGAAATCTCTGTTCAGTCATTATCTGACCACTAAGCTAACCAAGTACATGTCCGTGTCTTCACAAAAAAAAGAAAGCAGACTGTATAGAATTAGTCCAGGGAAGTCTAAAGCAAGAAAACAATGACAGCAATAAACAGTTCAAGAAACAAACACTGGAGGGGTGGGAACTGATGTCCAGAAAAAGATTATATTAATTACATATATAATTTATATAATTTATTTTTTGAGACAAAGTCTCTCTCACTCTGTCACCCAGGCTGGAGTGCAGTGTCACAATCTTGGCTCACTGCAACCTCCGCCTCCAGGGTTCAAGCGATTCTCCTGCCTCAGCCTCCTCAGTAGCTGCGATTACAGGCGTGCACCACCATGCCCAGCTAATTTTTGTATTTTTAGTAGAGACAGGGTTTCACCATGTTGGCCAGGATGGTCTTGAACTCCTGACCTCAAGTGATCTGTCCGCCTCAGCCTCCCAAAGTGCTGGGACTACAGGCGTGAGCCACCGCGCCCGGCCAGAAAATCTTGATAAACATGAACAAAGGTGGAAGACTCACACTTCGCTGTGTGGAAACTAACTACACAGTTGTAATAAAACCGTGCGGTACTGCCATAAGGACAGACATATAGATCTGTAGACTAGAATTGAGAGACCAAAAATAAACCCTAGCATCTATGGTCAGTTGGTTTTCAACAAGAGTACCAATACAATTAAATGGAAAAAGAATTGTCTCTTCAAAAAGTCATATTGAAACAATTAGACATCCACATGCAGAAAAATGAATTTGGACCCCTACCTCCCATTATACATAATATAGCTTAAAATTCATTAGACCTAAATGTAACAGCTAAAACTATAAAAGTGTTAGAATAAAACACAGGAGGAATCCTTGTGATACAACTTTTCTGGATTGTGATTCTGGTGGTCACAGGATCTACACATGTGATTAAAATGCACAGAAATGAGTGCATATAAAGCCAGAAATTTGAAGAAGGTGGTGGACTCCATCATTGTAAACGTCCTGGCTGTCATGTACTATAGTCGTATATGATGTTACCCTTGGAGGAAACTGGGGGAGGTGTATTGGGGATCTCGCTGTATTCTTTCTGACAACTGCGTGTGAATATTCAATTATCTTAAAATAAGTCTCAATACACACACAATATATCACACCAATATATAATGTAATTCCTAATATCGTGTTTGTCTAATTTTTACACCTTCACTTTGATACATTGTGCTCCCCTTATCCTTCCAATAAACTACCTTTCTGCTTATGAGAACAAGTCAGCGTCTGTTGCTGGCATCCAAATGTCCCTAACACCCCCTCACAGGCTGCTAGAAGCCTCCACTGAGATCATGTGTGTGAGCCCCTTGATGGTTCCTAATGATGGCAATAGTTAACCTTTTCCATGCACCTGCCCTGCGCCTGGTCCTGCTCTGTTTTACATGAGCGAAGTCATTCAATTGCTCAGCCCTTGCCAGCTGCGCACACTCTTGCCCCACTTTACAAATGAAGCCACGAAGCCACATGGTGGTTGGAGGACTCACGGCAAGTGACGGAGCTGGGAAGGGGCCAATTCAGGACTCAGGTCAAGACATCCTGGTTCCAGAGCCCCACCGTGACCCACCATGTTACTCAGCACAGGTGAGTTACACTGATCTTTATCTGTCTTTTCATGCCCTGGAGATGGAATTTTTCTAGAATGGCCACTGGCTCCCCCGCCTGGTACATCATGGACTCGTAGTGCATGGCCCTGCCCTCAGATGCCTGTGACGTCAGAGATGGAGGATGGGCCTGCTGGGACCCCCGGCTCTGTCAGCTCCAGGAGCCTCGGGGTCGGGGGGACGATCCACAGGAATCCACGAGCCTCCCAGAACATGGAAGGCCATGGCCCCAGAGCATCCAAATTCCATCTAATGGCATTTTTCAGGAGTAAAGAAAGAGGCAGAACAGAAAATCCATATAGCTGCTGTGCCCGGAATGAACACGTTTTCATCAGAAGAGCAATCTCCCCTATCTCAGGGCTGAAGTCAGGCAACAAAATCAATATCTGAAAACACCTACGAAAGTGTTAGAGCTTTTCAGTTTGGCTCCTGGGCCATTGCTAGTTGAAATTCCATCTAGCATACAGAGTTTGAGGGCTTTTTTCCCCTTTGTTCTTTTTGTCATTAAATTAGCCAAAGCGTTAAGTCCATGGGACCCAATCTATCGGTGTTTATTTTCTTTATTCAGTCAAAACTGACCTCTACTCAATTTACATTTACAAGATATACAAAGAAATTAATAAGATGGGAAAGAACCCATTGCTAATGCGAGAATGTCTCTACGCGTAAAGAGAAGCAGATTCCCCTGCGGCTTCCAGCCAGAGGCAGGTTTTAAGAGTAAAGTTATTAGACGGCTAGCAGCTGGCTTTCTCTAAGCAATGTCAACAAGAGGCAGCCTCCAGAGACACGCGTGCTACAGAAATGTCTGTCAATAGCAATCAGATAACAACTCTTGACCTAAATATTTACCCAACAGCCTCAGCCACATGGTCCTTTTTCACACTGGAAAAGTCACAACACCAATACCTAGAGTGGCCAAGGCCATCCTACTGTAAGCCTTCCCTCCCCGCCCCTCTGTCTGGTGGGTAAGATGAACTTTCTTTCATTTCTGGTAGAATATCTGAGATTATGGTCTGTCTAATGTTGGGCCAGAGGCAGAGAAAAAACCCAAATGCCCAGAGTTGACCGTTCAAGCCCCACCCAAGAGACACAAGCGTGCATCATCAAACCCAGCAACACGAGTTTCCAGAACAGAGCAGGCTGAGGTGTGCAGCCACTCAAGCCACTGGCCCCAGCGCCTGTCCGGGGCTCCATCTCCATGGGAGACTGAAAGCAGCGCCGGGTCCTGGTGCTGTGTGTCATCCTCATGCAGCTAGAGGTGCAGAAGCTCGGCACTGGGTGTACTGAGGTGGCCGAGCCGTGGATATAGTCCGGAGAGCTTTGTCATATGGGAGAGTTGGCAAATGGAGTTATTGATCTTTAGACATGACACAAACAGCCGGGGAAAATGAGCTTGCTCCTCAGCCACAAGGGGCTCAGAGGGGAAGAACCTTGGGAACAGCAAAGGGGCAGCCAGGCACACAAAGGTCATGACACCCAGGGAGGTCCATGAGCCTCTGCGAGGGAGGTGGGGAGGCTGGGCCCCAGGCATCCCTGCTGGCTGTTTTCTGTGCACGCTGACCTGGCCCCCAGCTGACTGCTGTTCCTGGTTCTCTAATTAAAGGGTCAAGCTGCCGAGCCGCTGCTCTTTGCATGGGGAGAGGGATCCTGAATGGCAGGCCCATCAGCGCCTGTCCTAGCAGCATCAGACGACTCCCGACTGCAGGGGCCGCGGCGTCGTGGGTGGGACGGTGGTTTGTTACACGCATTCCCCCTGCTCTCCCTGTGGGCTGAGGGCTGCCATGGAAATGGGACCTGTAGCCCCACCCCCAGGAGGGTGTCTGGTAGATAGCAGACCTTCAATCACTATTGAGCAAGATTCGTGGATAAAGAATAAACAAAATGTAGATGGTCAGTAAATGTTTGTTGAAAGATACACTACTTTCTTACACAAATGGACACCATGATATATGTTCTATTCACTCTTTGTGTCTGCCTTCTTTCTTAAACATTTTATTTAGAAGCAATTATCTTTCTCGTTCCTCTCTTTCTCCATTACTGCCTTCTTTTGTATTAAATGGGTATTTTTTTTAGTGTACCATTTTCATTCTGTTTATTTTACCATGGTTTTTGTGACTTTCTTACTGGTTGTCCCTGGAACTTCTCAGGTGAGGTGGGTGAGTGTCCCAGCAAGGGAAGGTTTCCACCTGTGTTATCAAATCACCTGGAGCAGGAACTGAGGGTTTGTGGGGACATCCACTTACAGCTGTATTTGGAAACATGAGGGCTTGTTTCCAAATACGGCTGTAAGTGGATGTCCCCACAAACCCTCAGTTCCTTGCCCTTATTTACTGATAAAAACAAACACACACTCGCTCTCTCACACACACTAACAGCCGAGGAATCACATCTTTAAACACACCTGGCCTCTGGCAGGGGCCTTCCCTGCACTCTGACCCCCTCTCTCCCATCACAGACTCCAGCCTGGTCTCAAAAGGGACCCAGAGCCTGGGTGCCTCTCACCTGAGATCCGTACAAGGGAAGCTGCCCAACCCAGGACAGATCCACATCAGGAAACACAGACAGTGACAGGCAAGGGTCTGTCTCTGATGCCTCCTCCCACGGGACAGGGGTGACTCCAGTTCTGGCTCCAGAGGGAGCTGGGCTCTGGCACCGCACACCAGCCTCAATCAGCGGCTGCAGCACACGGAGCCGGGAGTCCACATGGAGCACATCTGAACGGCCCTTCCCAAAGCTGCCCCTGTGGCCCCCGTGAGGGCTCAACTGTGGATGACAAAGGAAAAGTCTGTTACTGCAGGACCTGAGCCTTCTCCGTGACTGTTTTTCAGACAAGGTTCACTCTGGTTCAGAAATCAAATCAGGCACGAGCAACACCAGCAGGTGTGCTTTCTCTCTGATCAATCACGTCCCAAGCCACGCTGTCACGCTGCTTTCTCCCCTCTACTGAGCCACCCACCTGGTGCAGAAAAAAAATCAAAACCCCGACATCACTTTCTAACCATAAAGCAGATCGCAGGACAGCACCTAGTACTCCGGA
Source organism: Homo sapiens (assembly GCF_000001405.40). Classification (NCBI taxonomy): domain Eukaryota; kingdom Metazoa; phylum Chordata; class Mammalia; order Primates; family Hominidae; genus Homo; species Homo sapiens. The sequence goes on from NC_000012.12 coordinate 131,567,271, forward strand.
ACCGGAGGCAAATCTGTCGAGAAAGAGCTTCTGAGAGTGGAGGAGTGGGTGGACGAGGCTGGGGGAACAGAGATGACTTCCAATCCAGACCTTCTGTCCTGCCCAGCAGGCCTGTCCACCGGCACACCAGCTGGAGATGAGAAGGAGGAAAGCTCAGGCCACGGTGCTTACAAGGGCCAGCTGAACACTTGAGGACTAACTGGTTCTCCAAGAAAATCCTCTCTCCTTTTGTTTCTAATGCAAGAGACGAATGCAAGAAACATTAGGATTTGCTTGATTCATTCAAGTAGCACCAATTGTTATTCTATGGAAAACTATAGGGACCTCGTGTTTTTATTGTCTCTCCCCACTAGAAGATGGACTTTTTTAAGTGTGAGGTCCATTACACTACGATATTTCATAAAATACATACTGATGCACCATGGGCCGTGCAGCAAATCTCCTCCATTCTCAAACAGAAGGCCATGCTTCCTTTTCCTGCATCCACAGATGAAGTCATCACCAGGCAGCCTATGCACTAGGTGTGACCGCAGATGCACTCAGGGCACAGGTAGCATTTGATGCCTGTAACCAGGGTCCAGCTGAGTCCCCAGGAAACCATCTCTAACAAGAGTACAGTTTGCAAATAAAAGACACTGGCAGCCTAAAGGGGGTACACTGAGCACTCCATGCAGTCAAGTGACATTCAGTTTATTTTTTATTTTATTGTTATTTTATTTTAATTTGGGATTCAATGTCTTTAGCAGGTCATCCACATGTCCTTGCCACCCTCCCTATTGTGCTCACCTGCCCCTCTTTCCCTTAATTTCTGTTTCCTGCCTGGCCCCTGGAGACATCTGAATCTTCACCCCTTTTAGATGTGCACAAACAGATACATATACATAAAGAACTGGAAAAGACTCAGAACTGGCAAAGGCTCAGGAAGTCCAACTCAGAAAGCACAAATCAGGGGGAAAAAATAGAACTGAAAGCCCATGTACAAGCTCCATAACTACCTTCTATCCATTTCTCCATCTACCGGTCATCCATCCATCATCCATTCACCCGTTTGTCCATCCACCCACCTATTCATCCACCTGTCCATCCATCCATCCATCCATCCACCCATCCATTCATCCATACACCCATACATCCATTTATTCATCCACTCATGCATCCACCCACCCATCCATCTGTCCATCTATCCATCCACCCATCCATTCATCCATCCATCCATCCATTCATCCATCCACCCATACATCCACCCACCCACTCATCCAAACATCCATCTATCCATCCCCTATCCATCCATCCATTCATCTATCAATTCATCCATCCATTCATCCACCATCTACCCATCCATTCACCCATCCATCCATCCATCCACCCATCCAACCATTCATTCATCCATCCATCTACCCATGCATCCATCCATCCACCCACCCACTCACCATCCACCCACCCATCCATCCATCCATCTGTCCATTCTTCAGTTACTGAGCCACTGCTATGTCCCAGCAGCATTCCAAACCCTGGTGATGCACCAGAAACAAAAGGGACAAACATCCACCCTCCTAGAGATATTCTTCTCATAGGAAGGCGGCCCCTGTGGAATTATGAAAAGGACAGGTCAGACAGACCTAGGAGGCAGGTTCCAGCTCAGCAATGCATTAGCTCTGTGACCTTGGACATGAAGCTCAACGTCTCTGAACTTGATTTACTCGTGTGGAAACAACAGGACCCACTTTGTAGGGTTGTGTTAACATAATATTATCTCATCTGACTGTGGAGTGAATGATGCCACCTCAACATATTAACTCAACTTCCTGCCCTTACCTGCCCAGGGCTGTGTCCCTTCCTCCTCCAAGCACTCTCCCGCCCAGGTTCAGCATTGCAGCTGGAGGAAATGCAGCTGGCTGTCTCCCACCTCTGCCATTACACTAGGACTGTATTATTCTGTTGAGCTGGATTCCGTTTCTGCACACAGAGCTGACCACCAAGTAAGTAAGCGAAGGGGCAGCAGGTAACAGATTGCTACTGATTCCAAGAGGACTCGTGTCTAAAGTTCTCAAGAGGCCAGGCTGGATGTGGCACGGGCCCTCCTCCCTCCCTCTCCTCAGGACATAATTCCACCCCAGGTCACTGGAGGAAGCAGCCCCAGGGTCTTTTGGGGACCGTGGGCACCACACTGAGAGGGCGGGGCTCCTCACCATGGGTCCAGACATTTCAAGTCTATTTATAATTACACCTCTGACCTGCAAGATTTGGTCTGAGGCCTGCAATAGTTGGGGCTGGAGGAGGAAGAATATCACGACATGGACAGCTCTGAGCTCTTTCATGAGGTTGAGCCTCACGGGGGTGTCCAGGTCCCAATAGCAAACGTTCCGTTAGAGGATGGAAATGTTCCATAAAAGGCATCCTAGGAGGAGGGGACTTCAAGACTCTGCCCACTCTATCCAGGTAACATGGATTGGCGGACTGAGCCTCCAAGATCCCAGAAGACACATCCCATGAGCTCAGCCCAAGGGTCAAGCAGAAGAATGGTTGAGATGGGCCCTGAGCATCCAGGGAATGAGCGGGCAGCAAGATCATTAGTGATTTTATATCCCACATCCCAAAGTTGTCCTCCAAAGAAAGCAGCAGTGGCTTTTTATAAAAGCAATTAGCAGGAAGAGGGGAATAGACCTAGATGGGAGGAACCTCAAGATCCTTGCCAGGGAGTGATGAGGTTGGCCATGGAATAAGAACCAAACTCCAGCATTTCTGCCCTAGTGCTTGTGGGAACTGCCGACCCCATGAGCTCTGATTGACGAGCAGCGTGTCCCGGGTCGACCTCACTGATGAGCACACTGCACTCAGCTGTCCGGGGGGCATGGTTCATATCCCTTCCGCCCACAGCAGACAGGTGTAAGGATTCCAGAGGCCAGCCCACCTTCCCCTTCCTTGGTGTGTCTACCTCCTGAGGGACAGGTGGGTGAGGTGGAAGAGGGGCCAACAAGGAGACATCTGCTGTTCTCCAGGCAGGGGTGGGGGTCTGAGCTCGGAGCTGGTGGAGGGGGTGGGAGAGACGGACGCACTCTTGTTCTAATATTCGATCTTGGCACCGCGTCTATCTGGACTTAGTGGCCACCTGAGCCGTCCCCTCCACCCTGTCCATCTTGGAGATCAGTCCCCTTCCAAGATTTCTGTGATCCAAAAGTATTCCTCAATCCACTAGACTGCTCAGATGCATGCCATCCACTTCTACAAGCCTCAAAACGAAGTCTTCACACAGGTTAGTGGCTGAGAAACAGATGCAGTGCAGGTCTGCAGACTCTGGCTGTCGTGGGTCGAGCATGGCCAGCTCTACGGTGAGCTCCTCAACTCAGAGTTACTCACACCCTGCTACCCAAAGATCATCTCTCCTCATTTCATCCCATACGTCAGTTGGACAGCATGGGCAATCCAGCTTCTACCAGTGTTATTCTCCCTCCCTGGCGTCTTGACCCTCGCCGTGCAGTGACTGTCCACACACAGGAGCCCACATAGGGTTGAGCTGTGACCAGTTCCCCACCCAGGACAGTCAGGCTGGGCCCCTCTCCTCCTGGAGCCACAGCTGCATCCATGCCCCGCTTGCTTCCTGAGGCACATGCTTTGATTTTATTAGGAAACAAGTATCCCAAGTGCAGCCTGGGTGGGAGCCCAGGAGGCAGTCACTCCAGCCAGTGTCATCCAGGGCCCCCACGGCCCTGGGTCAGAGTCTCGCCTCCACCATTCAGAAGCTTCGTTGGCCGCCACCCTCAGGCCTTCTCTAGACTCTTCTCTCCCAGGGCCTCTTGCCCCTAGAACAGGTGGGTTACAAATCATTTAGGCTGGGTACGGTGGCTCATGCCTGTAATCCCAACACTTTGGGAGGCCAAGGTGGGTAGATCACAAGGTCAGGAGATCGAGACCAGCCTGGCCAACGCGGTGAAACCCTGTCTCTACTAAAAATACAAAAATTAGCTGGGCATGGTGGTGGGCGCCTGTAGTCCCAGCTACTTGGGAGGCTGAGGCAGGAGAATTGCTGGATCCCGATGGGCGGAGGTTGTAGTGAGGCGAGATCGCGCCACTGCACTCCAGCCTGGCAAGACAGTGAGACTCCATCTCAAAAAATAAATAAATAAAAAATAATAATCATTCAGTCTGAATTCCTCCAGAGTCTTCTGCACACTGCACTCTCACGTGCTATTCACACTCCATGTGCAAAGAAAGCAGCTGAGCGAGGCGGCTCCGGAAAGACCCTCCCAGCCTTCCTATGCGGACTCCTCCCCACACCAGGACTCCTGGGGGCTGGTTCTGGGCACCAGCCTCGATGAGGACGTTCTTACAGCAGTGAAGGGATGGGCAGTGGCCCCAGCACCAACATTCCTAGGTACCCATTCCCAAGGCCACTTCTCAGGAGACGCAGCTTTCTACAGCCAGAAAAAAAAAAAAAAAACCTTCCTTCTAGTTTATTAAACTGCTTTATAGGCTCTAACCCATGACCAAAGGAGTTTAGGATCAATATAGGTAAATTATGAATCTGCCTCTCTCTTTTTCTTTCTCCCAATCTTCTGTCTTTCTCTCAAATGGCCTTCAAATGGGAAAAAATACTGCTTTAATAACACAAAGTCCACAACAGGCCTCCCTAATACGTCTCCTTGGAGGGAGGATTAGCAGGTAATCACACTTACAACTAGAGGCACAGCCCCTGCGGGGGCGATATCAGCACCTCCCAGGGTGCATCATAGTCTTACTTCTGTACTGTCTCCATTCCTATCAGAAGGCTGATAGGTTTCAGCTGCTGTGAAATGTTGATCCACATCACAGCCTGGCTCTAGGGCTGTCCAGGGTAAGATACACGTGTGGGGCTCTCACACTTCCCAGAGCTCATTCCCCATGGAAGACACCCAGTTCCACCCGGGGTGGGGAGCGGGATTCTAGGAGCTACCCACTCATGGCCAGGGCTGCCTGGGGAGGTGACAGTCGGCACGTCCCATCCCTGGCTTCCTTTGGTCCAGAACTGCCCCTTCCAGGTTCCATGCGAGTTCATAAATGGAAGAGTTGAGCCCAGACTCCCCAGGTCCTGAATCTCAGGAAGATGCTTTTCTTACACCCACTGAGCACACGAACTCCTTCCCCTCCGTTTCCCCTTTCTCTTTAAGGGGGACGTTTTCAATGCAACCCCCAAACCAATAAGACCCTCTGGGCCCCAAGATCAGACAAACATTTCCAGGACCCGGAATGGAGAGCCAGAGGGAAGCCTCCTGGCGGGGACTCTGGTCCAGACAGGCTGTGGGCTCCTTTGGGGAGGTGGCCCCCGAGGGTCATGAGACCTATGGGCAGCTTTGGGAGTTGGCCCCCCAGGGCTGCAGGAGCAGCGCCAGCCTGGGGCGAGCTGTGAACACAGAAGACCCTCAACGCCACCTATAGCCACGAAAATGCTAAGTAAACCTTCACAGGATGCTATGTCACACCGAAATTTAAAATCTGATGCGGTGCTGTGATGCAGAGCCACCCTGACTCCTCGTGCTGCTGGTGTGGGTGTGGCCACTCTGGAGAGTGACACGGCAGACACCGGCCATCCTGATGCGTGGTCCTGTCCCCAGCCACGCGCCCAGGCGGGCACCTGGGAAACTCACATGTGTACACAGAGACACACCGGTGGGATTATGGCAGCTTTGTTTATAGCAGCAAAAATAAAAATGAAATATTTGAAACTAGCCAAATACCTACCAGGAAGAAAACTACTCAATTAACGTAGAAAATACATATAATTAAATGCTACCCCTTTGGGGGAAATTTGTTTTTGAGACTTACCCATGTGAGTGTATGAAGCTGTACTTTATTCATTTTAGCTGTTGTTATTGAGAGTTAAAACCAAAAAAGCAACTTTCTACATGGTTTATATAGACACTCATATACGGCAGAAGCGTAAGCACTTGCAAAGGAAAGACAGACACCAAATTCAAGGTAGGAGTTACATCTGGTTGGAAAAACTGAGGCAGAAGCAGAGAAGGCTTCAACTCTGCCCGAATACCGCATCTCATCAGAACACATCTCTGACGCTATCACGCTGGCCATGCTGATGGCTTCATCAGTGTATGCAAATGTCTAAACACATCAAACTGCAGATGTTAAAAACATGCAGGTTTGTGTCTATCAACCATACCTCAAGAATGCTGTTAAAATTGTGTCTGAAGGAAACATGGCCAGATGTAAATGTTTACTGGGAAAGGTAGTTGGTACGAGGCATCTGTTAGGATTCTCCGGGCTCCCTCCTAGAGGCCCCACCTTCAGAGCTGCCTGTTGCCCTGAAAGAGCTTGGGAGACCACAAGCATCTCATCAGTCACGCCCATAAAGCAGGGAAGGGGGCTACATGGTGGAAGGCCCCTGTCTGGCTGCTCAGCATCTCTGCACCCGGCGATTCCTCTCCCACTCCCCCCGGCTCCCCACTGAGCAGATTCCCCATCACCGGGTCTGAGCCAGCCGGGCCACTCCTCTCTGGCCCCTGTGTTCTGGCAGTGGCACCGTCAGGGTAGGTGAGATGCAGCGAGGCTCAGGCTGGGGAAGCACGACAGAATCTTGAACCTCCCGTTCGGGATGAGGAAGGGGTGGCCAGGGGCGGCGGGGGCCACCTTGTTCTGACAGTGGCACAGTGCGGTGGATCAGAGCTGAGAGGGGGCTTCCAGATGCGCCACGTCAGCCCTGACCAACCCATGCCTGCTGGGTTAGAGAACCCGTGAAATCGCCTTTGTGTATCATGAAGTTTGGGTCAGATTTGCTGTCACTTGCGGTCAATATTGTCCTGACTGATGCACATAGAAAGAGGAGAAAGCAGGGAGGAAATGGACTGGACGTCAACACCCTCCCCAGGATCCCAAGGAAGAGAAGCCCGTGCCAGCCTTGGCGGAGGCAGGCGCCTGGTTGCAGACCTCCAGCAGAGCCCTGGAAGCTGCATGTAATTCCTCCGTGAATGTGAAGCAACAGCCCTCAGGGAGAACAGAGCTCTTGCCCCAGTTGGAAGCTGTGCCAGTTACAGAAGAAGAGCTCGCCCTGGGGACCAAGTTCAGGAACAGATGAGAAGACGAGAGAAGCAACGGCAACATGGCCAAAAGGTCAGGGTGAAATGGCAGGAAGCTGGCAGGTCCCCACCCACACCAGCCTCAGGACAGGGCCCTGAACAGGGCGGGACTCGGTGCAGGGGGTCTCACAGCTGAAGCCCTGCTCCACCCCTCAGACATCAGAGCCCATCTGGATCCTGAATAAGCAGCCATAAAGGAGGCTGGTGCTGTCAGAGGCGGAAAGCAAGCCCCTGTCTCGGGGGGGTAGCTCACAGAGCCCAGTGTTCCTGGCCAGAGCTTTTTCCAACGTGCGGTGCACCAGCAACCCCCGCTCAGCTCTGCTACCGTGAGCCCCTTCTCTACCAGCAACCCCCGCTCAGCTCTGCTACTGTGAGCCCCTTCTCTCCAGGTCGTTTGTCTTTTCTGCTCTGATAAAGGAGTGTCCTGTGCAGAGCCCAGGAGCTGGAGGTTTTCAGGTCAGAATTTGCCCTGCAGGGTTATAAAAGACGTGATTTCTGAAGCACCAGGAGGAGATCTCAACATAAACCATTTCATCCGAAAAGTGAGAGGAATATAAGAGCTTAGAAGGATCCTGTCTCAAAACAAGTTTGAGTTCTTGTAAATCTGAGCCTCAATCCATTGTCCTCAAAAAAAGAATGTCCATTCCTTCTCCGAACAGTCACCTATTAGCTGAAAAATATTAAGAGAACTCCAGGAAATCTGAAACCCACAGCTGTTACCAACACTGCCTGACTTGTTTACACAGAGGATTTTCAATGGAAACTGTCTGTTTAAATGTAACTGCCCAAATCATATTCCAAATTGAATAATGTAAAAAAAAATGAAGTGAAGCCTACAGTATCTGGAGTTGACGGCAAACAAGGTGGGGTGGGTGGATCCGGGCACTGCTCAGAAGGCCCAGCGCAGGCTGGCCCTGCTCGCACGCAGACCTGAGGGACCTGAGCACACCAAGGCTCTTCCCATTTAGAGTTGGGGACTTCAGTCATGTAGTGGGTCACCAAAGGCCACAGGGTGGGGGGAGCACTGTCCAGCTGGGACAGACAGTGGTTCCTGCACAGACTCAGAGCATCAGCAGCCAATGAGTGATCTGAACACTTGGACAAGTGGGCCACCCCACTTTTCAGAGGGACAGGACAGACCTGGGGCAGAGGAGCACCTCCCTGGGTCACACCTGGGGCAGCAGCAGCCTCAAGTGGCCACAGACTCAGTCCCGCTTCTCCAGGCTCTGGGCTTTGGGCAGAGCCCCGTGCTCACACCTCCCATGCTGTCCCCAACCTGGAGCAGGCATTGTCCACACTGACCCCAACACCCAGAGGGTTTCAGCCTACGCAGGCAGGGCACAGTGACTGCGGTGTTCACAGACATAATCCAAGCAGAGAGGCTCAGTGCCCACAGACACCAGGGGATAAATGAATGGTCAGACAGATGGCAGGGCAGGAACGCCATCTCTGAGATGCAGGGGAAGAGAGTAAACAACAGCAATAAAAAGACAGCGTGGGTTATAAAAGAACCAGGGCTGGGAGGCAAAGAGGAATTCTAACACACGGCTTCCCCGTGCCACCTGCCACCTGCCCTGGGCTCAGCGCACACAGGCCCCCCTGTTGCTGTGAAGACGCTGATCTAAGAGGACAGGGGAAGACCAAGGACTCCACGCTGCTGGGTCATTTTAACCCCTCCACACAGGCCTGGTGACCGTCCCCGTGTCTCAACAGTCGGAGCAAAATGCACAGAGGAAAGGGGTCAAATCCCCAAAAGATGCAGTGAGTAAGACCCACTGCAGTGAGTGAGAGCCAGTGCAGTGAATTAGACCCGGTGCAGTGAGTGAGACCTGCTGCAGTGAGTGAGACCTGCTGCAGTGAGTGAGAGCCGGTGCAGTAAGACCTGCTGCAGTTGAATAAGACCTGGTGTAGTAAGACCCGCTGCAGTGAGTGTGACCCGATGCAGTAAGACCCAGTGCAGTGAGTGAGAGCCGGTGCAGTGAATTAGACCGAGTGCAGTGAGTGAGACCTGCTGCAGTGAGTGAGAGCCAGTGCAGTGAATTAGACCCGGTGCAGTGAGTCAGAACTGCTGCAGTTGAGTAAGACCTGGTGTAGTAAGACCCACTGCAGTGAGTATGACCCGATGCGGTAAGACCCAGTGCAGTGAGTACGACCCGGTGTAGTAAGAACGGGTGCAGTGACTATGACCTGGTGTAGTAAGACCCAGTGCAGTATGACCCAGTGTAGTAACACCCGGTGCAGTGAGTCTGACCCAGTGTAGTAAGACCCAGTGCAGTAAGTATGACCTGGTGTAGTAACACCCAGTGCAGTGAGTATGAACCTTTGTAGTAAGACCCGGTGCAGTGAGTGTGACCTGGCGTAGTAAGACCCGGTACACTGACTATGACCTGGTGTAGTAAGACCCAGTGCAGTGAGTGTGACCCAGCGTAGTAAGACCCGGTACACTGACTATGACCTGGTGTAGTAAGACCCAGTGCAGTGAGTGTGACCCGGTGTAGTAAGACCCAGTGCAGTGAGTGTGACCCGGTGTAGTCAGACCAGGTGCAGTGAGTGTGACCCAGTATAAGACCAGGTGCAGTGAGTGTGACCCGGTGTAGTCAGACCCGGTGCAGTGAGTGTGACCTGGCGTAGTAAGACCCGGTGCAGTGAGTGTGACCCGGTGTAGTAAGACCCGGTGCAGTGAGTGTGACCCGGTGTAGTCAGACCAGGTGCAGTGAGTGTGACCCGGTGCAGTAAGACCCGGTGCAGTGAGTGTGACCCGGCGTAGTAAGACCCGGTGCAGTGAGTGTGACCCGGTGTAGTCAGACCAGGTGCAGTGAGTGTGACCCGGTGCAGTAAGACCCGGTGCAGTGAGTGTGACCCGGTGCAGTAAGACCCGGTGCAGTGAGTGTGACCCGGCGTAGTAAGACCCGGTGCAGTGAGTGTGACCCGGTGTAGTCAGACCAGGTGCAGTGAGTGTGACCCGGTGCAGTAAGACCCGGTGCAGTGAGTGTGACCCAGCGTAGTAAGACCCGGTGCAGTGAGTGTGACCCGGTGTAGTCAGACCAGGTGCAGTGAGTGTGACCCGGTGCAGTAAGACCCGGTGCAGTGAGTGTGACCCGATGCAGTAAGACCCGGTGCAGTGAGTATGGCCCATTCAGTGAGTAAGACCCAGTGCCCTGTGTGAGGCTACAAGGGTGAGCCCTGCTGCCCCACACCTCTCTAGGAGCTAACCTAAGAGGGCCAGAAAGGGCCTGGCTCACATTGCACCACGTCAAATGACAGAGATTTAAATCACAAATATGTTTTTACTAATAAGAAAAAATAAGGAGGTGGGGCACCTGCTTAGTGATAAGATGTAATTTGCAATGGCTGTAGCATGGATGAATCTCTCAGCAATAACCTTGCATTTCATAATTGTACAAAAATAACTATGAGGATAAAAACCATATCTACAATATAATTACTGTTTTATAAAATGTACGTATGCTTGTAACAACTAAACGGTCCAGTGTCTAGAAAGCTGTGTGTTTCTCCTTGCTTCTCTTGTGAATGACATTGATCTTATACAACTGCCTCTCAGTGGACAATCAGTCACTGTCAGGGGCCTCTGCAGTGAATCCGTCTTCCAGTGTCTTCAAACAAGGAACTCAGCCAGCTGATTGAGAGTGCCTGTGTTCAGGAGGGTGGGGACTGAGCCTTTGAGCCTGGCTTCTGGGTCCCTGGGGCATCTAAGATCACCTGCTTTGTCCCTGGCCCTCCTTCAGTTGAAACGGAAGACTCCACGTTATTTGACTTTCCACGCTTTTTTTCTTCAATTCCATGAGCTTCCAATAACTGACACCAATCAGCTGAGCCTGTTTCTGTTGCCTTCAAACAAAGGATGCTGAAGATCTGGCACTGACCTAAATTTTTGAAACTGAAAAAGTCTCACTACTTCTCTAATGAAGTTCTCTGCTCCGGGACGGTGAGAATTGAGTAAAGAGGCTGGCAGAGAAGTCCAACAAGCAATGGCTTGTAACCCAAAATGCACACTGTGCCTGCCACTACTGTTAAAAGAAAGAAAACAATAATAGAATTACTCTTTTCTAATACGTAAGAACTTGTACATCACTCAAAAGCAAGGGGAGAACAAGCTCCTCTGAAGTAACACGGCACTGTTCTGCCATCCCTCAAAATAAAACGATGACAATAATACACTGAAAATTCCAAATGAGGCACAAGATTCAATAGCCCCCACATTCTACAGCCCACCAACAGCACATGTCCATGTCCCTTTCCAGATCCGTAGGAGACCTCGCCCCCATGGGGACGGCACAGAAGGTGAGGAGCCAGCACGGGAGGGCTGGGCTGGTGAGGAGGTCTCTGGCGAGAGCTTCTCGAGAGTTCCACCAACACCCCCAGGGGGAATGGAGGGGATGCTACCGACCAGCATGTGAGCAGTGCCCTGGAAGGCACGTCTGTGGAGATGGGGAAAGTGGGTGCATTCCAGGGAAATTCTGGAGGTAAAATCACAGGTTATTAGAAGTTATTAAGGGACTTCATCAATGAAAGACTTTTGCTCTGGAAACACCCACTTGGAGTGGAGGAAAAGATAAGCCACAGACTGGAATAGAAGTTTTACAAACCACATATGCTACCAGAGGACTGGCATCCAGAATGTGTACTGCAATCTCTCAAATCTCAATTGTTAGAAGTACAAACACTCCAGTGAGAAAACAGACACGAGCAGACGTCTCACGGAAGACAACAAGCAGATGTCAAAGCAGCCCACGGAAAGGTATTCAGCATCACCAGCCATCGGGAACACGCACATTAAAACCACCGTGAGGCCCCACCCTGCACCCATCAGAAAGGCGAAAATAACACACAGCGACAATCCCAAATGCTGCTGAGAATATGGAGGGGCTGGACCACTCATGCTGTTGACAGGAGGCTGAAATGCTGCAGCCGCCCTGGAAAACAGGTTGCCAGTTTCTTATAAAACTAAACATACAACAATCATATGGTCCACCAACTGCCCTCTTAGGCATCTGTCCCAGAAAAAAAAAAAAAAAAACCTCACACACACACAAACACTTACACAAAAACATGAATGAATGCTGTCAGCAGCTATGACGGCACAGCACTTTGGCAAAGTATTATCTGAGGGGAAACTGGGCAGTGTGCGTGGGCTTTCTCTGCACTGTGTCTGTCTCTGCATTGTGCCTGTCTCTGCACTGTGTCTGTCTCTCTGTACTGTGTCTGTCTCTGTACTGTGTCTGTCTGTCTCTGTACTGTGCTTCTCTGAACTGTGCCTGTCTATCTCTGTACTGTGTCTGTCTGTCTCTGGGCTGTGCCTGTCTCCGTACTGTGTCTGTCTGTCTCTGTACTGTGCCTGTCTCTGAACTGTGCCTGTCTATCTCTGTACTGTGTCTGTCTCTGTGCTCTGCCTGTCTCTGCACTGTGTCTGTCTCTGCACTGTGCCTGTCTCTGTACTGTGTCTGTCTCTGTACTGTGCCTGTCTCTGTACTATGTCTGTCTCTGCACTGTGCCTGTCTCTGTACTGTGTCTGTCTGTCTCTGCACTGTGCCTGTCTCTGAACTGTGCCTGTCTATCTCTGTACTGTGTCTGTCTCTGTGCTCTGCCTGTCTCTGCACTGTGTCTGTCTCTGTACTGTCTGTCTCTGCACTGTGTCTGTCTCTCTACTGTGTCTGTCTCTGCAGTGTCTGTCTCTGCACTGTGTCTGTCTCTGTGCTCTGCCTGTCTCTGTACTGTGTCTGTCTCTGCACTGTGTCTCCCTCTGCGCTCTGCCTGTCTGTGTACTGTGTCTCTCTCTGTACTGTGTCTGTCTCTGCACTGTGTCTGTCTCTGCACTGTGTCTGTCTCTGCGCTCTGCCTGTCTCTGCACTGTGTCTGTCTCTGCACTGTGTCTGTCTCTGCACTGTGTCTGTCTCTCTACTGTGTCTGTCTCTGCACTGTGTCTGTCTCTGTACTGTGCCTGTCTCTGCACTGTGTCTGTCTCTGCACTGTGTCTGTCTCTGCGCTCTGCCTGTCTCTGTACTGTGTCTGTCTCTGCACTGTGTCTGTCTCTCTACTGTGTCTGTCTCTGCAGTGTCTGTCTCTGCACTGTGTCTGTCTCTGTACTGTGCCTGTCTCTGCACTGTGTCTGTCTCTGCACTGTGTCTGTCTCTGCGCTCTGCCTGTCTCTGTACTGTGTCTGTCTCTGCACTGTGTCTGTCTCTCTACTGTGTCTGTCTCTGCAGTGTCTGTCTCTGCACTGTGTCTGTCTCTGTACTGTGCCTGTCTCTGCACTGTGTCTGTCTCTGCACTGTGTCTGTCTCTGCGCTCTGCCTGTCTCTGTACTGTGTCTGTCTCTGCACTGTGTCTGTCTCTCTGCACGGTGTCTGTCTCTGCGCTCTGCCTGTCTCTGCACTGTGTCTGTCTCTGCACTGTGTCTGTCTGTCTCTGTACTATGTCTGTCTGTCTCTGTACTGTGTCTGTCTCTGTACTGTGCCTGTCTCTGTACTATGTCTGTCTCTGCACTGTGCCTGTCTCTGAACTGTGCCTGTCTATCTCTGTACTGTGTCTGTCTCTGTGCTCTGCCTGTCTCTGCACTGTGTCTGTCTCTGTACTGTCTGTCTCTGCACTGTGTCTGTCTCTCTACTGTGTCTGTCTCTGCAGTGTCTGTCTCTGCACTGTGTCTGTCTCTGTGCTCTGCCTGTCTCTGTACTGTGTCTGTCTCTGCACTGTGTCTCCCTCTGCGCTCTGCCTGTCTGTGTACTGTGTCTCTCTCTGTACTGTGTCTGTCTCTGCACTGTGTCGGTCTCTGCACTGTGCCTGTCTCTGCACTGTGTCTGTCTCTGCACTGTGTCTGTCTCTGCACTGTGTCTGTCTCTCTACTGTGTCTGTCTCTGCAGTGTCTGTCTCTGCACTGTGTCTGTCTCTCTACTGTGTCTGTCTCTGCAGTGTCTGTCTCTGCACTGTGTCTGTCTCTGTACTGTGCCTGTCTCTGCACTGTGTCTGTCTCTGCACTGTGTCTGTCTCTGCGCTCTGCCTGTCTCTGCACTGTGTCTGTCTCTGCACTGTGTCTGTCTCTGCACTGTGTCTGTCTCTCTACTGTGTCTGTCTCTGCAGTGTCTGTCTCTGCACTGTGTCTGTCTCTGTACTGTGCCTGTCTCTGCACTGTGTCTGTCTCTGCACTGTGTCTGTCTCTGCGCTCTGCCTGTCTCTGTACTGTGTCTGTCTCTGCACTGTGTCTGTCTCTCTACTGTGTCTGTCTCTGCAGTGTCTGTCTCTGCAGTGTCTGTCTCTGCACTGTGTCTCCCTCTGCACTCTGCCTGTCTGTGTACTGTGTCTGTCTCTGCACTGTGCCTGTCTCTGCACTGTGTCTGTCTCTGCACTGTGTCTGTCTCTCTACTGTGTCTGTCTGTGTACTGTGTCTGTCTCTGCACTGTGTCTGTCTCTCTACTGTGTCTGTCTCTGCACTGTGCCTGTCTCTGCACTGTGTCTGTCTCTGCACTGTGTCTGTCTCTGCGCTCTGCCTGTCTCTGCACTGTGTCTGTCTCTGCACTGTGTCTGTCTCTGTGCTCTGCCTGTCTCTGCGCTCTGCCTGTCTCTGCACTGTGTCTGTCTCTGCACTGTGTCTGTCTCTGTACTGTCTGTCTCTGCACTGTGTCTGTCTCTGCACTGTGTCTGTCTCTGTACTGAGTCTGTCTCTGCACTGTGTCTGTCTCTGTACTATCTGTCTCTGCACTGTGTCTGTCTCTGCACTGTGCCTGTCTCTGCACTGTCTGTCTCTGCACTGTGTCTGTCTCTGTACTGTGCCTGTCTCTGCACTGTGTCTGTCTCTGCACTGTGTCTGTCTCTGTACTGTGCCTGTCTCTGCACTGTGTCTGTCTCTGTACTGTGCCTGTCTCTGTACTGTGCCTGTCTCTGCACTGTGTCTGTCTCTGCACTGTGTCTGTCTCTGCACTGTCTGTCTCTGCGCTCTGCCTGTCTCTGCGCTCTGCCTGTCTCTGCACTGTGTCTGTCTCTGTACTGTGCCTGTCTCTGTACTATGTCTGTCTCTGCACTGTGTCTGTCTCTGTACTGTGTCTGTCTCTGCACTGTGCCTGTCTCTGCACTGTGTCTGTCTCTGCACTGTGCCTGTCTCTGCACTCTGCCTGTCTCTGCACTGTGTCTGTCTCTGCACTGTCTGTCTCTGCACTGTGCCTGTCTCTGCGCTCTGCCTGTCTCTGCACTGTGTCTGTCTCTGCACTGTGTCTGTCTCTGTACTGTGCCTGTCTCTGCACTGTGTCTGTCTCTGCACTGTGTCTGTCTCTGCACTGTGCCTGTCTCTGCACTGTGTCTGTCTCTGCACTGTGCCTGTCTCTGTACTGTGTCTGTCTCTGCACTGTGTCTGTCTCTGTACTGTGTCTGTCTCTGCACTGTGCCTGTCTCTGCACTGTGTCTGTCTCTGTACTGTGCCTGTCTCTGCGCTCTGCCTGTCTCTGCACTGTGTCTGTCTCTGCACTGTCTGTCTCTGTACTGTGTCTGTCTCTGCGCTCTGCCTGTCTCTGCACTGTGTCTGTCTCTGCACTGTGTCTGTCTCTGTACTGTGTCTGTCTCTGCACCGTGTCTGTCTCTGTACTCTCTGTGTCTGCACCGTGTCTGTCTCTGTACCGTGTCTGTCTCTGTACCGTGTCTGTCTCTGCACTGTGTCTGTCTCTGTACTGTGTCTGTCTGTCTCTGCACTGTGTCTGTCTGTGCACTGTGCCTGTCTCTGCACTGTGCCTTTCTCTGCGCTGTGCCTGTCTCTGTGCTGTGCCTGTCTCTGCGCTGTGTCCGTCTCTGTGCTGTGTCCGTCTCTGCACTGTGTCCGTCTCTGTACTGTCTGTCTCTGCACTGTGTCTGTCTCTGCACTGTCTGTCTCTGTACTGTCTCTGCGCTGCGTCTGTCTCTGCACTGCGTCTGTCTCTGCGCTGCGTCTCTCTCTGCACTCTGCCTGTCTCTGTACTGTGTCTTACAGCAGCATGTGAATCTCCGACCATTACAGCACAATGTTAGAAAGAGGCACTGTTTGTTTTGCATGATTCTGATGTACACCAGTGTCAGTTGGCAGGGTTGAGTTAATTAACTCTTTTCCCCCAACCACGTGGCTGAAACTTAATTTACCATGGTACGTTAAATGTAATTAACTGCACAGAATACAGAGTGCACTGCTGGGTATAGCCCACACATGGCTACGTAAAGAGCTGATGCAATGATGACAGGTGACGAATCCCATCACTTCATCCGACGTCCCTCAGTGGCGGCTCTCTGTGCCCGCTACTTGGTTCACACCCACGAGGCAAAGCGTGTACCTCAGCTGCCTTCTTATCTCTTACTGAAATGAAGCAGAAAAAGATCAAAATAAGCCCAAGACAAAAGGAAAGAAGAAGTAGAAAGCAAAACACCAATGAAATTGTAAACAGAAAGACAATAGAGAAAATCAATGAAACAGAAAGTTGGTTCTTTCCCCCTAGCGCTATTGAGATACAATTAACAAATAAAAATTGTATACATTTGTGGTTTGTAACATAATGTTTTGACATAACTTGATATGAATGTATTTAATTTGTGAGAAAAAAATTGGTTCTGTGAAAAGATCAGTGAATCTGACAAATTCTAGAAAGACTGAAAAAAACAGTGAAGAAACAATTTGCCACTATCAGGAATAAAACAGGGAATATCTCTACGGACTCTGCAGACATCAAAAGCATAATCAAAGGATGCTTATTAACAACTCTCTACACAAATTTTACAACTACATGAAATGGGCCAGTTTCTTCAAAAGCACAAATTATCACAATTCAACCCAATATGAACTAGATAATTTGATTATTTCCATACCCATTAAAGAAATTGAATTTGTAATTAAAAATTGCTGAAAAAGAAATTTACAGGGGAGATTATTCCACTGGAGTCTCCTACCAAAGGTTTAAATAGAAATTAACACCAATTTAAAACAATGTTTCCAGGAAAGACAAGGTAAAGAAACACTTTCCAAATCACTTCAGGGGGCTAGCTAGTATGACCCAACACTAGGTAATAGACAAAGACAATACAAAAATAAAACAAAGGGCAATAACCTTCAGGAATGTAGAGACAAAGTATTAGCAAGTAGAACTCATCAATACCGGGACACCGTGACGGGAGGAGGGGAGTATTTAAGGGATGTAAGAGTGGCTCCACATCTGAAAATCAACCAGTGTAATCCGTCGCACCGTTAGAGAAGCGACACCGTTTTCAGTTCGGCTCCATCTGGAGACTAACAGGGCAGTTCCTCGCCAGTCACAATCCATGGTCCTCAGATGCTTGCAGTTGAGGAAACCACCTAAAAACACCTACAAGGACACAGTCCTCTGACAGTGACGAGTCCAGACGTCCCGGTGCCCATAACAACATACGCTTTCAAGATAATAAGTTATGCCTCGATGTACTCACACACTAAAATGTCAAGGGTAGTTTTCTTTAAATCAATAGAATAATAAAATTGGTCGCACGGTCTGCTCACCGTCACGTAGCCCCAGCTTAGTCTTTACAAAGACAAGACCCCATATAAGAAAAACTTAAAGACGGTGTGTTCCTCAGCTTGCTTTCTGAGGGCGCCCTCCTCTATAATGAAGGAGTTTCCAATAAGCCTGCTCCTTTCACTGCTTTCACTGGCCTGGAATTCCTTCCTGCACAAGATCCAGGAGCCCTCTCTTCGCGTCTCATCAGCCCTCTCTTCGCGTCTGGATCAGCCCTCTCTTCGCGTCTGATCAGCCCTCTCTTCGCGTCTCATCAGCCCTCTCTTCACGTCTGGATCAGCCCTCTCTTCGGGTCTGGATCAGCCCTCTCTTCGCGTCTGGATAGCCCTCTCTTCGGGTCTGGATCAGCCCTCTCTTCGGGTCTGGATCAGCCCTCTCTTCACGTCTGGATCAGCCCTCTCTTCACGTCTGGATCAGCCCTCTCTTCACGTCTGATCAGCCCTCTCTTCGCGTCTGGATCAGCCCTCTCTTCACGTCTGATCAGCCCTCTCTTCGGGTCTGGATCAGCCCTCTCTTCGCGTCTGGATCAGCCCTCTCTTTGGGTCTGCCCTTTTCAGGTACCACTACTAGGTTAAAGAATGAGGATACACATCACACACCAGGGACTGTTGTGGGATGGGGGAGGGGGAGGGATAGCATTACGAGATGTACCTAATGCTAAATGACGAGTTAATGGGTGCAGCACACCAACATGGCACATGTATACATATGTAACAAACCTGCACCTTGTGCACATGTACCCTAAAACTTAAAGTATAATAATAATAAAATTAAAAAGAATGAGGATATGATCGTACCAACTGATTCAGAAAAAGACCCAGGAGTGGTGTTAGGAACTGTGTCCTCCCAAATTTCGTATGTTGAAACCTAACCCCCAAGGTGATAGTTTTAGGAGGTGGGGCCTTTGGAGGTTATTATGATGGCAGCAGTGACTGTCCAGAGTAGAAGCGCCTGCGGGAGCAACAGTAGCGGTGGTGGGACCCCTGTGTCCTGTGTCCCCTGAGCACCATTCCCACCCTTGCACAGCCAGGCAGGACCTGCCCCCAGGCCCAGCGCCTCCACTGCTCCAGACCCTGGCCCCGAATCACTACTGTCGCACACCCTGCTATGGGGAGGAGGCCTACAGTCCCCAGAGTCCACCCCAGGAGCCCCCCTGGATCCTACTACCCTGGGGACCACTGTGATGGGGACCAGGCCGAGTCACCCTCCTGCAGGCGAGCCACACAGTCAGGCACTAAGGGGCCAGCAGAGAGGGTCCCCAAGGCAGAGCTGGGCTCGGAGTGGTGCCATGGTTGCACACAGAGCACGCTGGGGCTGGGCCCAGGGCGTGGAGCTGGGGCTGCACTTTAGGGGCCAGGAGTGGGAAGTGGGAGCGGCATCCACTTCAGGGATCCAGCCAGCAGCATGGCCACAATGCTCACCCTGCAAAACGTGCTGGATTCCTGCACCTTGGGAGGCGGCTCTGTGTGGGCCACCCAGTGCTGTTTCCCAGGGGTCCAACCTACATCGGCAGGGCCACTGAGCCTGATGCTCCCGAAGGATGGGCCTGGGGCCCATGATCCGCTCCTGAAGATGCCCCATCCCGGGCAGGACCACAAGTCACGCAAGGGGGAGCCCCTGGTCACCCCTGAGCACTGGGGCCATGGGAAGAGCTCCTGCCCTGAACCAGAGAGAACCTGGAGCCACCACCCCAGGCCTCAGGGGAGCACACTGGGGGCTGCACGCTCCACAGAGCCAGTGGAGCTGGGGAGAAACGGGAGCCCCTGGGTGCAGCTGCAGCTGTCCTGCCACCAGCACAGACCCAGGCATTTCTGCACTTACAGGAGGCCCAGGTAGGCCCCCTGCCCCGCTGTGGGATGAAGGGTGCCTGCTCCAGCTGCTTGATTTCTCCTGTCAGTACCTGCTCTAATCTCAGATCTAGGTCAAGGCTGAGCTGGGCACTATCACAGCCCAGCCAGGTGTGCACACACTTGGGGTAGCACTGACACACCAACCCCTTGCTGCCCTGGGCACCTCCAGACTTTGGGTGCTGGCAAGAGCAGTGGGGAAGCCAAGTTGGGGGCTGAGGGCAGCTTGGCCCTGGCCTGCACGTGCCTCTTGACGTGAGCAGCCTGGGTACCATGGACAGTGACAGGAGGCAGAAGACTCCTGGGAGGAAGGGGCCCCTGGTAAGGCCTGAAGGCTGGGGGCCAAGCTGCCAGTCCCACAGACCCGAGAGGGAACTTGTGGTGCCTTTTCCAGGCCAGCCCATGGCTGCCCATGGATCAACTGGCACTTCCTTCTCTCTGAGGCCCATAAAAGCCCCAGGCTCAGCCAGAACAGAGCAGACAAAAGGACGACCAGCTGCAGAGAGGAGCTACCTCCCTGCTGATAGCTGAACACTCACTGGGATGACCTGCCTCACAGAGAAGATCCACCCTCTCTGCTGACAGCTGAGCACTCGTCGGGACACCGTGGCTGTGGAAAGGAGCTGCCCCCTGTGTGTCTCTTCTGAGCTGTTCTACTGCTCATTAAAGCTCCTCTTCATCTCGCTCACCCTCCACTTGTCTGCGTACCTCATTCTTCCTGGTCACAGAACAAGAACTCAGGACCCACTGAAAGGTGAGACTAAAAGAGCCATAACACACACAGAGCTAAGACATGCCCCCTGCTTGCCACATTGTAGGCAAAGAAGAAAGGAATAGCTGCAGCCCTCAGGGACCCCAGACCTAGGAGCTCCCCAAGCCAGGGCTATGACTCCCTCTTTGGGGCCCTGTGGTTCTTGGTGTCTCCAAGCTTCCAGTCACCACCACATTCCCCAGTGCCAGCCAGGGAAGCTGCTTGTAGTGTGCCTGGTCCAGCCGCAGCTTCACAGAGAGCCAGCCCCCATGCCGGCACCTAGAGCTGCCCGCCTCGCAGCAGCAGCCGATGTGTCTGACTGCACAGTGGCCAGACCCCACCCTTGCTCACACACCCCTCCCTGCTCCATGCCTGACTCGAAGTCTCCCTTGGAGGCACGGGATCCAGGCTGGGAATGTGAGCCGAGTGCCGTCTGCCAGGCTGAGTGGGTGGAACAAGCCCAGCGTGTCCAAAAGCAACTCAGGCAAAGGCACTACAAGCCACAGGTTTCCGGCCAGAAAAGTGACATCCCAAAGATCTCATGACAATTAGACCATGAGCACTGAGCCCTCATGATGGGATCAGCAACCTCATGAAAGAAGCATCACAGAGCTCCTCATCCCTTCCTCCTCGGGAGGACACAGCGAGACGGCACTGTCTATGACCCAGGAAGGGTGGGCCCTCCCCAGATACCAAAGCCTTCATCTTGGACTTTCCAGCCTCCAGAACTGTGAAAAATAAGTGCTTGGTGTTTAAGTCATCCAGCCTATGGTATTTTTCTTATATTAGCCCAAACTGGCAAAATGAATACAGTGGAGTGGAGTGGAGTGGAGTGGGGTGGGGTGGGGTGGGTTGGAATGGAATGGAATGGAATAGAGTAGGGTGGGGTGGAGTGGGGTGGAATGGAATGGAATGGAATAGAGTGGGGTGGGGTGGAGTGGAGTGGAGTGGAATGGAATGGAATGGAATAGAGTGGGGTGGGGTGGAGTGGAATGGAATGGAATGGAATGGAATGGAATGGAATGGAATGGAATGGAATGGAATGGAATAGAGTGGGGTGGGGTGGAGTGGAGTGGAGTGGAATGGAATGGAATGGAATGGAATAGAGTGGGGTGGGGTGGAGTGGAATGGAATGGAATGGAATGGAATGGAATGGAATGGAATGGAATGGAATGGAATGGAATAGAGTGGGGTGGGGTGGGGTGGAGTGGAGTGGAATGGAATGGAATGGAATAGAGTGGGGGTGGGGTAGGGTGGGGTGGAGTGGAGTGGAGTGGAATGGAATGGAATGGAATGGAATGACCCTTGCAAGCATACTTCTGTGATATCACTTCTATCTATGGCATATGTTGGGATTCTCTTTAACAAATATCTCGGGAAGGTCACAGCCTGAGAGTCAACAAGCATTTCGTGAACGTGTTTGGCTCCACGAGTTGTGTTTTCAATAACTGCAACAATCATCACACAATTTCTGTGAGTAAATGACTCACTAAATCAGGCAGGAAGAAACTTTTAATTTTTATTTATTTATTTTTTTAGAGACAGGGTCTCGCTCTGTCACCCAGGCTAGAGTGTGGTGGTGTCACCACAGCTCACTGCAGCCTCGAACTCCTGGGCTCGAGTGACCCTCCTGCCTCAGCCTCCCAAATAGCTTGGATTACAGGTGAGCACCACCACAGTTGGCTAATTTTATCTTTAGTATAGATGGGGTCTCACTATGCTGCCCAGGCTGGTTTTGAACTCCTGGACTCAAGCAATCCTCCTGCCTCAACCTCCCAAAGTGCTGGGATTACAGGCGTCAGCCACCCTGCCCATCCGGCCCAGAAGGAAACTCTTCTAAAGTGAGTAGGTTGTGCTCATCCACATGACCAGTAACTTGGTCATTCTCATCCACTGAAAAATAAAAATTCAATGTAGAAATGAATTAGAGTTATGATGCGGCAGAGCAAACCTAAGCTCTCACACGCGTTTCTCGGGAAAAGGCATTGCTTCACTCACCATCAGTGATTACACAATATAACTGAGAATTAAACTGTTTACCCCCACTTCCCAAAAAAGCCTCTCTCCTCTAAACACAAGCTCTCTATTCAGAGAAACATTCCCAGTTGCTGCACAAACCATATGAAAGCTTCAATCTGGCTTCAGATGCTTTTTACTGAATGCTAATACCCTGAGACCAGCCCTTATCACCAATAGTGGGGCTTCTTTGCCACAGATCAAGAAGACGAAAGACCTCCTGGGGGAGAAGAATGCCAGTTCAGGCCAGCAGCACCACCATCAAAGATTCTTTATAAGATCACATGGAAAACCAGCTCAAAGAGAAACTCACCTACTTGTGCTGAGACGGCTGGTGATAAGGGAAGCACCTCGTAAGTCCTGGGAGAGTCGGTTGCTGGTGATTCCTCCAGGGAAATATGGTAACTGGTTGCAAGCACTACGCAGCCTCTTCAATTCACTGCCTCAGCAATCCTTGGAAATAAAAGGGAAATTATTACAAAATGGCAAAGGAGGGCAATCAGCTACAAACTGGGTTTGGAATTTAATATTAAAGTTCAAATTATTGAAAGAGTGATCTCTTTTGGGTGAAACTTTCAGTGCTGTTATTGAATACCAACTCCACTTAAGCCTCTATTCTGGCACCTGTAGGGGATACCAAGAGAGCTGAAATATAATCCTTGACCACAAATAACAGACACTCTAGTTGAGGCCCAGCAGGAAGGCACAGGCAGCTGTCAAGGAACAGAAAGGGTCAAAGCAATGGGGAACAGAATCTAAGCAAAGGAGCAGGCTTCCAGGAAGCACACAGGGACACCCCACAGAGAGAGCACTGGAGCCCCTTGGCCACTGGTTCACTGGGGGACTGGACTTAGCCAGGGCAGTAGTAGAGTCCAGAGCCCCTGAACAGACAAAGTCCCTCAGCCAGCCCACAGCCAGGCTGTTTAGCAAACATTCCTAATGATTAAATATTGTAAAATCATCCTTTGGAGTTACCCAAGCTAATGAGTTGTCTGGATTCAGGAAGGTGTCCTTCCCCCCCCCCACCCCCAGGGCAGAGTCACATGCTTAAAATGCACATTGCCAGGCCCTCACATTCCCCTTCTGTAGGTCTGGAGGGGGGCTGGACTCTGCACTATTTTCCCAGGTGCTTCTGATGACAGTATCCTGAGGATACACTTTGAGAAACGCTAGCCCAGAGCCACTCCTGCAGGAAGAGACAGGACAACCAGCGGTCACAACTGCAGGCATCAACTGGTTCCTGAGGGCTGGCAAGTGAGCACTGAGGTGTCACAGTGGGTGGGTCACAGGGAGGACCCTGGAGGAGGGGATGAGAAAGGGAAGACTGGCCTCTCCTGGGAAGATGAGCTGCCACCAAAACCAATTCAGGTGGAGCAAGCCAGCTATGTTCCCCGATGGGCTCCTGCAGGAGATGTGGGTGCTGACACTTGCTATATGAACACTTAGAACAGAAGGGCCATGAAGTACCAGATTGTCTCACAACACCTTGGAAAAGCAGGTTTAGACCAAGCTGACCCCAGCTGACACTAGGAACCCGATTCTGCCCCACTGATTCCAGAGATACCCGAAGGAGCTGCTGCTTCTTAATTCCTACCCTGATAGTCACACAACATGAACTTGGCTCCCAAGTCCCCAGGAAATGCGTACCGGATCCTGAGTGCACAGCACGACCAAACATACCTGCCATGATTCTAACCATTCCTTTTCTCCAAAATGTGGCTTTGCATGAAGAATCGATTAGGAAAATGGAGAGACTGATCTCAGCCAATGATGTGCGAGGCGCTTGTGTCAGGGTTGGGGTAGGGAAATCTGACCAATAGCCATTGTTCCTCAGCTAACTTCCTCCCCTCTCTCTACCTGACCCTGCCCCCTGCACACCTGGGGCTCAGAGGATGCTGAGGACAGTTCCTCCCTGCCGGGAGGAGGAGCCCTGGACCATGATCTTGGGCTCACTGCAGGTTGCTGCCTGGAGACACACACATGACCGTGTTGGCCGCTTCAGTCAAGCCCAGCACAACAGGACTGCCCTGAATAACAACTACAAAAGACTGAAAATCACACTTGCTTCAGAGTCGTAACAGCTGGACGCATTGAATGCATAAAAACAAATTTAAAGGTTTTGTCCACATCCTGCTGAAGCAAACAGAAAGCGGCATTTATTATGCCCGTGGTGTCTATCGTGGGTCAGGCTCTGTGCTCCTAACGACCAGATGACGCGGTGGATGTTTGCACCACTTTCTCAGGTCAGGAGGGGGCCACAGAGGGGTCACGCAGCCCAGTCACCAGGGCCATGCGGCTCCACGGCTTCTACGCTTGGGCACTGAGGACCGAGGGGTTCAATCAGGTCCCAGCTCCAGTCCAACCTTGGAAGCCAAGTGTTGGGAAGGGAGCATCCGAGGACAGACAGAGCCAGGGCCCCTGAGTCACTGCAGGAGGACGCCCCCGCTGGGACTCGGCGTCCGCTGCGCTGAGCCGCTAAGGAGCCGGTCTACTTGCTCCCGCAGCAGCCCGGGGGCCGGAGCTGCCGACACCAGGGAGACGCGTTTTCTGCACTGACTCCTACGCTCCCGCGTGGACATCCCCAGCATGATTTCTGTCTCCACCCACTTCGCACACACCCCGCCCCGGCCAGACACCCCCAAACCCACACAGGGTGCAGGGACACCGCCCTGGCCTTGGCTGTGGCTGTCACACTCGCCTGTCCCGCCTTGGCCCCAAGTCCTGCCAGCCCGGCTCCGTCCCCGCCCCACTCCCAGTGGCTCTGTGCCTGCCTCCCTCCCGGGCTCTGCCAGCCCTGCCTCTCCCGCCACGCACAGCTCAGGCGCCTGTGGCTTGTGCGGGGATAACTTCTAGGACACAGACTTCCGGAAGATTCTTTCCCAGCCAACACTGCCCCACCCTTCCGGTGGGAGCTCCCAAGTGGACAGACAGGAGAGGAGCTTCTTTATGATTGGCTGAGCCATCCAGCCAATCCCACTCCCCTTGGTTAGTGATTGGCCCAGGGATGGTCATAAGACTCAGCTAAGACCAATGAGATGCAAGGAGCTATCTGCAAGGGGAACCATGAGAATGATATCCCCTGATAAGGAGGGAGGCCCAGCCAACCCCTTTTTCTTCTGCTGGCCGTTGTAGGTTGGGGCAGGTGCTGGGGGCCTGCAGCCGGGTGGAAACAGTGTGGCTTTACCTGGGACTAAGACAAATCCCCCGAGGTGGTACTTCCAGTGCTAAAACCATAAGTCCAGACAGACCTGCAAATGGGCCCCAGGCGGGAGGCAGAGCCTGGTAGGCAAGCGAGACCCTGCCCCACCGAGGACTGGATTCAGGCCTCCCTGGAGTCACCTGCCTCTGAGCTTCTTGTCAGGCAGAGTGAGCAAATGACCTAAGCCTATTTTAAGCATATTGTCCTGTTACTTGCAGCCAAAAGCATCTAAGACCTTATGACTTATGAGCTAACGATCCCCTTGTCAAGGTGTTAAAACCGGTTTGCAGAGATAAATAACTTGGCCAAGGATACAGCCCTGGGAGTGATGGAGCTGGGAGTTAAACCCAAGGCTTTCTGACTGCAGAACCACTGGACTCCCGCAGCTCCATGCACGGCCCTTCGCGGTGCTTCTCAGTGGCCTGCCTTTGCCCTCAACCCTGAGCCTCTTGAGCCTCTTCAAAGCAGGAAGTGGTGCTTAGTCATCCTGAACCCCCAGAACCTAGCATGTTCTATGTCTAAATGAGTGAATGAAACCTGAGCAGTCTAACTAGCTTCCCTGGCCTCACACAGGGAGGTTTCTGGGTGCCTCCCACCACTCTGGGGCCTATTGAACACACGTCATCATGTGTTTCTTTGGATCCGTCTTCAGCAAGGAAAACAGAAGAGAAAACCCTTAAAAAGTGCTCACTTATGTGGCAGACACTGATCTATGCCTTTTACACTTAAGGACCCATTTGATCATCACAATAGGCAGATGACATTTGGGATTGGAATGCATCTAGACTGGTCTAGGGAAGGTGCAGGGAATATGCTCCCCAGGGGATGTAAATGTTAATAGAACTCTCTCCTGAGTCCCCCAACAATCGAATGTCACCTTCACCAAGGCAGGGACTGAACTGCATGCATGATTGAGTAGCAGAACCTTCCTGAAATGCTGCATTGCGAAGAGGAGACGGAGGCTCTGTGTCCTTGAGCTGAGAGGTCCTAATGTCAAGGGTTTGCTGTGACAGTTACACAAACCAGAAACAATGGCACCTCTTCCCAATGTTATTAAAACAGTAAACTATCAGGAAAGGATTTGAGGCTTTCCATAACAAATACAAGTGACATCTTGGTCACAAAGTGACAATTCTTCAAATCCTAGGCAATAAAATACAGTAGATTGATATCCATTTTTCTTTTAAGGACACTATATTTTGTTCTTATGTCACTTCTGTGAAAGGAAATGAAATCTGTTTTTCTCAGTGGAAGCTGGAAGATGAGAATGTCAAAGGCTACAAGGCACACATGCTGCTTTTCCCTGCCAGTGGCTGTTCCCTCTTCTGAGACCAGTATCTCTGGTCCCTCTCTGAGGAGTCCCCTTTCCTCCACATCTTTGGGATGAGCCTTACTGCAGGACCGTGTCAGAGGTGGATTTTGAACCCGGCTCACACCAACCAGCGTCTACATTTCATCCCATCTCTTCTTCCCCAGTCAAGGTGACTGGCTCATGGAAGACACATGGACAGTTACTGACAAAGCTGGACCCCCAAAAGATGGGGTCTTTCCCTGTTAGTGTTGGGTGTCACTAACCCAATACATGAAACCAAAAGTGTCAAGTAGTGCAGGTGTTATTCAATGGCCATGAAATTGACAAACGGAAGCATCACTCACAAGTCAACTTCTTGACATGTGAGGGGTGGGGGGTTAAAATATAGGGTTTCTCTAATGAAGGGGTTGGACATTAAAAGCCAGAGGAGGGCCGGGCGTGGTGGCTCACACCTGTAATCCCAGCACTTTGGGAGGCCGACGTGGGTGGATCACAAGGTCAGGAGTTTGTGACCAGCCTGGCCAACATAGTGAAACCCCATCTCTACTAAAAATACAAAAAAAATTAGCCAGGTGTGGTGGCGCATGCCTATAGTCCCAGCTACTCAGGAGGCCAAGGCAGGAGAACCACTTGAACCTGCGAGGCAGAGGTTTCAGTGAGCCAAGACCACGCAATTGCACTCCAGCCTGGGTGACAGAGTGAGACTCCGTCTCAAAAAAAAAAAAAAAAATTGCGAGGGGCCGGGTGCGGTGGCTCACGCCTGTAATCCCAGCACTTTGGGAGGCCGACGTGGGTGGATCACAAGGTCAGGAGTTTGTGACCAGCCTGGCCAACATAGTGAAACCCCATCTCTACTAAAAATACAAAAAAAATTAGCCAGGTGTGGTGGCGCATGCCTATAGTCCCAGCTACTCAGGAGGCCAAGGCAGGAGAACCACTTGAACCTGCGAGGCAGAGGTTTCAGTGAGCCAAGACCACGCAATTGCACTCCAGCCTGGGTGACAGAGTGAGACTCCGTCTCAAAAAAAAAAAAAAAAATTGCGAGGGGCCGGGTGCGGTGGCTCACGCCTGTAATCCCAGCACTTTGGGAGGCTGCGGCGGGCAGATCACGAGGTCAGGAGATCAAGACCATCCTGGCTAACATGGTGAAACCCCATCTCTACTAAAAATAAAAAAAAACAGCCAGGCGTGGCGGCAGGCACCTGTAGTCCCAGCTACACGGGAGGCTGATGCAGGAGAATAGCGTGAACCCGGTAGGCAGAGCTTGCAGTGAGCAGAGATGGCGCCACTGTACTCCAGCCTGGGCAACAGAGAGAGACTCCGTCTCAAAAAAAAAAAAAAAAAAAAGCGAGAAGAGGAATATTCAAGTCTTTTCCAAAAATGGGCAGGGAACTTCCCAGAACAAGAGTGCCGCCTTCTTTTTGTGCTTTTATGGTTTCTTCTGGTCACTACCATGGCGATCGTCAACTGTCATGGGACTGGTGGGTGTATCATTGAGCGTGGAAATGAGATGATAATGAAGCCTGAGGTCTTTTGAAGCTGTTTGGCTGGCTATCCTGGTTCTAACCAGTCTCAGCTGGTCTGGTTACAGAGGGAAATTTTTATCGAAGGTGTCCCGTTTCTTAAAGATCAGCAGAGTTAGGGCAGGGTGGAAATTCAGCTATGTCACATAGGCATCACACCAGGTAACACACCACTTTTGCCAGTAAAGCTCAGGCCCAGCCCTTCTTCGCAGCGACTGGAGAAGCTCTCTACGTCCTGCTGAGGCTGCTGAGAAGTGAGGATGGAAGCCAGGAGCACCTAGCAGTCATCTCAGCTCCACAGAGGAGATCACTGCCTCCCCGCCTCAATATAATACTGCTTACAGGAAGGAAGGAGAATTC
This sequence comes from Homo sapiens, assembly GCF_000001405.40. Lineage (NCBI taxonomy): Eukaryota > Metazoa > Chordata > Mammalia > Primates > Hominidae > Homo > Homo sapiens. The sequence continues at coordinate 131,595,854 of NC_000012.12, forward strand.
TCTGGTGATGTCATCTGAGCCCTCGGATGAAGCCATGCCAAAAGCAACCTCCTCCTGTTTTACCTAAGTCATTTTTCAGATGGGTTTTCTGTCACTAGAAATCAAGAGTCATGACTCAGGGTCAAGAGAGGGACTCAAGGTGAGAACCTGAGCAAGGGCGAACCAGGTCTGGAACCCGGGCCTCTTTCCACCTCCTGCCTGAACTTCCCCTGTTGTTCTGGATGTCAGAACAGCAGGCTTTTTGGCAGGTTAGTGCATGTGGAAATTAATAAGCAGTATCAGGGTTTTTAAAAAAATATATGCATTTATTTCTGGTGAAACTAAAACAACTGTTGAAGCAAAGAGGCCAAATTAACAGAACCACAGCTGCACTGAGTCCTGGGCTGCCCTGCTGGGGCCTGGTGTGTGACATCCCATTGTATTTTCACAGACCCCACGGCGGGGTCGGACAGCCTCCTTACTGCCGTTGGGGGAACTGAAACCTGGAGAAAGGACAACTGACTTCCCAAGTCCCATCGCTCTTCCTGGCAGAACAAGGATTTGAACCCAGGGCCACCTACCCAAGGCCACTGCTAGAAACAGCCATTGGTACAGAACAGGAAGAGGCATCCTTGGGGCTCTCCAAGGACTCATCAGAGAGCCTGGAATTCAGGAGGCTCAAGGTAAACGTTTGTGGATGAAATGAGGTAATAAACCTAGAATGTTTGCCACCTAGAGCCTTCTATCATTATCCGTCACATACACCCTGAGACCCCGCCATCCCCAGGAGAATATTCATCCCGGCGTGTCTCAGGTAGGTTGTCGGTTTCTCCATTAGGGAACAGGTGTTCCAGTAAAATGACTGTTTAATGAAGTTCATTAGGACACAGCTCTTGCCTGCAGTCCCGATGGCTGTAACAGGAGAGTGGGGAGATGGGAAATGCTGGGAAAGGGGTGCAGATACTAGGGTACCCCCAGGAATGTAGCCACCAGACCTGCCCCAGCCCTTCACCCCTCACTGACCAGCAGCAGCTATGAAGTACATGGTGACCTCATCCAGAGGTAGGGCCATCCCTGGATGTTGAACTCATCCAAAGCTCCGTTATCATAATGCTGGGTCCAGTCCTGCTGAGATCCCATCACAAGATTGACATCAGGGTCCCCATAGGCATGAGACACTTGCCTTCTCATGTCACAGGTGCTCAGGGTCCCATTGGCATAGACTCGCAGACCCTTCTTGGATGTCCACATGGTCTGTACATGAGTCCAGTAGGAGCCTGGGAAATCACAAACATCACCATTCTGAGTGCTATGGGAATGAGCCCACGGATACTGGTGTTTCTGCCTTTTAAGCACGTTCCCCTTTCTGAAGAGGATGGGTCATGGCTGATCTTGGGGAGTCCTAACGTAGGTCACGTTACAGGCCAGACTTTTCCCCATCCTTTGTGCACAGGAGAGACATTGCCCTTTGCCCACATCCCGCAGTCTCAAAAGCAGTTCAAACAGTCCTGGCTATTTTAACACAGAGGGACAAACTCAAACACCAACAAGCAAAGGTGATGATCAAAATATCTGAGAACTGGCAGGGCACAGGTACTGACCAGTCAAGCTGGAACCAACATATCTATGCTCCCACGCCCAGAACCTGGAACGCAGGGAGGAGGCAGAAGTGAACACGAGGATGTGGTTTCCATGGTGACAGTGATGCTGACGAGCACTTGAGGGGCATGGGGGCAGCCAGGGTTCAGCCCAGCTGCCGTCATCAGGGGAGAGTAAACCCTGCACACCAAGCGGTACTGTTCCCAAGAGAAGCTCAAAAATTCTGATTCTTATGTGGGATTTTCTAGTTGGGAGTGTTCACCACTAATTCAAATGTACGACACAAAAAGCCAATGCACAGGTTGAGGCCGTGCAGGACAGTAAAACCCATCTCTGAGCCAGTCCCTGCTCTGCGTGAGGCATGGGCAATTAGCCCGTCTCTGAGCCAGCCCCTGCTCTGCGTGAGGTATGTTCGATGACCCTATGTGGAGGGGCCAGGAAGGGCAAGGCCAAGCTCGGCCTCACTGGGGATTCTCCATCAGCGAGCTTGGCTGTTACTCTTCTGTCCACCCAGAGCACTGTGCTCACCAACAGAGGAATGAACGTCCATCTGACTTCCACGGCAGCTTCTGCCATGAAGGACCCCTAGGTTTTGTGAGCTTTTATGTACAGACCTTATCATGGACTCGCTGCCGGAAGGAACAGGGAATCTCTTTGGAAGGCACACACCATGGGCCTCTCTGCCAGTCACCCTAATCGCCCAGGAATTATATTGGGAATCTTGCTCAGGAATGTGGAACTTTCTGTAGTAATGTTGGGTGTCTGAAGAGAACCTGGGTCCTAAATAGGTCCAGGTAGAATTGCCCTTGATTCTGGAAGTAGGACCAGCAAGGATCCCTCCAGTATACAGTAAGAAAACATTGCCGAGCAGAACTGTTTTCCATGCTCCCAACTTCTGGGTGAAAAATTCAGCAAGAGCTTAGCAGAGTTCACCCCAAAATATGTTCTAGGAACCTGCCAGGTGCTGGAAATGGAGTCTGGCCTGCCAGCTCCAAGCACAGATAGATGGCTCCATCCCAGGATCTCTGACACCAGGTAGCACTTAAACGACACAGACAAGGCACCACTAGCTCTGGGGACGGGGAGACAGATTGTCTCTGGCCTCAGGATCAGAGGACAGAGCGAACAAGACCCAGTCAATGAACTGTATGTTGGACAGCCTCTAAGCAATGCCACCTCCCGGCACGGGCTGGAGAAGGCCCCCTCAGAGCCGGCAGCTTCTGCTGGAGGCGCCTTTCAGACCCCATCGGCCTCCTGTCTTGGTTCCAGGCATGGCAGGGCCTCCCCCAGAGCCTCCCTGGAACACTGAAAGCCCAATCACCTCCCAGCTGCCCCACAGCTTCAGGCCTCCTACCCCAGCCTCTGACCTCAGCCCTGCAGGTGACCTGGCCCCCATTCCAAGGAGAGAAGGGAGCCCAGCAGGCAGAGCTCCACCCTCCTCACCTCAGCTCCGCCCTCCTCACCTCAACTCCGCCCTCCTCACCTCAGCTCCGCCCTCCTCACCTCAACTCTGCCCTCCTCACCTCAACTCCGCCCTCCTCACCTCAGCTCCACCCTCCTCACCTCCTCCCTGCCCGTCACCACATCTGCATCTGGGGCCACCAGTCCTCCTCAGGCACCTGTGCCCCAGCCCTCCACTCCCCTCCTGGGATGGGGCCCTTCCTACTGAATCTCAGCCACCCCTCCCTGCATCTTTCCCATCAGCCTTTAAAGTCTCCCACCCAGATCGCTTCATCTCCCTACAGAGTAGTTCCAGTCCTGTCTGAAGGGCTTCCCCGCAGGCATGTCAGATCCAACATTTCCAGGAGCGAATTCATCAACTCCTGTGCGCAATAAAAGGAAACTCTTCTCTCCTTCTGACACCGAGCCCTGCAGGCCCCCTGCCCGCATTTCTCACTCTGTCACTTGCCTTCTCTGCATCCCTGGAGCAACCCCTGGTGTAAGCCAGCACCGCCTCTAATCTAGGTCACTGCCGCAGCCTCCACCCTGTGTTTTTGCAACATCCGTGTGCCATGAATCACAGGGAGCTCGAGCTGGGTTCTGATCTGGCACTTCTGGGTCCTGCATTTCTAACAACCCTGGTGTGGCAGTGGCACTGGTCCAGAGACGCCCATGGAGCAGTAAGGTTCTGACACATCTCCTTGCCTGTAGCATTGCCCACCTCTGTGTGCACACACACACGCATGCACACACACACCTGTGCACACACATACACACACACGGCATCCCAAGGGCCCTTCTGGTGTGCACACTGGGTCACCGCCCTCTCCGCCTCAGAGCCCCTGGTGTCTACTCAACACATGCCCTGCTCTCTCCGAAAGCGCCTCTGCTGTTGCCCTGCTCAGAGTGTCCTTCCCTCCTTCCCTCTGTAGGGCTGACTCCTCTGTGTCCCTGAGGCCTCCCCTGATGTCACCTCTTTGAGCCTGCACTGGGCTCCACCCCCAGGATGGTCAGGCGCCCCCCACCCCGTGTCCATCATGCCATCCATCACATTGTACTGCAGGGGCTGTATTACGGGTCTTTCACCCCAGAGAGACACTAAGCTCCGTAGGGGCAGGCGCCCAGCCCTGCAATGCCGCCTGGAGCAGAGAGGTCCTCGCCGCGCTGTTCACTGCGGAATGCGCACAGAGGTTCCGGCCGCGGTGTTCACTGTGGAATAAGTGGAGAGGTCCTGGCCGTTCTTGTCACTGCGGAATGAGCAGAGAGAATCCTCGCAGGGCATCTCCTGTCCTCACCTTCACCCTTCCTTTGGCCTGAGATCCAAAGGCAGACTGGAGCCAGATTCAGTCTTTCCCTGGATCCATGCACTAGGCATTGTCAGCAGGAAATAAAATGCCCATTTTCCTAATTATCAGAAGCAGGAGCCTCCCGGTTACCCCACCTGCAGACTTCAGGCTCCAAGGCTCAGAGCAATATCCGTAATTGCAGTTGATGCTAAATGTAGTAAATTATATCATTTCAGATGAGTCACACTTCATCCCACTAAGCTTACTTGAAGTAAGCGGGTCGTTATGAAGTACTTCTGATCAAGGAAAATAGATACATGTGAAGCTGTTGCGTGTTTGCTCCCGTTTGGGTTACAATTATTCACTCATTCAATGTTGCATTTTGAGCTCCTGCTGTGTGCCAGGAAGGTAGCGGCGAGCAGAGCAGATGAGGTGTCTGTCCGGGGAGGTCCACGTGCCAGTAGGGGTGGGAGACAACACCGTTGGGTGATGTGTAGCCCCCTGATGCCCACCGCATCCGTCCTGCCTGTGGGGTTGGTGCTGCCACAGTGCTGCTCCCCCACCCCTTCCTTGCCCTTAAGTCAGGGCCCTGTCAACGGCAGCACCCCCATTCTCACAGCTGCCCCACAGAAAACACACCGTGGGCATCGTCAGGGGTGTGGCAGGGCTGCAATGAAGGGAGGACCCCACGGGCACCCCCAGGGCTTGTGGTGGTCGTGGGAGATGGGGTCATTCATGTGTCATAAAAGTACTGCAGCGTAGCCTAGGTCAGGTACTCCAGAGTTTCCACAGGGCCTCGGGGCCTAGGTCAGTGTATTAGTCGGTTTTCATGCTGCTAATAAAGACATACCCAAGACTGGGTAATTCGTAAAGGAAAGAGGTTTAATGGACTCCCAGTTCCACATGGCTGGGGAGGCCTCACAATCATGGCAGAAGGCAAGGAAGAGCAAAGTCGTGTCTTACATGGTGGCAGGGAAGACAGTGTGTGCAGGGGAACTGCCCTTTATAAAGCCATCAGATCTCATGAGACTTATTCACTACCATGAGAACAGCACGGGAGAAACTGCGGCCATGATTCAATGATCTCCACCTGGCCCCGCCCTTGACACATGGGGATTATTACAATTCAAGGTGAGATTTGGGTGGGGACAAGCCAAACCATATCAGTCAGCCCCAGCCCCTCCCAAATCTCATGTCCTTACATTTCAAAACAAATCATGCCTTCCCAACAGTCCCCCAAAGTCTTAACTCATTTCAGCATTAACTCAAAAGTCCACAGTCCAGAGTCTCATCTGAGACAAGACAAGTCCCTTCCACCTATGAGCCTGTAAAATCAAAAGCAAATTAGTTACTTCCTAGGTACAATGGGGTACAGGCATTGGGTAAATACAGCCATTCCAAATGGAAGAAATGGGCCAAAACAAAGGGGCTACAAGCCCCATGCAAGTCAAGTCTTAAAGCTCCAACATGATCTCCTTTGACTCCATGTCTAACATCCAGGTCACGCTGATGCAAGAGGTGGGGTTCCCACGGCCTTGGGCAGCTCCGCCCCTGTGGCTTTGCAGAGTACAGCAGCCCCCCTCCTGGCTGCTTCCACGGGCTGGCATTGAGTGTCTGGCTCACAGTGCGAGGTGTCAGTGGATCTACCACTCTGGGGTCTGGAGGACAGTGGCCCTCTTCTCACAGCTCCACTAGGCAGTGCCCAGTGGGGACTCTGTGTGGGGCCTCCAAGCCCACATTGCCCTTCCACACTGCCCTAGCGGAGTTTCTCCATGAAGGCCTCACCCCTGCACAAAATTCTGCCTAGACATCCAGATATTCCCATACACCCTCTGAAATCTAGACGGAGGTTCCCAAACCTCAGTTCTTGACTTCTATGCACCCACAGGCTCAACACCACATGGAAGCTGCCAAGGCCTGTGGCTTCCACTCTCTCAAGCCATGGCCTGAGCTGTACCTTGGCCCGTTTTAGCCATGGCTGGAGTGGCTGGGATGCTGGGCACCATGTCCTGAGGCTGCGCACAGCAGGGGGGCCCTGAGCCCCACCCACAAAATCATTTTTCCTTCCCAGGCCTCCGGACCAGTGATACGCAGGGCTGCCGTGAAATTCTCTGACATGCCCTGGAAACATTTTCCCGTTGTTTTGGTGATTAACATTCGACTCCTTCTCACTTAAGCAAATTTCTGCAGCTTCAATTTCTTTCCAGAAAATAAGGTTTCCTTTTCTATCACATCGTCAGGCTTCACATTTTCCAACTTTTATGCTCTGCCTCCTCTCGAATGCTTCGCTGCTTAGAATTTTCTTTTCCTGGATACCCTAAGTCATCTCCCTCAACTTCAAAGTTCCACAGATCTCTAGGGCGGGGCAAAAAGCCGCCAGTCTCTTTGTTAAAGCACAGCAAGAGTGACCTTTACTCCAGTTCCCGACAAATTCCTCATCTCCTTCTGAGACCACCTCAGCCTGGACTTCAGTGTCCATATCACTATCAGCATTTTGGTCAAAGCCATTCAACAAGTCTCTAGGAAGTTCCAAACTTTTGCACATCTTCCTGTCCTCTTCTGAGCCCTCCAAATTGTTCCAACCTCCACCTGTCATCCAGTTCCAAAGTCACCTCCACATTTTTGGGAATCTTTACAGCAGCACCCCCACTCTACTGGTACCAATTTACTGCATTAGTCTGTTCTCACACTGCTAATAAAGACATACCTGAGACTGGCTAGTTTATAAAGGAAAGAGGTTTAATGGACTCACAGTTCCACGTGGCTGGGGAGGCCTCACGATCATGGGGAAGGCAAAGGAAGAGCAAAGTCGTATCTTACATGGCGGCAGGCAAGAGAGCTTGTGTAGGGGAACTGCCCTTTATAAAACCAAGAGATCTCACGAGACTTATTCACTAGAATGAGAACAGTATGGGAGAAACCACCCTCATGATTCAATTGTCTCCACCTGGCCCCGCCCTTGACATGTGGGAATTATTACGACTCAGGGTGAGATGTGGGTGAGGACGCAGCCAAACCATATCAGTCAGGTACTCCAGCATTTCCACACGGTCTTGGGGCCCAGGTCAGGTACTCCAGTGTTTCCACACAGCCTCAGGGCCTGGGTCAGGTACTCCAGTGTTCCTACACGGCCCTGGGGCCCAGGTCAGGTACTCCAGTGTTTCCACACAGCCTCGGGGCCTGGGTCAGGTACTCCAGTGTTCCTACACGGCCCTGGGGCCCAGGTCAGGTACTCCTGTGTTTCTACACAGCCTTGGGGCCTATGTTAAGGGTCTCTGTTGTGTCCAAGTCATCACAAACTTAGCAGCATAAAACAACACATTTTCAGTCAGGTCTGAGTCCTGGCCCAGCCAACCCTGTCCTCTGTTCATGTCTCACAAGGCTGAAACCAAGGTGCTGTCTGGCCTTGTTCTCATCTGAAGGCTCAGCTGTAAGACCCATATACAAGCCTCCCAGGATGTTGGCAGAATTCACTTCCTTGCAGCTGTAGAGCTCACAGCAGCTTCCTTCTTCATACCCAGCAATGGGGAGAGACTGTGGCTGTGAATCTCCGACTCAGGGAAGGTCTAGACCTTTATTTTCCTTTTATAACAGCCATCATTGGGCCTGTTAGCTGAGACACCTACTTGTGGCCTCTTCAAGGGCCTGAATTTGCCCACAGCCTGGAGGCTCAGTTCCAGGAGTGAGTTGGACCACTTCCAAGGAGCTCATCTGATTAAACCAAGAACACACAGGATAATCTCTATTTTGATCAACTCAAAATTAACTGATTAGCAACTATAATTACATCTGAAAAATTTCTTCTTTGCCAAAAAAACCATAACCTAATCACAAGAGTGAAATTTCATCCTATTCATAAGTCCTCCCACACTCAACAGAAGGGGATTTCACAGGGCATGTATACCAGGAAGCAGAAATTTTGGGGCCATGCTTCCTAGCCTGGATTCTTTCCTCCACAGCACTCCAGGGAAGATCTGGGAGCTCAGGCTCATTAAACGCAGGGTCTCACTTTCAGTCAGGCAAACAAGCAAGTGGTTACAGCCTCTTCCTGCTGCAGGAAAGACCCTGCTCCCATGCTCCAGTTCCCCGAGCCCACCCTCCTGACGGCCAGGGAAGCCTGCAGACAGGACTAAAGCCCGGGGTCTCCAACCCACACCCCCGCCTGCCTGGAGCTCTTACACTGCTGAGCCCGTCACAAAGCCCTGTGCCCTCCCGCCGTCCCACCGTGCCTCTCCACTCAGCACTGGCCAGCTCTGCGGGGGCCCAACACAGCTCACTGTGCAACTTTTCAGAAGGAAAGAAAAACAAATCCCAGTGAGATTCAGAGAACCTCAGCTGCGTTTAAGAATTCCTACTACACCATTCACTATGACATTCTGTCTCAGCCAAATATCCTGTTGCCAGGGAAGAAAAATTAAATTTTAAACACGAGCTGCAGAGTAGGTGTCGGTGGATGGCAAGCAACGGAAACCGCAAACAGGGCTGTGCATCGCCGTCAGCCCGAACTGCAGATTAATTGCTTCTGGTGGAGGAAGCAGCTTAGATCTAAACATCAACTCAGCTCCGACAGAGCCTCGCGGAAATCCAGAGCTGCCTCTGGGATCAGAATTTTGAGGACCTCTGCTCCCTGCACTTGGGAGAGTCTTAACACAAAGAACAAAAAAATTTAAAAGTCTGAGAGAAGAAGGAATAAACCCCACCTTCAGAATTTTCTTTGATTTTTAAAAAATTGTAGTGTTTAATCCTAGTTCATCCAAAATAAAAGTGAGAGAGGGGTTTTCTCTGCATATCAAAATGTCTAGAAGGCTCAAGAGAAAACATTGCTGTCGGTGGGCACTGAGAACCATTTGCTGACCCACCGGGAACCGGGACCTGTCACTCACAGCCACCCCACCGGGAACCGGGACCTGTCACTCACAGCCCTTCTGTTACTGGAAAGGGGTCCTGATCCAGACCCCAAGAGGGTTATTGGATCTCATGCAAGAAAGAATTCAAGGTGAATCCATCAGGTGAAAGGAAGTTTATTAATAAAGTGAAGGAATAAAAGAATGGCTCCTCCACAGGCAGAGTGGTAGTGGGGCTGCTCCACGAATGATAGTTTTTTCCTGACTATATGCTAAACAAGGGTGGATTATGGTCTAGAAGCCAGGAGAAGCCCTCGGTTCTGGAAACTGCCCACCCCTTTCCCAGAAGACTCATGATTATTTATGGCATTTGTAAACCGTCATGGCGCTGATGAGCAGTAAGGATGACCCCAGAGGTCACTCATTGCCATCTTGGTTTTGGAGGGATTTGGCCGGCATCTTTACTGCAATCGGTTTCATCAGCTGGGTTTGTGACCTGTGTCTTGTGCCGACCTTCTGTCTCATCCTGTGACTTAGAATGCCTAACCTGCTGGGAATGCAGCCCAGTAGGTCTCAGCCTGATCTTACTCAGCCCCTGTTCAAGATGGAGTCATTCTGGTTCAAATGCCTCTGACACTTCCCTCACCTTTAACCCTGGAGAGGGTGATTCCCTCCTGACCCCACAGAGCCCAAGCTGAGTTCTACTTTGTTATTTTCAGAAGAGCAAACCTCAGAAACAAGAAAGCCCCTGCACCATCGACAATAATGTTTAAAAACCTCAACCCCAAGCAACTTCTTTTCATCCCCTTCTTTTCCCAGCAAGACTTTTTTAAGGTTCAAAAACAAGCGCAAAACAGCAGCAACAAAAAATCATCAAAATCCCCAGGGTTTTGGTTTTGTTTTGTTTTTCATTATTCTCCTGGAGCTTTCCCATATCTAATATTTTCCAACCTTTTCCTTAAGGACATTCCCCCAGGTTTCAGGACAGAAGCATCTCAACAGGTGTGGGAGGTCTTTTCTGCTAGAGAGTGTAATTTTGGAACTGTACTCACATTTCTTTCCAATCTGGGCCAAGGTCTAATTCAGACGCATAACTGAAAATCTGGGTCCACTAACAGTGCCTGTGATTGTCCAACGGGTTGTTCCTGCCCACTGCACAAATAAAGACCACGGCACTGCAGTCAAGAAAGAGTTTAATTGCCATGAGGCCGGCCACGCCATGTGGGAGATGGAGTTATTACTCAAATCGACCTCCCCAAAAATTCATAGATTGGGGTTTTTAAGGATAATTTGGTGGGTAGAGGGTTGGCAAGTGGGGACTGCTGACTGGTAGGGTCAGAGATGAAATCATAGAAAGTCAAAGCTGTCATCTTGCACTGAGTCAGTTCCTGGGTAGGGGCCACAAGACCAAATGAGCCAGTTTATTTTTCTGGGTGGAGTCAGCTGGTGCATCAGAATGCAAGGTCTGCAAAATATCTGAAGCCCTGATCTCAGGTTTTACGACAGTGACTCTGTACCGTAATTTCTAATCTTCTAATTCGTAAGTCAAGTCCCTAGGCAAGGAGGGGTTTTGTTTTGGGAAAGAGCTGTTATCATCTTTGTTTCAAAGTTAAACTAAGTTCCTTCCAAAGTAAGCTCAGCCTACGCCCAGGAATGAACAAGGACAGCTTGGAGGTGAGAAGCAAGATGGAGTCGGTTAGGTCAGATCTGTTTCACCGCCATAATTTCCTCAGTTCTAATTTTTGCAGAGGCGGTTTCATGCCCAGACAGAGAAACGTCTGACATCGTTGTGCAACCCTAGAATACTGTTGTGAAACTGTTCTTGTGCCCCATTTACCAACTGCACAAATTCACCAACTTTTTCAGACAATAGTCGTCTCTCAGTATCCTCGGGAGGTTGGTTCTGAGGCTCCCATGGATACCAAAATCTGAAGATGCTCAAGTCCCTTATATAAAATGGTGTGTTATTTGCATATAACCTAGGCACATCCTCCTGTATACATTAAATTGTCTCTGCATTCCTTATAATACTCAAGATAACACAAATACCGTGCCAATAGTTGTTATCACTGCTTTTTTATTTACTTTTGATTGTTGTATTGTTATTTTTATTGGGTTTTGTTTGTTTTTTGTTTTTTGAGACAGAGTCTCACTCTGTTGCCCAGGCTGGAGTGCAGTGGTGCGATCTTGGCTCACTGCAACCTCCACCTCCCAGGTTCTCCTGCCTCAGCCTCCCGAGTAGCTGGAATTACAGAGGCCCAAGACCACGTCCAGCTAATTTTTGGATTTTTAGTAGAGATGAGGTCTCACCATGTTGGCCAGGCTGGTCTTGAACTGCTGACCTCAAGTGATCTGCCCACCTCGGCCTCCCAAAGTACTGGAATTACAGGCGTGAGCCACCATGCCCGGCCCCAGGTTATTTTTTAATATTTTTGATCTGAGGTCCAAGGACATGGGGCCTATGGATATGGAGGGCCACGTCCATCTGTTTCCCCTCTCAGATTCTTCCCAGTCACCCTCTCAAACTTGCCAGTTGGTATTCTATTCCGGTTTAACTCTGGCATTAACTCATCTCAACCTAATCTCAGTGGAATCATAGAGGTAGATTTTGGATCCGACATTACCTGGGGGATTCTGTGGGAGTTAGGAGGAAGAGAAGTGAGTGTTTGTACAATCCACTGACAGCTATTCCTGTACTGCCTGTGTCTTCATTGTTTTGAATTTCTGTTTCATTTTCTATTTTTAAGCCTGTCTTGAGTCAGTTGAAATCAGATTAGCTGTCCTCTGAAGTTCCTTCCAGTTCTGAGAATCTGTGATTTCATTTAATATTAAACAGACTTGTGAGCAAACATGAAGGATGCGGAGGTATTTTATGAACTATAAACATACCAACACCAGTATGAGATTACTAATTCAACCTTTGTGTGTCTTGTGTATTCACACGGAGTACAGGTGCCTCAGGGAAGGGACCCAATGGTGTTGGGTCACCGGTTTCAGTGCATGCTCAGTATGACAGCCATAAGATCTCACTTTGCATGCAGTGGCTGGTCGGGTGCGGTCATCCGTGGTCACACTGCACCAGGGATGCCTTCAGGAAGGCTGTTCAGACCTTACAGAGGCATCTTCCCCTACACACAGAATTCCTTTTCTTTCTCACACACATGGTCCTTCAAGTTGTTTTCCAGACTTTTTTGTGTATAGGCCACGGATTCCAGCAGTGGTGGAGGGTGAGTCACTGTCACCGGTGGTAATTTATCATAGTTACCATGTTGGGAGGTTAGGAGGGGCTGGTTGTCATTCATCCATCCTCAGATTGTTTTTGTGATTTCTCTCAACATCAGTAGGTTGGGGTTTTTTTGATGAATTGTGTTTGTTTGTTTGTTTTTCTACCTTCCAAAAGTCTTTGTGGGATACTTCATTTTGGCTCTTTCATGTGTCTGGATGGTCTGACATTTTTGTTTTATTACAAAATTGAGCGGTAGAAACTGTAAATGAAGAATTTCACTCTTAGAAATGTCCAGCAAAGATCATTTAAATAGGTGAATAAAGAATTGAAGGTCCTCAGTTAGTAACATTACAGTCCTAGCATAAATTCTTCCTTAATTTTCATCTATGATGGGTTAGCTCTGATTAAAAATACCACTGGGGCTTGCGATTTTTACTTCTCTTCAGTTGCATTCGATATCAATTTTGTTTTAATTGTTTTATTTACATTTCATAGGAAATCAATGCAATGGACAAATGAGAGAGAAGCAAAAACACATTAATGGCATTTGTTTTTGCCATGTGACCATTTGAAGCAATTCTGGGAATAAACAGTTTAAAATCTGTTACTGTTTAGAATTAAATACTTTATATTTGGCATGTACTGCCTTCGTCTGATTTCTGCGTTGTTTCCATGGAAACGCGCATAATTTATGTGAAAGCGCCACACCATGTGTGATCACTTATGTTTAAGCCCAGTTTGGGATATTGTCTCTCGTATCCCCACACCTCCTCACCACTATTTTGTCTTTGATATGGAGCAGGTGTTGGCGAATGCAGCAACATCACTAAGGCAAGTTCCACCATAGACAACGCAGATATTTTGCTTGGAGAGTTTCTGCTTTTAAAATCTTTGGGGGAGCCAAGCCAACACCCCATGTTCACTCTGACACGTGGCTTCTGTGGTTCTGCGGGAACAGAAACACGCAGTTCCAGGACGGGCCTCCAGGGGGAGGTTGGGGCCGCCCTTCCTGCTCAGCCTGCAACCGACTCCTCCCGCCAGACAGGCTGTGGTCAGAGACACAACAGGAAAATCAAATTTGTTGATTTTCCAAACAAAAAGAAGTTGGTTTGTTTTTTGTATTTTACAGGTTTTTTTTCTACTTCGATAGCATTTTGGTGGTTTTTGTTACATGCATGAATTGTGTGGTGGTGAATTCTGAGATTCTAGTGCCCCCGTCACCCAAGGGGTGTCCATTGTCCTAGCGTGTAGGTCTTTTTATCCCTAGCCCCATCCCGCCCTCCTCCTTCTGAGCCTCTAGAGCCCATTACATCACTCCGTACGCCTTCGCGTAGTCAGCCTAGCTCCCTCTGACAAGTGAGAACATGTGGTTTTGGTTTTCCACGCCTGTGTTCCTTCACTTAGAATAATGCCCCCAGCTCCGTCCGAGTTGCTGCCCATCGGCTACTGAATGGATAAAGAAAACGTGGTGTCTATACACCAAGGGGTACTACTCAGCCATTAACATGAATGCAATACTGTCTGTTCCAGCAGCTTTTTGAGGAAGGCTAGCGCACCTAGCTAATCCATCTGAAGCCTAATGCTGTGCTCTGTTGTCTCAAAAATCAGTACTTGGAGGCAGGAATGTGGCTGCCTGCAGCAAACCATGAGAGACTCTGGGGACCTCGCTGTGGGGTTTTGGTGGGAAGGCGGCCCCAAGCCATCCCTGGCTCCTTGGCAGCAATGCAGGGCATCCCAGGGAAGCGGCTGGTGACGCTGGCACCTTTGATCATGAGAGAAGGGCGGTGGGGCCATCATGGAAAGCTTTAGAGAACTCAGCTACAAAACAGGAGATGTGGGCCTTGTGTTCCCATAGCCTTAAGAGCGGCATGAAAGAAACAGCCGTGGCTTCACCTGCCCAACGGGTAGGGAACAAGGCATGAAAAGACAACATTGTAGCCCTGTTGGTGGAGGCCCTCTCTGTCTTCGTCCACGAATGTGAAGCTTCTGATGGTCAACCTCAGAAATTAATCAAGAGCCTGCAGAGCTGCAGTGGGACAGGAGTGTCCCCCGTTTTATAGCCCATGGCAACACTGGGTCCGTTGGAGCAGGTTCGTCTGAAGGAGCTGGAGAGTGGCTGCCCGCAGTGGTCCCAGATCCCACCTGTCTATGAGGAGGCCACACCCTCCAGGGCACAGTTGACTGGACCTTTGATGACCTCTGACACAAGCAGGCCTCTCCCTGGCCACCTGGCCTGGGCGCCAAGAGTCTTGTTTCGGGTTGAGCCTGCCTCGTAAGCAAGATATGAGGAATCTCGGGGCTGTGTGCTGGGTGGGGAGCACCTTCTGCCTCATGGACAGAGGGGCAGAGAAGTCAGACCAGCAGAGGAAAGATGACAAAGCCACCTGCAAGGGAGAGCGGGGGCAGCCGGCCTCCTCTTCCTGGCACCCTCTCTTTTCTTGCCTTTTCTGTCATTAAACTTTCCTGGTTTTCCTCCCATTTCTCTGGACACCCCTTGGGCCCGCTTGCCAGCTCCTCTGCCTTCTTGTTTAAACAGCATCCCTTCCCACACCGTAGCCTGCTGGATAGAGTCCTGGGTCCCTAAGATGGGACAGGATGGTGACACCTGGCAGGAAGCGGGCAATGTCCCTACACACAGTTCCAGCTCCAGAGTGGAGGCTCAGGGATTTTGCCCAGGGGAGGGTAAAAGTGAGGGCTCCAGGTCTCTTCCCAAGGAAACTAACTTCATCTGCAGCACAGTATGGGGAAGTTGAAGCCCAAGGATGCTCTCAAGAACAGCGGAGGTGTGGCGGAAGGCGCCAGTGGACAGCAGATTCCTGGAGATGTGGGCCGCACTGCAGGCTGGCTAGTTTGCAGGGTCGGGCTGTGGGCTGTTTCTTGGAACAGGAGCGGCATGTGGGCAGGGCAGAGCCTCCAAGGCACCTGCTACAGCAGCAGCAGCCTTCACAGGGCAGGCTGGAGTGCCTGTGGAATGAGGGCATGGTGCCTGCGGCTCGGGTGTGCACAGTGGAGATGGGAGGGAGATAGTGTCTGGGCCAGGAAGACGGAGACGAAGCCGTCTCCTCTATTTCACTCATTAAAAATAACTCTGGGTCTCAGTTCCTCTGCAGCCAACCAGTCTTGGTGCCTTGGGTAGTTGGGTGTTTGGGGTCTAAATGAGCCTCTGCTTTCTGCAGACCTAGCCCTGGGGCTCAGCAGAGCGGAGGCCCCACAGTTCATGCTGACTGTGCCTCACGTGGGCTGGGGCAGAGAGAAGCCAACCAGAGACCCTTCAGCCACACGGGGTGTGTGGGGTTCCATCCAGCCTGCACCCAGCTGCCCGGACACGGCTCTGACGTGGGCTGAGTCCACACGTGGTGTGTGGGGTTCCATCCAGCCTGCACCCAACTGCCCGGAAACGGCTCTGACGTGGGCTGAGTCCACTCAGGGGTCCTTTGTGCCAATCCATTGTACAGGCAGGGGTGCCTGCTCCCCCTGCCCAGCATGGCCCCACCCACCTGCACAAGAAGGCCCAGGCTCCCTGTGCCCTGGCTCTGTGCCCCCCAGGCCCTGTCCTCCCTGCAGCCATGCCACATGATCCATGGTGCACTTGTTTCCGGCTCTGTGCCCCACCAAATGGCCCACCAGCCCAGAGGAAACCCAGGGCCACGTATTCCAAATCGTGATGGGGTGAGCCTGTGGTGCTGTCGAGACCCTGGAAAAATCCCCTGGGGTGGGGTCCTGCCCTCGGTCTCCACCCCACCTGGCCGCTGACATCGTGGGGATCCTGCCCCTTCCCCACTCCGCTGTGAGCCGCCCACCCGCTCCTTCCACCTGCCTGAGTCTTGAGTCACGACACTTTGCAGAATTAAGTTACTTCGCCACTGGCTCTCCACTTGAAAGTAACCTCTCTAATTGCTCATTTGGGGACCTGACCTGACCCTCTCTTGCCTGGGGCCTGAGGCTGTGATGTTAGCAGGAATCCAGCGTCTATGTCCCCGTGTCCTGTCTACACGTGTACACACAGCCCAAGGTGTCCTTCCTGCCACAGGCGCAGTTCTCATTAGGGTCCTGCTGCAGGGCCGCTGGCTCTCCGGTTACCGCTGGGCTGGGTGGAGCTACAGCACTGGGGGAAGATTTTCTCATTTTGCACTTCGGGACCCACACTCATCCACACTGTGCTGATAACATGGAGCAGAGGGAAGGGCACAGGCCCCGTGCCCACACTCAGGGGTGTGGCACCAGTGGGGCACCTGTGCAGGCTATGGGACCCGCAGGGAGTGAGCATCTGGGGGTGGCTGCCCAGCCCGGCACTTGCTGCCATGTAGGGGGAGTGGCCAGGTCTGCCGCGTGTCCCCTGGTTCAAAGAATCCAGGGACCCCTGCCATCAGCGAGGTCTTCCGATTGTCACCAATGGACCGCCCAGTGTTTCTTCACCCACCTCTCCCCCGCCTCGGCCCCCTTCTCTGGCCTCTGCCCAGGCTGACCTGGGTGGACTGTGGCCCTCGAGGGGACCCATGTGGACCACGGCAGCCGAGGCTGCAGAGCCCTGGGTTTAAACAGAGCAGGGATGGGACGCGGCCCCCCACCCCGAGAAGCCACATTAGAATCCGTGTTGGTCAGTCCATTTGAGCCGCTGAAACAAAACCACAGAATGGGTGGCTTAGAAACAACAGAAATTTATTTTTCACCATTCTAGAGGCTGGCAGAGTCAGCATCTGATGAGGACCACTTCCTGGTTCATGGACGACGCCTTCTGACTACATTGTTGCATGGTGGAAGGGATTGGGGGCTTCCTAGGGTCCCTTTTGGAAGGGCACTAACCCCAGAAAAAGCGCTCAGTCCTCATAATCTCATCACCTCCCAGAGTTCCCACCTCCTGACACCATCACCTTGGGGGTTAGCATTTCCACAGATGCGTCTGGGGAGATACAAGCATTCAGACCATAGCTGGGTCCCTGGTGACAGCCGCCTGGGGCCTGCTGGGTTTGAACCTCAGGGACAAGCTGGGCCCTGGACCCTCTGTAACCCAGGTTCAACGGCTCACCACTCAAAAGCCAGACATGAGGGCCAAGGGGTGGTGGGAGGGAAAGCAGCTTTCATCGGAAAGCCAACAAGCCAAGAAGATGAACTGGTGTTCTAAAGCACCATCTTAAATGTTAAAATGTGCCACGGGGAGCTGGGAAACGTGACACGGGAGCCACGCGGGGTGCAGGGCCTGTGTGTCTCACCCCAGTGGCTGTCTTGGGTGGACGGAGGTCTGGATGGTGCCATGTTGACTTGGGCCCGGTGGTGGTGGACGTTGGTCATGACTTCCCCTAAGCAGCAGAGTCCACAATGGGGGCTCAGTGCCCGGTTTGTTTTGAGATCAGCCTCTGCAATTTCTTAAGCAAGAATCTAATTAGATGAGTGTGCATTGCTACAGGGGAGTGTCCGGAGAGGGAAGGAATCGGAGTGAGAGGAGAGGGAGGGAAGAAAAAGAGAGTATGTGATTTTTAAAACTGAGGTCCCTGGTGTTAAATTAAGTTTAGCCTAAAGCTGCCTCCTTACATATTTTAAGTTCAGCCTAAAGGTTTCTCTGTACATAGAGAACTGAAACCTAAGTGGATGTGTAAACAGACTACCCTACTCTCGTGCCAGCCACTGAGGTCTGCAAATGCCCAGCTGCAGCCAACCCGGCGGGCTCCGTCCCAGCCGCAGCCGACCCGGCGGGCTCCGTCCCAGCTGTAGCCGACCCGGTGGGTTCTGTCCCAGCTGCAGCCGACCCAGCGTGTTCTGTCCTCACTCCCTTTTCTGTGGTCATTTTCCTTTTTCTCTGTCCATAAATCTTCCACCATGTGGCTGCCTTGGAGCCTCTGAGCCTACTCTGGCTCTGGACATGACCCAATTCGCAACTTGTTCTTTGCTCAATTAAACTTTGTTAAATTTAATTTGTCTAAGGTTTTTCTTTTGACACTAGTTACACTTCCATGCAGAGAGGCTGCCTGTGTTACCTCCAGACCAAGTGAGAACATCACCCTCCAGCAGCAGCAGGCCTCTCATCCATGGGTGACTTGGTCTGGGAAGCCATGTGTTCACTGCTGACCTCTGTCAACCAAAAATAAAATTCTAAGGCCCCCAACCAACTAATGGACCCCCCATCTCAGCCACAGGCATTCCAAAGTAAACCTAAAACAGTGATTCAGGCCCTGATGGGAAGGGGGTTCAGACATGCTTCATGATACCCTCCTCCCTTGGCATTTCTGGCGCAACTGGCCAGCGTTAACATTAAAACAGATTTTTAAGACTGACCAAAGAGACTCTTTGTAGCAATAAGATACCAAACTCCAGGCCGGGTGCGGTGGCTCACGCCTGTAATCCCAGCACTTTGGGGGGCCGAGGCAGGCAGATCACAAGGTCAGGAGATCTCTACTAAAAATACAAAAAAATTAGCCAGGCATGGTGGCCGGTGCCTGTAATCCCAGCTACTTGGGAGGCTGAGGCAGGAGAATTGTTTGAACTCAGGAGGCAGAGCTTGTAGTGAGCCAAGATCATGCCACCCACTCCAGCCTGGGCAACAGAGTGAGACTCCGTCTCAAAAAAAAAAAAAAAAAAAAGATACCAAATTCCAACCCGAATCTAGTAAATTGTCACATGAGAGATAGCAGGCCCTGAAAGAAATCTAAGTATTTTACCCAAAAATCTGTTTATTTATTTCTGGAATGGCCCTGCACAGCTGTCTCTTGTGGGGGAAATTTGCATTCTGTAGAGAATCCCGTGCCCTTTCCAGGTCTTTTCCAGAGTCTAGCATCTTTTAAAGGTCTGAATAGGAAACATTTGCCACCTTTTTCCTCTAAGGGTGGTCATCTGAGAGACTTATCTACGTAATAAGAACCTTGGTCTCCACAGCCTCTCATCTCAACCCATACATTCCTCTCTATTGATTCCAAGTCCTTCAATAATAACCTCACTCTTTCAACCAAGTGCCAATCAGAAAATCTTTGAACCCATCTATGACCTACTATAGCCGCCCCCAACCCTGCTTCCAGTTGTCCCACCTTTCAGACTAAACCAATGTACACCTCACATGTATTAATTGATGTCTTATGTCTACCTAAAACGTATAAAACCAAGCTGCAACCCAGCCTCCTCGGGTACATGTTCTCAGGACCTCCTGAGGCTGTGTCATAGGTCATGGTCCTCACATTTGGCCCAGAATACATCTCTTCAAATATTTTAGAGTTTGGCATTTCTCATCAACACCTCTGAGCCTCCTAGAAGAAGCCGCCCCGTGCACTCCTGAGGTCTGAGCTGTTGCCTGAGCCCACAGGCAGAGCCATCTGCACCAGCAGAGAACTGCAGAGAATGCTGGAGGAATTTAAAATATGTAACCCCAAAATACATTTGCTTGACATAATTTGAAACAGCTGCCACAGGCCCCTGTAGAGAATCTCCATTAATGCAGCCAGGCCCCCTCTACTTTCTGTACCTTTCCCAGATTTGGGAGAGATTGAGAGTCTGACACTGTTAAGAGTCTGAAAAGAAACACTTCCCGTCTATCCTCTCCAAGGGAGGCTTCACCTCCATAACAAGGCTGCCTGTGCTAGCCAAGCCTCTTCCTTTCTCCCGCTGTTTCCCTGTCTTGCCACTGAGCCTGACTTTGCAGCATGACCTGTTTCTGGCAGTGCTTAGAGTCCTCAGCCTTCCTTGCTGTGCCTCAGGATGGTGTGGAAGCTTCCGTACCTCATCATTGGGTTGGATCTTCATTCTGAAGGCTCCCAGGCACACATGGTCAGTAAATAAATGTGTGTGCTTTTCTCCTCTTACTCAATCTGCCTCATGTCACTGACTTTCCAGTGAACGATTAGGGAACCAAGAGCCTGTGGTCCCACAACACCCCTTTGTCATAAGTGTGGGCTCTGCAAGCCACCCCCAGGCTTCCCCAGATGTCAGGTGAATTAAATGAAGCTCATGGCGGCCCTTACTCCCAACGCTGTCCTCAGAGAGGGCGTCTGGGGCCTGCAGACCCACTGACAGCTGAGAGGGCACGCTGTGCTCCTGGCCACCTTCTCAGCCCCCTCCAAAGCCCACCTGGCCTCACTCTTGTATGTCAGCATCTCCCTGCCTGGCAAATGAGTGAAGTCACTGATAAAACAGTTTCATTAATAATTGTCCATTTCCCAGGAGCTTTTTTTTAAATATATTTTTCCTCCCTGAAAGCCTTAAGATAAATGGCACGTCGACTGTGCCGGCTCCCGCTCCAGGGCTCTTTGTTAGGAGCGGGGCTGTTTATCAACCGCCAGTCACCCCAGCCCGGCACAGCAGGGAACAGCGGCTTCTCCCCACCATGTGCTCTGTCCAGGCTGCCCCCTTTCAGCTCAGAACGATGGAACGTGTGTTTCTGCCCCGCGTCAGTGTGGGCTCCGTTCACCAGAAACCCCCCAGGTTCACAGTAGCCGGGAAACAGACCTTGGTATAGCTCTCATGCTACTCATGGGTGCATAACTGGAGTCATAAACAACTCCTTTGTGAGGAGACACGGACCCATCCAGGGCCCTCATGGCTGCTGAACCTGCATCGGCCCAAACCAAACTCGTGATTCCTCCAAAACTTCTGTCCTTCTGCCTTCCCTCCAGAGAAGGTGGCGCCAACCTCCTCTGTGGCTCAAGCCTCCCAAACAGAAGTCACAAGGCCCCGTTCCGCTCCTGGATCCCGCCCTGTCCACCTCCCAGCCAGGAGTCATGAGGCCCGGTCCTGCTCCTGGATCCCACCCTGTCCGCCTCCCAGGACACAGGCTCCTCAGATGTGTCCTGCCCTTCTTGTTCCTCTGTTTCTCATGCCGGGCATGGCACGTGGCATGCAGTAGGTACTCAGTAAATACATTTTAGTGAAATGATGAATCCCCTAGGTTAGAAACTCGTCTAAGTTGTGAGGAGCTTTATTGGAAATCCCATAGGAAGGAGCTCGCTCTGTCCTGGGGGAAGGGGAGGTCTCCACATGGAGCCAGGCACCAGCCCCCTTGCACAGTGGCTCAAATAAACCTTCAGGGCCCTGGAGGCTCCCACTGCCAAGACCCTGGAGTGTCTTCCAGCCTCTGGCTGATGTCCTGCTCGTCCACCTGCGTACCCGGCTCCTTCCATGGAAAGCTCCCGAATGCACGGCCTGGAGTGGGCTTTCTCCTGACCAGCGAGCCACTTCCTTCGTCGGACAGAGCACCATGCGGAGTGGAGATTAGAGTGGAGGCAGGCAGGAGAGGGCTGAGGCTGCAGTGTGGTCTCTGGCTGCACCCCGGGACTGTCGGCTGAGGACCACAGCAGTCCCGCTTGCCTGAGAGCTCCGAGTATGTCCTGGGAATGGAGGCGACTGGGGCGGGAAGAGGAGAGTTTGTTTGGGAGCCTCATAGCTTTAAAGACACTGTTGACATCCTATGGTGTTGGCTACGTGGAGGAGTCGGGTCCGAGACTGTGAGGATGAGGGGGTCCAAGTGCCATGTCCTGGGAGCAGCTACCTGGGGGCTCACGGGATCCTTTGCAGGGGGCCGGGGCCTCCCCTTACTTTCTCGCCAGCACCGATGCCCTTGTTTCTGATATCAGCCCAGGGATCCCCCCGTGCCCCTGGTCTCTGAAGTTCAGGTAGGGCTCAGGCTACCCTGTGTACCCTCACACCATGGCAGGCACGTGTTCCAGGACAGGCAGTCGGAGTTACAGTGGCCAGGGCGAGGGAGCCACCCTCCAGGCACGCAGGGAGCCAGGCTTGTCCTGTGCACCCTCCCAGCTCTGGGTCCTGTCCCTCAGGGCCTCTGATTTGCTGGGCCGTTTGTGCTGCTGTGACTATTTGGTGGGCCCAAGTATGCTGGAGAAATTCTGG
Organism: Homo sapiens; assembly: GCF_000001405.40. NCBI lineage: Eukaryota > Metazoa > Chordata > Mammalia > Primates > Hominidae > Homo > Homo sapiens. The sequence goes on from NC_000012.12 coordinate 131,618,053, forward strand.
ATGCCATCCATGACTAATAACCGGGCAGTGCACTTGCAGGATGCAGCAGCTCCTGGTGCCACGGCCGCCTCCCACACCAGCCCCTGGGGAGTGGAGAGGCCTCCGGGTGTTGCTTCTGCACGTGCTGTTCATGGACATGTGGCCTGGAAAGCAATTCAGGTTTGCTCTTGGTGAGCCTCGGAAGCTCCAGGCGGCCGCTAGAGTCTCAGACGTCGCCACCCACAGACCTCTTGGGTTTTGCCATCTTGGCATAAACAGCCTCGGTCCCGACCCCTGCCCTTTATTAAGCCCTCTTCAGTTAACCCGTCGTGTCCCTTCTGACTGCTGGGGGACTCCCTCAGATACAAGCTGTCTCCTCCACTGGAAGGTGAATGCCGTGAGCGCGGGGCCCTGGTTCAGCACCAGAGACAGCGCTGGCACCTCAAGAGACTCAGTGACATTTGCTGAATGAGTGAATGGACAAACGATGCTTCAACTGCGCAGATGCCATCCGCTCTTTCAGGAGCCTGGTCTTCCCACTTTAGCGACCATCTGAATCACGTGGGAGGCTGCAGAGACGCAAGAACCTGGGTCTCTCACACTCCATATTCTGATCCCAGGGTCTGGGCTGGGACCTAGGAATTTGCATTTTTACCTAGGCTCTCATACAGGCTTCTAATCTGATAGATAAAGTCTTCAGGAAGTCAGCCTCTGATAGACAAGTGCTATCCTCGGAAAACAGCATACACAAAGCTGAAAATAATTTCCCTTTCTGCCTCCTCCAAGGCTCAAGGCTTCTGAGAAACTGCTCGAAATTTTCTCAAAATGCATGCTCTATTTTCCACTCTCCTCCCCTCTCTGCATTCCATTCAGCCATCCCAAGAGGACCCACATGAGTCGCTGCTCCTTCGTTTCCTTATTCTGGAAACTCCTAAGACATCCTCTCTACACTGATGATTTTGCAGAGCGAAGGAGAAACAATAAACATCTTCCAGAAAGAATTTCTCAGTGACTGCAAACAAGGAGTGAGATTTGCATTCGGGGGGGCTGTTTGCCCTCAATGTGGGGAGTCGGCAGTGTCAGAACTTGGCAGTGACCCTGAAGACGTGGACAGGAGCAGATGGGATGTTTGACTTCACCTCCCTTTTGCTCCCCGATGCATTTCAGTGCAGGCCTGGTGTGCTGCACCAGCTGCGTGACAGAGGAGGAGACGAGGAGGAGGTTCTTGGGCACAGGAGGAGCGGGGCTGGGGTGAAAGCAGCCAGCCAAATGCAGGGGGTGCACTCAGCGGGGGAACCCAAAGTGTGTGGAGAAGAAAACAAAGTGCTCTCCAGGACCAGCCCTGCCCACGGCCTCCTGGCCCTCAGGGGGACTCACAGAACTGGCTCAACAGGTGCACACAGATGTGCACACACATGGGCACACAATGCATATACACATATGCATGCACACACAGAGACCCACGCACGCAGACCCAGACATACATACATGAATGCATATGTGCAGACACGTGCATGCACACAGACACACACACACACACACACGCACACAGTACTGGAATCACCACAACCAACATGCCACCTGCTTAATCCTGTTCGAAAGGACTTTCCTTGGCCTCAAGTTTTTCCACACCTGCCACACTCTGCAAACCTCCAAGAAGCCAGACCCCCCACAATTGGACAATGTCTGGTTCCTCACAGGAAGCTGCCATCACACATCTGGACAGCAGTGGGGCTCACCTTCTGGGAAAGCCTGCTCTCCTGCTGCAGGGGGAGGACTCACCAGACCCCAGAGTGGGAGTGTAGGATCGTGAATGCTGCAGAGCCCACATAGTCTGATATCCCGGCGGAGCAGGATCTGCTTCCTGGCTGGTGCAGCCACTGCCCAGCTCTCCTCTGCCCCTGCTCCACATGTGTGTCATCTGGGCTGTCTTGGAGGCAAGTGACAGAAAGGGGGCTTCACCAACGCCCTCACCTGAGCACCCTAAGAAGGGGCTGGCAGCATCAGGACAGGCCCAGGCTCAACCCTGCCCTCAGACAGAAAGCAGCTCAGCGGTTCCCCAGCTCAGACTCCGCAGCCAAAC